>NW_018654718.1:0-348946 GCF_000001405.40 Homo sapiens | reverse complement strand
CTCAGTCAGACTGCAAATGACCCCAGCCTCAGTCAAAAAAAAGTTGTTTGAAAGCCATTGCTGTATTCTTCCCCACTGGGAAGTTAGGCTTGGGAGTCAATAGGACTGAGACTCCAAAATGCAGCTTAACCAAGAATTTCAGTACAATTGAAATTGTGACTGCAAAGATTATATTGCAACATATTATTATGAGAGGGTATGTGTGCCGTATCTATGATATTTCTATATCAAATAGGTAAGAATTTATGAATGTGAGTAGTAATGTCTGCACAGTTGTTCTAATATTTAATGCTAGATAAATGGTTTAGATCAACCATTCTCAACTTTTTAGTCTCAAGACTCCTTTACACTCTTAAAAATTATTTTTTTAATTACTTTTTATTTATTTTATTTTTGAGATGGAGTCTCGCTCTATCACCCAGGCTGGAGTGCAGTGGCAGGATCTCGGCTCACTGCAACCTCTGCCTCCCGGGTTCAAGCGATTCTCCTGCCTCAGCCTCCCGAGTATCCGGGATTACAGGTACCTGCCACCACTCCTGGCTAATTTTTGTATTTTTAGTAGAGACGGGGTTTCACCATGTTGGCCAGGCTGGTCTTGAACTACTGACCTTGTGATCCGCCCGCCTCAGCCTCCCAAAGTGCTGGGATTACAGGCAGGAGCCACCGCACCTGGCCCACTCTTAAAAATTATTAAGGACTCCCTCAGAGAACTTTTGTTTATGTGAGTTATACCCACCTATATTTACCATATTGGAAATTAAAAATAACTTTAAAGACCCCGGGCTATGTGTGTTTTGTTTGGAGTATATGAAGAAACTCTGGCCTCATATGTAGATAATGTAGTTGGAAAAGAGATGGATATTTTAATAGAGTTTTTCAGACAATTGTGGATATTCTTCTTGGATAATATACCAAAACTTGACAAGCTGGAGTTTCTCAAAGCTTAGCTGCAATGTACTATCTGAAATCCTATTAACTTTTCATACTGTTACATTAAAAATCCATTAGTCCACCTTGTCCTTGAATGGATCTTTTGCCTGTGCATGATTATGTAGCATGAGACATTGGTCTTTTGGAAAATACTGGACCACTGAGTTAAGCAGATCTTTGAGATATTGACACTTTCCATTATACAAGATTTGTTAAAATTGCGCTCATTAATATCATCACTGATCTCATCAGAAAAAAAAACATTAAGTACTGAGATGTCAAGCTCATGGCAGTAGATACACATTTTCTAAACTTTTAATTCTGGCTTGAAGGCTTAAAAATTATCATTGGCAGCAGTAATTGTCCCTTGTTTTCCTGAAAGTGACAGGCACACTTTATTTATTTTCAGAAAAATGTCTGTCAAGTACCTGTTTGAATAATCATAGTTTGCCCATCTTTCTTTCAAGTAAAAATGTTTTATGAAAATAAAAATAAAAACATGAATTCGGCCTACAACTCAAGCACAGAAGTATTTTCCTAGAGACAAATATGACACACTTCATTTTGCAGCAGACGTGCTTTATGCCTATTTCCTATTTTTTCATGCAGAATGTTAAAAAGAATTGTACCCAAGGATTAAGCTTCAATGAAATTAATAATTCTTACTGCTTATCAAGAACACCATCAGGTGACACTGGCTCTCTACCTTCTTCTTTTTTTTTTTTTCTTTTGTAACTGAGAGTGCAGATTAGTGACGCGTACTTTGACTAGCAATACAGTTTGGTGCCCCTGCCTTGATTGGGTTAAACCACCGGCGCTTTTAACCACCATTGTCTGCAAAACGTCACCACAGTGAACAAGTCAAATAAGTAAGTCTCAGCATTGTCATAAAAGGTTTTGTTTTTTTTTTGACCTTGCAGATCCCCTGAAAGGGTCTCAGAAACTCCCAAAGGGTTCCAGGACCACACCACACTTTGAGAACCACTGGGTGTTAGCGCATTCAGAAATCAATTCAGTTCTCTTTCTCTTCAGAGTTCTTGATGCTCGAGGCTTATTTATTGTGATAGATTTGATCACTGAAGCGCCAAAGAAAAGATATGCCAAGGGGTCGAACACATCCAAGAAGGAAATCCTACCGCACACACAGCTCAAAGGCTCGAGCGCGTAGAAAAACAGCTCTTGGAGAAAGAAACGGGATGCAGAGGGCAGGCCTGGGCTTGTCGTTGCCAGTGGCAACGATCCTCAGTGGGCGGGGCGCGGCCATCGATTAGTGAGGCCTTGCGTCTGTCGGCGGGCAGGAGGGTGGGGGTGACTGGAGCCGGAAGGCCTCCCGGGCCGTGTGGTCGCCGTGGGTTCTCGGTTGCGAGGCAGCTCGCTCGTTCTGCGATCTATTGAGAGTGGCTTCCAAGAGCCCCGTGCCTATGTCTGGGAGGGAGGGAAGATGGCAGCCGTGGCGGCAGGCGGCCTGGTGGGAAAGGGGCGCGACATCAGCCTAGCGGCCCTGCAGCGCCACGACCCCTATATCAACCGCATCGTGGACGTGGCCAGCCAGGTGGCTCTGTACACCTTCGGCCATCGGGCCAACGAGTGGGTGCGTGCGGACGCGGCGGAGCAGTGCAGCCCAGGGTTGGGGTGGAGGCGGGGGGCGTCAGACTCAGGACTTGAGGACCCGGTGAGGGGGAGGAGACGTTGACGCCCTGGAAGTGGGTGGATCTGGGGACTGAGGCCGAAGTTGTGGAGATGGGGTCTCGGGGGTTTGGGGGAAGGAAGGCGGATCTGTGGAGCTACCTGGAGTTGGGGAAAAGACTTAAATCTCTAACGTACCCAACGCTGGGAGACCAGACCGATCGGGTACGGCACCATAAGAGCCGAAGGAAAGGAAGGACCTGATACCTTATGGCCGGAAGACCGATGTGCTCGAGAAAGTAGAGCAGAGTTCTGTTACAGTGAATCTGTGGCTATGGGGGAGGCAGGGACAGCAGACGAATAAAAGTGCAGAGTTCTGATTTTGGAATGTCAGTCTTAGATGGGGCAAAGAGAAATCAAAACTTGATAGAAGGGGAGAAATCTGCAAGTTGTAAACTTAAGGGGAAACACCAAGAAAAGAGCCAACCTCGTCAAATAAAAGACAAAATGGGGCAGGGTCTAACACTTAGAAGGAAGCTGATGCTCTTGGGAAGATTATTACACGGCAGCACACCAAGTTCGATATTGGAGGTCATTTGGGAGCCAAATTATTTTAGTGCTCTTCTCAAAGCAGAGTCCCAGTAAATGGTAATGGAATGAAATTTCATTTTCCTCATAGTTAGAATGGGGTAGAAGCCTAGAACACTGGAATCCTGTTGCAGGGATTGCTGCTTGTAATTTTGTAACCCACCCACTCGAATGTAGAGACATGTAATTTTGTTTCTTTACTCATAATGAGTTTTGTCCAAATAATATTCATCATCCATTATGTATCACATACATGATATCCATCATTTTAAAATAAGTTACAAAACAGTATGGAGAACTTAGCCTTGATGAATGGATTTCAGATAAACTTTTTGTGTTCTTCAAGTCGGTTGTATAAACATCAAAACTTAATCTAGGAAAACATCCATGTTGAACAACTCTGTATTTTTTTTAACACCCACATTCATAAGCCTACTTATCTGCAGTATAGTTCAGCAGCCTGTAGTAAAAAACTCACCTGAAAATCATTAACATAAAAATAAAAAGACAAGCAAGAATGGGGTAGACAAACAGTTTTGCCCAAAGTTCTTAACGGAGGAAATTTGCCGGAATGGGGCAAAGAATTTAGGTCTGCTCTCCTAGTAGCCAAACACAAAAGGAGAACAGGAAGAGCTCTTTAATATTCGTTCTTCTGTAATAGAAAGTGTACCTCTTGATCAGGAGAAAGAGGTTATTTCCCCCTAGTTTCCAGGGGAATTTGTCACCTACTTTTTTTGTTTGTTTTTGTTTGTTTGTTTTTTCGAGGTGTCACCTTCGTTTTTACATAAAGAACATTGAGCAACATAGACAGTTTCCTCCATGGTAATTAAAAATATATAAAAAGATATTCTACATATGGCTATTTTGCTGCTCTGTAGAAAAATGCTAAAGGTATAATGTTATAATCCTGTAAAAGTAATTCCGTAGTAGAGAGATGAGGACCAGGGATGTATAGTTCTGTAAGTTGACTTGACACTGGGATTCGAGTCTGGAGAATCCCAAGAAACTGTCAGTATAAAGAGAGTAGAGCATTTCTCTTGAATAATAGTTGTTTCCTATAGGCTTTTGACCCTTATCAATGTGATAGATACCTTTTTAAGATAGTTACAGATGTTTATTAGATACCTAAAGCCTCATCAAAAAGCAGATGTGTCACAATGCATTAATTACAGGAGTTATGTTTTCCTGCTTGCTGGATATGTTGCCTTCAGACAGGGCATAATTCATTCAGGAAAAGGTCATTCTTTCAAAGTTCTAATCTTCAAGGCTGTGGTAGCCAGAAAAACAGAGAGACCTAGTTCAACTGCAGAGCAGTTGCTGGAGGCAAACTAATTATGACCACTGTCTCCATGTGCTGTCACTGTGGATGGGAGCCGTTTGAATGTAAACCTAATAAGAATATGAGAACATTGTTGAGAATAGAGGAGAAAGTATTTACAAGAAGGCAGGGGGGATCTTAAGGAGGGGAATTCTTATTGCCCTGAAAATGGATGAAGAATGACTTCAGCCTTTCAAAGGAGGAGAAATTAGGAAGGAAAGGTGTCTAGAAAATGAACTGCTTTAAAGAAGGATTAAGAAAGATTATGTGATGACTGGAATAGGAATTTTAGAGTTAGACCTACTCCCTGTTGCCAGGAAAGACTGCCCCCCGCCTCCAAAATATTAATACCTATGTGTCAATTGAAGACCATAACCCTGGTATTTTCCAGCTGTCAGTCCTTAGACCAGTGGCTCTCAGCTGGAGTTGATTTTGCCCCCAGGTGACATTTGGCAGTGTCTGGAGACGTTTTTGGTTGTCACACTGAAGGGAAGAGTGTTGTGACATCTATAGAGTAGAGGCCAGGGAATGCTGAGCCTGAAAACTGCCCTAAAGTGACTAACGTTGTGTTCCTAGCTAGTGGTTTTCTAAGTTTTTGGTGTATCCAAATAAGTCAGAGTTTTTTAAAAGTGAAAAATGCCAAACTAAAACCTCTGGATAATGAGACCCAGGCATTTCATATTGTTGAAAGCCTCATAGGTGACTCACGTGCTACATGCATGATGAAGAGAGATTTGGGAGGATAAGTTGAGACCTACTTTTTGATTATTTTAACTGAGAATAATCAAGTTAAAATAGAGATTGCGTTGAGCTAGTTTGTGTCAGACAGTGTGCAGAGTCCCCAAAATTTGCAAAACAGCACTATTTTATATTCCATTTTGGGTTTTTTAGTATTTTGAATTCTGAATTGCTTATTTCTTTAGCACTTGTTAGATTTTATAATACAGTATAATATTAAATCCTCAAATTGTACTTTTAAAATTTAAGCTAAAATACCCCAGGACTGGTAACTAATACTTTCACATAAAAGTCCTCCTTAAAGGATCTAAGGAACATCTAATCTTGTTTTAGCTATTCTCCACATCCCTAACCCTGGACTTTGCTCAGAAAGAAAAAAAAAATCTGGTTGCCCTTGGATAACTATGGAGGGGCCAGGAAAATGCGTGAATTTGGGCAGCTGTAATAGAACAGAAATGTATATTTTCAAAGTCTCTTTTATCCAGGTGTCATAGAGCGCCTGACGTTTTTTCATCAAAAGATCTGAGTAGTGTAAGCTGATTATCTCTCTTTTTTTTTTTTTTTTGAGACGAAGTCTCGCTCTTGTTCCCCAGGCTGGAGTGCAATGGCGTGACCATGGCTCACTGCAACCTCTGCCTCCTGGGTTCAAGCTATTCTCCTGCCTCAGCCTCCAGAGTATCCAGGATTACAGGCGCCTGCCACCACTCCTGGCTAATTTTTGCATTTTTAGTAGAGACGGGGTTTCACCATGTTGGCCAGGCTGGTCTTGAACTCCTGACCTCAGGTGATCCACCCGCCTCGGCCTCCCAAAGTGCTGGGGTTACAGGCGTGAGCCCCTGTGCCCGGCCTGGTTATCTCTTTTCAATGGAGAAACTGAGACATATAATAATAAACTAATTAGCCCAGCATGATCTGGCAAGAACCCCACTACAGGTCCCAGGTTGTGATTACTGAAACACAACTCCTTCCTATGAACAAACTCATATTCTTTGTGTGTAATGCTAAATAAAAATCTTAGTTTTAAGAATTACTTGTTATAAGTTAGAGATTAATTTTAGGAGAAGCATGCCTTTTACATTTTTGACCTTGGAATTTAAAAACTAAAATGTGGCATTAAAGGTTTTTTTTTTTTAATTAAGAAAAGAGAATTTCTGTTACATCAAGGAAGAAAGGAAACAAGTCAGAAGCTATTTAGTTTTATGTGTGCTGATATATATAGATATCCTTATTCAGATCTCTAAGATGAAACAGTCCAAGGTCAGATACTGGAAGACCAGGAGAGTGTTTTGATCTTGTGGGGAGTGATCCTGACTACATAGAGGTTCTGCAAAGTCCTAGTTCTATCACCTGTATCTTGGCTCAGTTTCCTAACAATGTAATGGATAATACCAAATACTTTCTACAAATTTATTTTTAAATGCTTTGTGGACTTGTGAATACTTGCTGACTGAATCAGTTAAACTTTAGGGACAGCCAAAAATTTGTATACTGTTCAGGTAGCATTTACTGTACTGTAGGGGCCATTTTCCTGATTAATACTTTGGTGGTTTGGGTGTAAGTAATTCTTAGTGCTTCAGGTACACTCAGGATATACATTTGTCAGCAGATAGGAATTAACCATGTTTGTTTTCAAAGAAAGATAAGTAATGTTTCTGTATATATATTTTTTCATTTTGACTTGGATATTTTTCAAAGTACAGGGGCAAACGAGCCACATTTCAGAAATAAGGATATGTTTCACAGTATGTTGTGGTGATTTATACAAACTTCATAGTGAATCTAGTTTAAGGATGAACTCCCTGACTTACCTATGCTTTTATGTTAGGGAAAAAACTGGCTAAAGTTGTTTTAATTGTTATTTATTTATTTATTTATAAGAAACAGGGTCTCCCTCTGTTGCCCAGGCTGGAATGCAGAGGTACAATCATAGCTCACTGTAGCCTCAAACTCCTGGGCTGAAGCAATCCTCCCTCCTCAGCCTCCTGAGTAGCTGAGACTACCGGCATGTGCCACCACACCTGGCTAATTAAAAAAATTTTTGTTTTGTAGAGGCAAGGTCTCACTATGTTGCCCAGGCTGGTCTCAAACTGAACTCCTGGCCACAAGCGATCCTCCTGCCTGCCTCAGCCTCCCAGAGTGCTGGGATTACAGACATGAGCCACTGTGCCTGGTCTAAATTCTTTATTTATAATTTCATATTCCATAATAATAAACATCTTGAGATTAAATATTTTGTTACTAGGTAATGATTTTTTATAGCCATTTACTCTTGATAATAGCTTGATATGATTTGTGCCATAATGGATTTTGTTTTCAGGACTTGTAATATAATTTCATGGGCAGAGAGTATGTTGTTGAACTAAGGCAGTGAGTGGCTCTCAAACTAGCATACATCAGAATCACCTGGACAGTTTAATAAAACCCAGATTGCTGAGCACCATCCCCAGAGTTTCTGATTCAGTAGGTTTGGGCAGGAGCCCAAGAGCTTGCATTTCTAATAAGTTCCCAGGTGACGCTGATGCCGCTGATCTGGGGATAACACTTTGAGACCCACTGAACTAAAGTGAATGAGAAATTTGCTGAAATTGCCTGAGCATGTGAAAGGATCATGCCTTGTGTGCCTTTTAAAAACTGCTGTTTTGACATTACGCTTTTTTTAAAAGGGCGTATTTTTCACCAGAATTACAGAGTACTTAAATTTTGAATGATTATGGTGATGAATATTAATAATAAAATATCAGGGGTTTAAATAGAATGCTGAAATTAAACCATGTAAATTGCAAAAGTACATTTTAAATTCTGAATTACAGTAGGTCTGGTTCGTGGTTAGTCAAACACCTGGATACTTACATGTGTGTTTTTTAGTATGCATTATATGGATGAATATTATAATGGCCTAGCTTCCTGCCTTTGGAGAAATGGAAAAGAAATGTGAAGTGACCTAGTTAAACCATCATTTTAACTTTACCACCTCTCCCAGATTTTCTCAGGCAGATTTCTTGAGTCCTAACTTGGTAATACTTGTGTAACTTTACTTCAGTGATCTCGGGTCAGACCTTGACTGTAAATATACTACACTAAGTAGGTGATTGATTCATCTGAGAACTCTGTGGCATCATTGCCCTCTCTGTCTAGCAGTCAAAGTAAAGTTATTGACAGATCATCTGCTCTCCTAAGTCACTGGATATGGCAGGAGAAAATGAACCCAGAAAACAAAATGAAGGATAGTGAAATGCAGACACCAGTGATGTCTGCAGCTTTCTCTATACCCAGTGTGGTGGAAGGAGAAAAAGGCAGCACTCTTCTTTCTAATTAAATCCGCATAGCACACTTATTTTCTCATTGTTTCAGCTAAGGGTATGCTGCTATCCCTGTATTTGGTAAAGAGAGATAATGATGATTTGTTTTATAAATGACAAAAGAAAGACTGCTTCCTGCTGCCTAATCTGCAGAGGCACAATGATGACATAGAACTTGCTTTCTCCTTTTCCTGAGAATAACTCCTCATGTTGGGTATATTTGGCCCATTGAAGTTATATATAATTCCTATTCTATGAGAATTTGTTTTATACCTTTGTGAATTGAAGAGAACATACATGTCTTGTGTGTTTTGTTTTTATTGTTTAGGAGAAAACTGATGTGGAAGGAACCTTATTTGTTTATACAAGGTAAGAGTGTTTCACTTTTATAAAGAAACTAATCTTCAAAATAATATTTTAGCTCCGTTGTGTCACTCTTCTTCAAGTGCATGCAGTTTTATTTCAAAAAGAAGTAAAAGAATTAAATCTCAGTTTTGAAATTATTAGTTGACACGAAGAAGGGAATACCAAATAATGTCACCTGGTATATCGTGATGAATACTAATTTCAGAATATAATTTAAACTTCAATGTAGATGAACTTAAATCATTGACTGGGCACTGTTTAAAATAGATTAAATATTCTTTGATTCAAGTGAATGGCACAAAGTTCTTGAATATAATGCATTGGCAAGGAGCTAGAAGAACACTATCAGAAATACTAGATTGTTCAGTTAATATTTGGAAAAGGGTTTCATTGATCATTTTTCTTTTTTTTGAGATGGAGTCTCGCTCTGTCACCAAGGCTGGAGTGCAGTGGCACGATCACAGCTCTTGGCTTGCTGCAACCTCTGCCTCCTGAGTTCAAGTGATTCTCCTGCCTCAGCCTTCTGAGTAGCTGGGATTACAGGCATGCGCCACCACGCCCAGCTAATTTTTAGTAGCAACGGAGGTTTCACCATGTTGGTCAGGCTGGTCTCAAACTCCTGACCTCGTGATCCACCCGCCTTGGCCTCCTAAAGTGCTGGGATTACAGGCGTGAGCCACCGCACCTGGCTGTTGATCACTTTTCTCCCACCCCTGACTCTTTAAAAAAGCATGATCCAAAATTGAAGATGTCTTTCAGTCCTCCATTGTCTAGTCAATAGAATATGTTTCAGGATAGATTTAATAAACTCATGTTTTTAGTCATTTCTTGTTATCAGATATTAATATCAAATTACGAGTGCATATAGAGACATACATTATGTATATTGGCTCAATAAATAAACTTTTCATTCACATAAACATTCACATAAAATGTCATAGCCAAAGGTCATCACCTTCAATGAGGGTACAAAGATGAAATTAAAAGACCTAATATAAACCTTTCTAGGGGTATCTGTTTCACTGGGGAGACAGGAAATACACACACACAAGTGTATTTTCTTTCCACATATATTCATGTTTATGGTAAGCCACAATACAGGATAGAGTATCCTAAGTGCCAGTGGATAGATTCTGAGCAATGAATGGGCTGCTGTGATCATGGAAGGCTTTATCGCAAGCTTGTCCAACCCACGGCCCATAGGACACGTGGCCCAAGATGGCTTTGAATGTAGCCTGACAGAAATTCGTAAACTTCTTTAAAACATTAGAAGAGTTTGTTGTTTTTTTTTTTTTTTTTTTTTTTTTTTTTTTTTTTTTTTAGCTCATCAGCTATTATTAGTGTATTTTATGTGTGGCCCAAGACAATTCTTCCCTTTCCAAGGTGTCCCAGGAAGGCCAAAAGATTGGACACCCCTGCTTTATAGAGTGATGTGTCTTGAATTGGGCCTCAGGAATATGGTGGAACTTAGCTTGCATAGAGGAGAGGGAAGGCAGTCTCAACAGGAAGAATGGCAAAAGCAGGGGCGGAGAACCTGGTGTGTTAAAGGGACAGTGAGGGAGATGTGGTGCAGAGGGCTTATACTGGTTTATAGTAGTTAGCAAGTGTAAAGAGATTTGCTAGCTTGGAATGGCAGACTCTGGATTTTGAGATTATTTTCTTAGCAGTAGGAAGTTATTGAAGGCTTATGAACAGGAGAGTAATAGAGAAAATGTATGGGGAAAGTCAGTGTATTCACTTCATGGGGACGCACTAGTTCTGGAAGAAATTGGAGTCAGGACAGTGAGAAGATTATTGCAGTGGGGTAGATATGAAATGATGAGAGTTGGGATTAGAATAATAGAAATTGAAATGGAAAGGGTATTGCAATGGTGAAATTTTAAAAATGACAATATTTTGAACATGGAAGATTGAGAATGACAGAAGCATTGGTGGAAAAGAAAGACAGGAGGTCAAGAATGTGGCTTGAGGATCAGCCCTCATTTTACTTTGAAGTAATGATTTGGAACTGGTAGCAGGACACTTGGGTGGAGGTGGCCAGCCCCTCAGAGTAAGGGCAGGGCTGGAGATGGTTTAGAGTTGTCTGAAGTAATTTGGTAGTTGAAACCATGAAATAAAAGCTGTTCCCTGAAGGAGTGAGTATAAAGAGGAACCGATGAGGGTTTATGGTTAGGTTTGAGGGCCAGCAAGGATACAGATGAGTCAGCTGGAAAGATAAAAGCAGGACTAGAACAGCACAGAGAGGCCCATTTGGGGCAAAGTGTGGGCATGATGGAGGTCTGTGTATGCTGGGCAGGAGGGAGCTCAGCTGCAGGGGAGGAAGGTCTGTTCCAGTGGAGGCAACAATGGGAGGTGGAAGGAAGGAATGGGAGGCAAGGCCAGCACACTTGGTGACAAGGAGGTCAGGTTCTTCACAGTCTCAGAAGAGCAGTGGAGTACCCAAGAACCGTTGGTATATGAGTCTACATTATGCTCCCAAACATCCAGAGCACCAGAGCATGCCCCCAGGCAAGTTTATTGGGTAGAGTATGAGCACTCTTGAGGATTCTGAAGTTTACAACAAAAGCCATAGGGTTGCACTGTACTATGTGCCATGCACACAGGGTGCGTTCTCACTCATCTCTCACAACACGCATTATGATTCTTTGGAGAAGTGACAGAAAAGATGTATTAGTAAGTATTAATGATTGATTTGGGGAATTTTTAGTAGGGTTTTTTTTTAACTATGGAAGAGGAACAAATCATACAAATATTTTCTTTTGTACATCCAGACCAAATATAAGTTTGTATTTTCAAGGATTTCTTACTATACTCTAAGTCTCTAATGGAACTCTCAATTAAACAAAACATTAAATTGAGAAAAAAATCCTTTGCTGTTTTTTAGTCTTTTCTCCAAATCTAACTCCTCAAGAATGGGATGCCTCCCTTATCCCCTGCAAAACAAAAACCTCCCAGATCCTAGAATGTTGAAGGCTTTCTTCAGTAGCGAATTACAAAAAGCATGTAAAACTCATGGTGGGTGGGGGGTGGGAGGCTTGTTACAGGGAATGGAGCTGGCAGTGATTTATTTTGACTTCTCTTACAGAAGTTGCTTTAGAGCAGTTGGCACATTTATCCCCTGGGCCTATTTTCTAAATTATGAGATGCTATAGTAGCTGTACTATTAAAGAGGTGAGATCCTGTTGTGATAATGAAATACATGCAGAATCAAATTCTCATTCTTGTATGAAAACACTTAATCCCATTTAAAAAATCATTTATTTCCTCCCATGCCTTCCTTTCTGTAATAGAGAGTTCATAGAGACACCCACTGGTGATTTCTGAACTTGACAGTTCCAGAAGACCCCTAACAGAGCTCTTTGGGAGTACATTTTCATTCTTCCTCTGAATTTAAGTTGAAGTGATGATCATGATTATTTCTGGTATTGATTGTATGCTTACCACCACTTTACCCCTTTGTAAAATAAGCTAGGCAAGGATTGCCTCCCATCAATTTTAAAATTGGAGGTTTCAGAAGAAAATCCTGGTAGTGGTTATGTAGCTGTGTTCCTTGATCAGTATCAAATAGAGGTAAAATAAAACTAAGACATAAACAACTTGTCTTCCTGTTGCTCATAACATTTCTGTGGGTTTGTTAATAACAGCCCTAGCACCCTCATTTAAAGTAAATAAATGAATTCTGCTTGCTTCAGCTTCAGTGTGTAAGTATGTGGTGTTTCATTTGTCACCGGAAGTTGCGCAGTTGAATTACTATATGGCTGTCACCCAAGGGTAGATGAATGCACATGTAGTTGTTAGAGTTTATACTCAGTATAATTTGGATTCTTTCTGCCTGGCAGAGCAGGCATTCAAGGTTTATTGAGTGAAATGAAAATAAAACATCACTAAATGTCACATTTTTATAGAGAAAAACTTATAGTGGTTTATCTGTGAAGCTGTTTGCTTTGCATTGAAGAAAACAAAGTATCTGCCCTTTGCACTGTTATGTAAACTTCTAGTTCAGGCTGTGTCCTCACAAGTTCATTGTTCAGAGTTGCTTCATATCACTAAGAGATTTTGCAGGCTTCAATTTCAGACTAACACTTAAAATTTTCTATGAAAATTTTCTTCATATAATTGTGATGTACACTCTAATATTAACTACCAAGATTGTTTAAAATATCTTTAATTAATTTAACTTTTAAAAAGTATTCTTTAAAAGTCAGTAATGTTTTAAAAAGTAGTTACTCTGCCTTAAAGGAATTTACAACGTTAGGTTAAGAAATAAACAACATCTGTATACACACACACACACACACACACACACACACCACAAATGAAGTATGACTCAATTTTACCAAATGAATCATCATGCCAGTGCTGCTGCATTACATGGGAATTAGTCCATAATGATGCCAGTGGTGAAGAAGTACGTGTACAGGCTGCTTATATAAAGCTGCATATACAAACAAAGGTTGAGAGACACATCAGAATGTACTTATACTGAAAATATAGCATACTAAGCAATTTGTCTATTGATTTCCCCCTGACTCCTTGTGATTTTTAGGTCTGCTTCTCCAAAGCATGGATTCACCATTATGAATAGGCTGAGCATGGAAAATAGGACAGAACCTATTACTAAAGACTTGGATTTCCAACTCCAGGACCCTTTCCTTCTCTACAGAAATGCCAGATGTGAGTCTTTCTTACTACAGTGGGTTGTTTTACTTCTGAAGTTTGGCCAAGTGTTTAAAATTGTACAGTGTTTGCCATTGTGTTTGCATTTGGTATCAGTGGCTATGGGGGGTGTCAGCATTTTAACAAATGTTAATGTTTAGGAAATGCATGCCCTAATGATGGAATAGATTCTTCCTTGGAAGAGTTTAAGTGAATATAAATATGATGATATAAACCTAAACCCTGTCTTTTGAAGCTTTATGGATTTGTAGTGTGAACCCATTGCTGATCTTAAGCCTGAGCAGGGCTGGGTGAGGCAAGTTCTTAGTGAGGAGACTGCAGAGACACACACATAGGTGGCTCCCTGAACGAAGAATTAACGAGTCTGCTATGGCACTTTTTCTTTATGTATCACTTTTGGCCGAGTGAGCTGACAAAGTGTTTGAGGGCCTGTATTGTAGGAGTGCCATCTTCTGAATACAAGTAAATAAAAAATCAAAGTCCAAAAAGTTTCTTTCAGTCATTAAGAATTTAATAACCCTTTGTAATGTGGAAGTCGTAGTAGGTAACTAAATAGTCCTTGTCAGATTTGAAATGAAGTAGCCATCGCCTTTCTCATACTACATTTTACTCTCGTATCGTTTCTGACCACTTGTGTTGCACTGCTGGTCAGCCCAGAGGAAGATTGCTGAAAATATGCCAGTTGCAGGGACATCTCTACACACAGAAAACAAGAACATAATACTCAATATATAAATACATATGTGTGCACACACATGCACCTTATGCTTTGTGGACAGCTTTCATAAAGACCTTGCAGTGAAGAAATGTTTTCTGTATATTTTTCATCCTACTCTTTGAACTCAAGATACATGAATTTGCCTACCATATACTATTCAGTGTAATTTTAATGAGTATAATGTAAATAATATTTGACATTTTAACCCCAATGCATCATTAAGATGCATTAAAATGATGCTGTATATAATTGTCATAATAGGTGGTTATCCTATTATTTAGAGAATAAATTTTTATGAGAGAAAAAAATAAAGCTATTGAAACTATAATATGACTTACTAATGGCAGGTCCTGTGAAATGAAAAGTTTTGCAATATAGAAAAATATTGTGTTTTCTCCTCATGTTTCTTTGCCGAAAGGTACACTTTATCAATTGTAGTTTATTACTAAAGACTTGGAATTCCAACTCCAGGACCCTTTCCTTCTCTACAGAAATGCCAGTTTGAATTGTTTATAGTTTGAATTGTTTTGTGTGCTTATAGTTATGTCAGGGTTTTTTTTGAGATTATTAGATTTTATGTCAAATTAATATATAATTTAAGTCCTAATAAAATAACTACAAAGTTACCTGTAATCATCACTTTTGGTTGCTTTTATTTTGGATAAATACATGGTCTGATCAGTTATAGGTAATATTTTATTTTAAATTCTTATTATAGATCACATATTAACTACTATACCAAAAATATAAAAACACAAACTCTCTTTAATGCATCAATTTAAAAAATAACCTTCTTAAGTCCCACAGGGTTTATCTGATAGAAAATACTATTTAGATCTAATAAACATACACCTTGGTTCTAAGCGTGTGCTGTCCACTATGATAGTCACTAACTACTGTGGCCGTTTAGTACCTGAAGTGTGGCTAGTCTAAACGGAGCTGCACTGTGAGTGTCCAACAGGCACCAACTGTCAGACAGTGCAAAAAAAAAAGGAAAAAACCTCAATTATTAATTATTTTATATTAACATGTTGAAATGACAATATTTTGGATAAATTGGGCAAAATAAAATATATTATTAATTTCACTTGCTTCTTTGTATTTTTTAATTTAAAATAACAGATGTGGCTCACGTTCGTGGTTCCCCTCATATTTCTATTGAATGGCACTGTTCTATTTTAATTTGTTTTTCATATTTTATTTTATGTTTCCGTATTTTATAATGATTTTCATTTATTTTACCATGTTTAATAATCACAATTTTGTGGAGTAGACATTTTCATTGCCATTTTGCAGATGAGGAAACTGAGACTCCAGTGAGGAGGCAGACTGTGTAAAAACCCACAGATTCTGATTTCACTTCCGTTGCTTTTTCCACACCACCTGTACTGCTCTACTATTAAACATGGATGCAAATTAAAGGTAGCCTTTGGGATGCATATTAAAATGTTTCTAATGAATTTCCATACAAAAGAAATAGAATCAGTTGAACAACAAAGAGTGAAAGGGAATGGATCTATTTACTTTTCTGGATTCATTTTGCCTTTTTTTTTTTTTTGTCCTTTCTATCTGATACTGATTGCCTTTGCACCCAGAGTCATTTGGTTTTATGTTGTTTGCAAAAGCCTTTTCAATCCCGGGCATCAAAGGTACACAGAAGGGTTTACCACAGGTGCTGTCAGAGTGTCAGATACCTCTTAAACGTTTTAATAGAATTCAAATATGTTATATAATAATTATGTATGGTTTACATGTTCTTTGGTGGCATATAGATTGGTTGGCCTTTCTTTGGGCAAGGAACTCAGCTTTACTCAGGATTGTTTTTGTAAGACTATTTCCTCAAGATATTCTGTATAGTCAAGAATCTCTCTGTCTGGTCTTTGCATTTCACATTGGCTTATGTATGTCATAGGCCATATTTGGGCATTTCAAATAGACAAAGGTAGAATTGATAGAGGTTTGTGGTGAGGTTTTTTAGATTCATTAGGAGAGAAAAAAAAAATCCCTTTCTTGAATTGGATGAATGTAGAAGAGCAAAATAAAGAAATGAAAATCCCAAACTCTCTTCATTTAATCAGCCAAAAAAAGATGCTTGATAAATAGAGTAACTTCATTCAAACACAAAATAGATTACTTTATTACAGAAAAGGGTTTATACATTGTTTAAAGGGTTTAAACATTGTTAAAATGGGGTTTGACCTGTATGAACTTTAAAAGTAAGTAAGATAGCTGTTAAAGTTAGGGCAAACATTTCATTCATTCATTTATTCAACAAACATTTACTGTCTGCCAAACACTATGTTCAGGTTTTATATGGGTTATCCCATAACTTTTTCTTGAAAATACTGTTATTCCTGTTTTATAAATGAGAATACTAAGGTTAAAGGGATTAAGTGATACGCTGTGGTCCATGACTATTTTGAGATGGAAACACCACTTGAACCAAGAAACCTTAACTTCGAGACCCAAGGCCCAAGCAGTGAAGTACTAGCAGTAAATAATGCATTTGAGCCAAGTTTATCATTTACAAACACTTAGTTATTTTAGAGTACGCTCCAAGGTTTAAAAAGCAAGTTTTTTTAGCCTTGAGATTCAAGCATATATCAGTTATTAGAGAGATTAGTTTTTACCAGATTAAAAACTAATTTAACAAAAAGCTGAATTAGACCACTTCTTTTGTAATATTCCCATATAGTAATCACTTACTGTGTTTTTCATTTCGCAACTAAATAAGATATTAGCATATGGAAATATATTTTCCCAAATATAATACTTAAGTTATAGACAGCAATGACATGGGGATTCCTTTCTTTTCTTGCTTTTTCAATTGAGACGGAGTCTTGCTCTATTTGTCCAGGCTGGAGTGCAGTGGCACAATCTCGGCTTATTGCAGCCTCCACCTCCCAAGTTCAAGCAATTCTCCTGCCTCAGCCTCTGAGTAGCTGGGATTATAGGTGTATGGCACCATGCCTGGCTGATTTTTGTGTTTTTAGTAGAGACAGGGTTTCACCGTGTTGGCCAGGATGGTCTCAAACTCCTGACTTCAAGTGATCACCCACCTTGGCCTCCCAAAGGGCTGGGATTATAGGCGTGAGCCACCACGCCCAGCCCCTTTCCTTTCCCTTTCCCTTTCCCTTTTCTTTCCTCTTTCCTTTTTCTCTTTGCTCTGCTCCTGCTCCTGCTCCTGCTCCTGCTCTGCTCTTTAGAGACAAGTTCTTGCTCTGTCACCCAGGCTGGAGTGCCATGGCATTGGTCATAGCCTCATTGCAACCTTGAACTCCTGGGCTAAACCGCCATATCCAGATAATTTAAAACAACCTTTTTAGAGACAGGATCTTGCTGTGTTTCCCAGGCTGGTTTCAAATTCCTGGCCTCAAGTGATCTTCCCACCTCAGCCTCCTGAGTAGTTGGCATTACAGGCGGGAGCCACCATGCCCAGCTGACAGGGATATTTCAGAGCTAGGCCAACAAGTTGAATATAGGATATAATCCACAGTTATAGGATTGCAATGAAATTCTTTTTAGATGCTGGATTTTATTGCAGATGTAAACCTGAAGTTTAGATCAAATCAGAAAAGAAAAACTTAAGATATTTAGGACCAAAACTATTTTAGAAAACTCCTCCTAAGTCTTAAAGTGAATTTACCATTTTGGGTAGTTTTGTATGAAAAAAGAAATGACAGTTTAAATCCTTGATTAACATTCATAGGATCTGGGAAAAACTGCTATAAATAACGGAAATAGTACCCTGAATGAAAAGGAAAATTACAGGTAGCCCCCATCTTCTAAATAGGCCATCTTCATAAAAGTTGCCTTCTAAAGTGAGTGGTTGGTAGACTTTTGGGTAAACGATGGCAGAGTGAGCACACTCCTAGTTTTCCTGAAATTCTCTTGAAATGACAGTAAAAAAATTAAAAAGACATAAACCCAAAGGATGAAGGATCCATTTTACGAAAGAGATAGAATAAACAAGAAATAGGAAGCGTGCTGTAATAGCTTTATTGTTCACAAACATGAGCGTTGCCTCCTCACAGAGGGTTATTTATCTTTGCTCTGTTGGCTATACCACGCATTGACCCACCCTGCAGAATGGTAATATGTACTCACCTTGTTGTACTCAAGTATGGCTATACTAATTGCTTTGGCCAGTGAAATGTGGCTGAAAGTGATATGTATCACTTCTGAGCAAATATTTTAAGAACTAGCTTAAGATTTACTGCCTTTTTTCCTTCTGCCATGATGACCAGCAATATTCCAGGCAGAGGCTGCTTTGTGAGCCTAGGTTCTGAAATGAAGATAACATGGCACAGAGGTAACAATGACCCATGATGGACACGTAGCTTGTAGAAATAAACCTGTGTCATTGTAAGCTAAGCCATTGAGATTTTGGTGTCATTTGTTACTGTAGCATAACTTGGCCTATTGTGACTGATATACAAATCATCCAGGAAGAAGGGAATCTCCCAGAGCAAAGGTGAAGAGTCCCGTAATGACCCCTGTGCAACTGGAGGGGATTTAAATTAAAGTCAAAGGGTGAATTGCTTCAGGAATGGTATCCAAGAAAAAATTTACAACTGATAGTTTGAATCTATTGGGACATTTACAGCTACTTTTTAAGAGTTTGGTGATGATATGAGGAGCATTGAAAACTAAGGGGGAGGGAGACAGAAGAAACCCTTTTTAATTCCTGGGAAAACAAAATATTGAACAAAAAAGGAAATGTAATCATAGTACACCATGTAGCTCTGCAAATCATAATACATAGTTAAAGACACTGAATATGAAAGCATTATATTGGAAGGATGGGGTTGTATGTGTGTGTATCTGTGTGTGAATTTGTGTGTATTGTAAGAAAACTGAATCCTCTTCAGTCAATTTTTGAAAATCAAGAAATGGTACATACATGATATATGGGAAAGGGATTTAAATACCATAAGAAAAATTGGATGAGAAATAAATGGAGAGCAGAAAGAACTGTCGTAGATGTAATTTAAATTGCTTTCAGGGAGCAGTAATCAAGAATGGAGTGACTAGAGAAGGGTTCTATTTGCTATGAAGTTCACAGTATTATTTAACTTCTAAAATTATGTACATGTATTATTTTTATGGAAATAAAAACCAAAAATATAATTGGATATCAAAATACATTCTCTCATAAAAAACATAATTTTAGTTGTGGTTAGCTTTCCAAGTCAACTCACAAAAGCCTTTCTAGCCCAGTGTGCACCTGTTTAAGAGTAGCATACTAGTATTATAATGATGTACATATGAAATACAGCACTAGCATATGTAGGATTATTTCTGTAGGAAAATCCATTCAAGAATAAAACTGTATAGAGGCCAAGAATATAATTTCCTTAGCAGCAGGGCAGAGTACTTCTAATGCCCATTTGTATTAACAAATCGTTTGTAAAGCTGGGAGTTCCTGTAAGTTCTTTTTTTTAAGCATGCGTGGTAATAGTAAACCTTTTGAAGCCTTCACAGCCATGTTTCTTAATTCTGGAGTGGTTCTGTAGCTTCTCTCCTTCGTTCTATCCCCACTTCTATTCCAGTTCAGGCTTTCATTATGTGTTACTTGGGATGTTTCATAACCCCCCATAGCAAAAAGGGATTGAACTTCTGGCATCATCCAAAATAGAATAAGTTCACTACAGTATATCTCTCCCACTGTTTACAACTAAAAGTTCTGGGCAGATTACAAAAGCAACTAACTGGGGCCTCTGAAAGTAAATGACAACAGACACACTGAGGAGAGCAATCAGAACTTGAAGAAAAACTGCTATGGTGGTGAGTTCCTGGCTTTATTCTTTCCTCTTTTATCAACTGGCTTTGACCCAAGAATGCGCCAAGTCACAGAACGCTAGGAAAAAAAAAATAACAAAACCTGAGAGAAACTCCTCTTTCTAAAAACTTCCCCCTTTTCTTTCCCTACCTCCCTTTTACTCTTCTACCCCTACCGTGAAGCCAGTTGCAGGGAAAGCTGAACTGCCACTGTGGTGGTCATGGTGGTAGCACAGGCACCTGACATCCCAAGAAAGACCCTGTCTCTGCCCCTGTGGTCTGAAGAGTGGAGGAAAATCCCATTATGTATTTTTATTTTTATTTTCTTTTGCTGCACAGACTGTCTGACAGTGTGAGAGTCTAAAACCCTGAGATAAACCCTGACTTTGTAGTCGGAAGACTGGGGAAAAAGGCCCCTGACAGCTGGCGAGTGGGAGCAATTCTAGAGGAGGGAGCTGGATGAGGAGATCTCCTAATTCTGTCTAGGAACTCATGCAAATCCTGGGTCCACCTGTGAGCTACATACATGTAACAGAACCCAGGAAATAACAACAGCTTTGAGAATTAACTTACAATATAAACCATTATTCCAAATTCAGACTAGTATATGTATAGGGCAGACATAAACACCTTTGAAAATAGAACTGACGGCTGGGCGCAGTGGCTCACGCCTGTAATCCCAGCACTTTGGGAGGCCAAGGCGGGCAGATCACGAGGTCAGGAGATCGAGACCATCCTGGCTAACACGGTGAAACTCCATCTCTACTAAAAATACAAAACAAAATTAGCCAAGTGTGGTGGCAGGCACCTGCAGTCCCAGCTACTTGGGAGGCTGAGGCAGGAGAATGGCGTGAACCCAGGAGGTGGAGCTTGCAGTGAGCCAAGATCGCACCACTGCACTCCAGCCTGGGCGACAGAGGGAGACTCGTCTCAAAAAAAAAGAAAAAAGAAAATGGAACTGATATGGGAAGCATCATCCACAGGCAGCAAGACAGAGCTTCTTATCTAAACCTAACTGAATTGATTGCTTTCTCAAATATACAAAGTGAACATTCTCTGGAGGGTTTCAAGAGGACTCTGAGTCTCACAAAATAATAAAAATGTCCAGGGTGCAATCCAAAATTACTAGCCAGGAAAATATGCCAAACTGTCAAGGAAAAAATCAGTAGCCACCCTGAGATGATCTGGATGTTAGAATTATAAGATAGTGACATTAAGATAGTTATTACCATGCTCTGTGAGGTAAAACTGGATACTCTTGAAAAGAATGGAAAGATAGAAATTCTTGGCACAAAAATAGGTATAAAAAATAACCAAATGGAAAATTTGGAACTGAATAATATACTATTTCTTGGATGGTCTTAATAGCAAAATGCAGATGACAGTGGAAAGAAGAGTTAGTGAACTCATAGATAGGTCAATAGAAATTTTCAAACCTGAAGAATATAGAGCCAAGATGTTTTTTAAAAATGAACAGGGCCTTCAGAAATCCGTGGGGCAATATCAGAAGGTCTAATTTGTGCCATTGAAGTCTAATAAAGAGGAGAGACTCATAAATATTTGAAAAAATAATGTCCAAAACCTTTCCCAGTCTAATGAAGGAGACAAATGTATAGATTCAAGGAACTCAGTGAATCCCCAAACAGAATAAACCCAAAGAAAACCATGCCCATGACATGACAGTCACAATCAAACTGCTGAAAAACAAAGATTTTTTTTTTTTTTTAATCTTGAAAGCAAACCAGAGAAAACCATTGTGTTACATCTAGGATAATAATGTTTTGAATGACTGCAGATTTCTTATCAGAAATTATGTAGGCCAGAAGACAGTGGAGCAACATTTTCAAGTTTGGAAATAAAAGAGCTATTAACCTAGAATTCTATTTCCAGCAAAAATATCATTCAGGAATGAAGGTGAAATAAAGACATATACTCTGATAAAGGAAACATAAAAAGAACCTTTTTTTTTTTTTTTTTTTTTTTACCAGAAGACCCACTGTAGAATAAATGCTAAAAGAAATTCTTCAGGCTGGAAGGAATAATATCAAAGGGAAAGCTGGAATTGCAGGATGAAGTAGGAACAACAGAAATAGTAAATATACGGGTAATTACAAAAGATTTATTTTTTCTCCTCTCAAATTCTTTAAAATACATGTGACTGTTGAAAGCAAAAGTTATAACATTGTCAGGAAGGAGGTTCAGTGTATACGGATGTGATACATGTGACAACTATAACATAAAAAGAGAGGGTAAATGGACCTGTACACTTATAGAGCCTTTACATTCTGTTTGAAGTGGTAAAAGAAAAACTCTAAGTATAGACTGGGTAAAGTTAGATATGTATATTGTATTTCTTAGAGCAACCACTAAAAAGAAATATAGAGATATCACCAAGAGATAAAATAGAATACTAAAAAATTCAAATAACCCAAAAGAAGACAAGAAAGAGGGTAACAGGAGAGCAAAAAACATGACAAACATTAAACAAAAAATAAAACGGTAGACCTACCCAAGTTCAACCATATCGGTAGTTACGTTACATGTAAATGGGCTAACATAGTGATTAAAAGAGATTGCCAGATTGGATTAAAAAAGCATGGCCTAACTATATGCTTTCTACACAAAACCCATTTTAAATGTAACAATATAGATAGGTTAAAGGTAAAAGGATGAAGAAAGATATACCATGCAAATACTAATGAAAAGAAAACTGGGGTGTCTAGATTAACATCAGACAAAGTAGATGTCAGAACAATGAAAATTACCAGGGATAAAAAACGACATTGCATAATGATATAGGGATAAAGTCATCCAAAAGGCATAATAATTATTAATGTGTATGCACCTAAATACAGAGCTTCAAAGTGTGTGAAGCAAAAAGTGATAGAACCGAAAGGAGAAGTTTTTGTTTTTTTTTTAATTCTGCAGTTACTTGGAGAATTTAGTGCTCCACTTTCTACAATCAATAGAGCAAGAGGACAGAAAACAGCAAGTATATGGAAGACTTGAACAACACTATCAACTAAACACAGCTGTCATTTATATTATATTCTATCGAATGACAGCAGAATGGACGTTCTTCTCAAGTGCACGTGAAACATTCCCCAAGATAAACCTTATCGTAGGTCATAAAGCAAACCTTAAAAATTTTTAAAGAGTTGAAATCATACAAAGTATATTCTTGGGACCACAATAGAATTAAATTAGACATCAACAACAGAAAGGTATCTGGAATATCCCCAAATATTTGGAAATTAAACAGCATACTTCTGAAAAAGTCATGTCAAAGAAGAAAGAAAATTAGAGAACATTTGAACTGAATAACAATGAAAATTATAATATTTCAGTTGCAACCAAAGTTGGACTTACAGGGAAATTTATAGCATCAAATACTTGTATTGGAAAAGAAGAAAGTTCTTAAGTCAGTAATTCAAACGTTCACTTAAAGAAAATAGGAGAAGAGTATATTAAATCCAAAGCAAACAGAAGGAAAGAAATAAAAAGAAGAGAAATCAATGAGATAAAAAACAAAAAAACTGTTTAGAGAAAATTAGTGAAACCAAAACCTGATTATCTTTGAAAAGAATCAGTAAAACTGGTAAACACCTGGCCAGACTGATGAAGGAAAAAAAAAAAGAAGACACAAATTAGCAGTATCAGAAATGAAAGAAAGGCTATCTACAGACATTAAAAGGATAATAAGGGAGTACTATAATTCAGCAACTTAGATGAAATGGACTAATTCACTGAGAAATACAAATCATCAGAATTAACTCAAGAAAAATAGGTAAGCTGAATAGTCCCATAATAAGGAATTGAATTTGTAATTAAAAATCTAACAAAACTCCAAGTTCAGATAGTTTAACTGGTGAATTCTACCAAATGTTCAAGGGAGGAATAATACCAATTCTATACAATCTCTTTCAGAAAGTAGAAGAGGTATTATTTTCCAACTCATTTTATGAGGGCAGCATTATCCTGATACCAAAACAAGGCAAAGACATTTCAAGAAAAGAAAATTATTGATCAATGTCTCTTGTGAATATAGGTATAAAAATCCTCAGCAAAATGCGAACAAAAAAATGTTTATAGTAGCATTATTCACAGTAGCCAAATGGTGGGAATAACCCAAACATCCATCAGTGAATGAATGGATAAACAAAATATTATATACACATACAATGGAATATTATTCAACCTCAAAAGAGAATAAAATTATATATATAGTACAACGTGAATGAACCTTGAAGACATTATGCTAAGTTAAACCAGACACAAAAGAACAAATATTGTATGATTCCACTTCTGTGAGGTACCTAGAGTAGTCAAATTCATACAGACAGAAAGTAAAATAGTGGTTTTCAGGGGCTTCAGGGAATGGAGAGTGGGGAGTTATCTTCTAATGGGTACAGAGTTTTAGTTTGGGATGATGAAAAAGTTCTGGAGATGGATAGCGGTGATGGTTGCACAATATTGTGGATGTGCTTAATGCCACTGAACTGCATATTTTAAACTGTAAATTTAATGTTTTTAATATTTTAACACAATAAAAAAGGAAAAAATACTAGCAAATTGAATCCAGCAATTCATAAAAAGGATATGTCGTTAGCCTTATAATTCACATCTGGCTTATCCCCTCCATCCAAAACCACAGCTGGATTTATCTTCCTGTAGCACAAGCCTAATTAATTTGCTTTCCTTCTCAAAATCTGAAATGCCTTCCAAGTAAAACTTTTCACCTAACATTTAAAGCTGGCTGTAGTCAGGTCAGTTACCCTTTCAGATCACATCTGCTGCTACTCTTGCACGCTTGCCTAATGCTCCAAGCAAACAACTACATATACACTTTCCCAGAACACTCTTACCTGCATGCTTTTAAATATTCTTTTTTCTCCTTAAATTCTCTCCCTCATTCTGACCAATCTCTACCAGATAAATTCTACTCATATTTCAAAACCCAGCTGGAACTTTACCTCCCTGGATGTTTTTGTGAGTCCCCTGTGTAGCTGTGATGTCTCACTGCAGCATATATGTCTTTTATGTTGTACTTATATTTGCTTTGCTCATTTGTTATTGAGCACTTGTCTGTTGAAACTGATTCTGTGTTGGGTTTTGGCAGTAACGAATAAGCTATATCCCTTCCCCCTTACAGTTTACCATCCTAGCACGAAAGACAGACATGTAAACATATATGTTCAAAATAACATGCTAAATCTGAGCTAGAAATAAAGGCAATTACTAGTTGTGCTTATAGTTTACCTTATGTATAATATTTTGTCCTGGCTTCTCTGTTAGAGTGCAGGCACCTTCAGGGCAAAGGTGTCTTTCCAGTCCCCCATAGCACTGAATTCCTTGCATTAAATGTGCACAATTAAATATTTGCAATGAGTACTGAATTGTTTTTATTGGATTTCTTTATTCAAAGCTATGGCTGAAACTTAACCTAAAAGTTCACAACTATTTCTTTAGTTTTTCTTTTGGAGCATTAGCCATTAGGCATTAAGGAGCCTCTGTGGTTCCTGTGTAGAAACCCGAAGCAGTGAGTGATTTTAGCAGCTTACCTAGGAGCCGCTCAGCTTCTCAAGGTTACTTTAATATGTGTAGTGGTAACATTTACCTACAAGTTCCTAGAGGTGATTGTGAGTTGTGAGAATGCCATACATCCTCATCATGGGAAATTTAATAGTTCAAGGAAGAGATATGTAATGTGGGAAAATGTTAGTTTTATCTATGTGAACAAGATGATGTATAATGCATATATATAATATAAATTTTCTTTATAGAACTTTATTTAAATTCTAAAAAGCACTGTTATGGATGTCTCCTTCAACTTGTTTTATGCTTATTGAGATATTGTGATTTGATATTTAAGAAGTTTATTCACTGTGTTAAACTTGATATCTTAATTATGATACATGAAAACAGGCCACATCTCTGTTTCCTCCTGGCCCTGTTAAACCATGGCCGTGTGGTTTAAACAGAAAAGCTTATGCTATCGATGTTTTATCTGCAAATGAAATAAGAACTTTTTTTCATTTTTATAGAAGCAACGAAATAAATAACTCTTTATTAAAAATAGTTAAAGGTAGTATTACCAAACACTGGATTTAAAATGACACTTATAAGCATTTACTATAAAACAAAAAATGATAAATTTTACCTCATCAAAAGTAAAAATTTCATCAAATTAAAAACTTCTGTTCTTAAGATACCTTTGGGATAATGAAAAGAAAAACCACAGACTGGGAAAACATATTGAGAACATGTACATATATCTGACTCAGCACTATATTGAGAATATGTAAATAACACTTAGAAATTAACAACAGAAAGACAAGCCAACTTAAAAATTAGCAAAAGATTTGAAAAGACGCTTTTAAAAAGAAGATATACAAATACCAATAGTCACATGAAAAGATTCTTAACATGATTCCTCAGGTACTTTGAAGTGAATGCATGTAGCCGTAGTTTCTTGCTTTTTATTCTGTGTAGTACTCCACTGCATCATTATATTGCAGTCTATTTATTCTCCTATCGATAGATACTTGAATTATTTCCAAATTTGAGCTATTCTGAATAAAGTTGCCATGAACATTCCTGTCCATGTTTTTTAGGTGGATATGTATGCCTATCTATCTTGGGTTTATACCTAGGAGTGAAATTGATGGGGACATAGTGTATGGGTTTGTTTAGCTTTAGAGATACTGCTGAACAGTTATGTGCCTATTTGTACTCTCTCCAATAATGTCTAAGACTTCCCATTTGCTCCACATCCTTGTCAAAACTTGATATTGTTTGTTTTTTTTAATTTTCTGGGAATTCTGAAGTGATATCTCATTGTGATTTTAATTTGCATTTTACCATAACAACAGACTGTATTGAGCATTTCTTCATATGCTTATTGGACATTGGAAACCTATGCAGATTAAAGCCCAAATAAGAATATCACATACTCCTTAGAATGGCTAAAATTAAAAAGACAAGTGTTAATGAGGATGTGGAGCAATGGAAACTTTGATACATTGCTTGTGAAAGAGTAATATGCTACAACTACTTTGGAGAACTATTTGGCAATTTCTCATAAACTTAAACATATAACTAGCGTATGATCCAACAAGTTCCGTTCGTAGTTATTTACTTAAGAGAAATGGGCTGGGCACGGTGGCTCACGCCTGTAATCCCAACACTATGGGAGGCTGAGGCGGGCGGATCACTTGAGGTCAGGAGTTCGAGACGAGCCTGGCCAACATGGTGAAACCCCCTCTCTACTAAAAATACAAAAATTAGCCAGGCATGGTGGCAGGCCCCTGTGATCCCAGCTACTGGGGAGGCCAAGGCAGGATCACTTGAACCCTGAAGGTGGAGGTTGTAGTGAGCCAAGATGGCACCACTGCACTCCAGCCTGGGCGATGAAGCCAGACTCCGTCTCAAAGACAAACAAACAAAAAATCCAGGCGCTGTGGCTCACGCTTGTAATCCCAACACTTTGGGAGGCCGAAGCAGGCGGATCACCTGAGGTCAGGAGTTTGAGACCAGCCTGGCCAACATGGCGAAACCCCATCTCTACTAAAAATAAAAAAAATTAGCCAGGCTCGATGGCGGGCACGTGTAATCCCAGCCACTTGGGAGCCTGAGGCAGGAGAATTTCTTGAACGCGGGAGGCGGAGGTTGCAGCAGTGAGCCAAGATCGCGCCATTGCACTCCAGCCTGGGTGACAGAGTGAGACTCCGAAAGCACATGTCCACACAAAGACTTTTACACAAATGCTCAAAGCAGTTTTATTCATAATAGCAAAAAACTCTGGTAATAACCTGGATACCCATTAATAGTTACATAGATGAACAAATTTTGGTATATAATAATAGAACACTACTCAGCGATAAGAAGAAATGAACTACTGATATATTCAACAACATGAATTAATTTCAGAAACATGTTGAGCAAAGCAAGCCATCTACAAAAGAGGATATACTGTACGACCCCATTTATATGAAGTTTATATGAAGTTGAAGAACAGGCAAAACTAATCTAGGGTGATAGAAGTAAAAAATTGGTTGTCTCTGCTGGGGCTGGTGGTGGAAGTGGGGTGTGGTTGTTGACTGGAAAAGAGTGATAAAAATATTTTATATCTTGTTTTCAGTGTTGGTTACATAAGAGTGTTTTATTGCCAACTCACTGAGCAGAACACTTTAAGATCTGTGCATTTTCTTGTACATAAATGATTCTTCAATGTAAGAAAGTAGAAATAATTGAACCTTATAAAAGAAGTATTTAAATAAATGAAAATTTAAGGATAATTTTTTACCCTTCTTTATTTTCCTGACATTTATTAACCAGTGTTTCTGCTAACCCTGATCTCTGCTGTGTTGGTTAGAATATTACACTAACTCTTTATTACTTTGCGTCTTGGCTTTTTCAACCTGGAAATAAAGCAGTCCTTGTTCTAAAACACATCTTCAGTACTTTAAACCAACATAATACCAAAAGCTTGATGTCAACTGAAAGCCCCAAGTAATGTGAGGTAATAGAAATAGTTGAGTCTGCATTTCTAGTTTCCAGATCAGTGAGAAGGCTATGCCCCCTTTCTCTGGGTTGCGACATCTGCTTTCTCCCCATGGTCAGAGAAGCAAGATTTCTCTTTGCCAAAAATATGGAAACCGTATAACTTAATATTTTTCCTGAGTGGAAGGAATTAACCTTCCACTTCTCTCTTGAGAGTCAATTTTTTTAAATGTCAATTTCCTAGCAAAGAGGAGCCTTAGCATTATTCTGCAGTGCTTTCTCTAGAATGAAACATATAAAAACAATACAGTTTAAAAATATAATAGTAGATATTTTCTTGGTGGCTATTATAGAACATCTTATGAAGTATAAACTTGATTGTCTTCCAAAGCTCCAAAGTTAAAGTGTACCTGTATATACCCATAGTAAATAATAGCAGTAAGAAAGTCAAATTTAGAGAACAATGATGAGTCATAATTTGGAAACAATATTGCTCACTATACTTAGAATGCATTTTGTAAAACGTTTTCTCTGCCACTATGTTACCATTAATTAATTGGTTGCTAATTATCTAGGCTATTGAGAAGGCAGTGGTATGGATAATAAATTACAGGCCCCTTATGGGCAAAGACCATATCTTATATTTTACTTATATTCTGTGGTGCCAAATAAACACAGGAAATAAACAGATTTAGATAAGAAATAGACATGTACAGTGTACTTAACAAAATTCGCAAATCACTTATATTCTAGAATTGTTATATGTGTATATGTGTATCTGATGATTTTGTGTGGCATCTGGAACATCAGAATGCATAAGACAAAGCTTTGAAGATACGCTGCTTGGAGTGATCAAGCAGGAGTCACAAAGTTGTCGAGCTTTCCAAAATGTCTTCCTGTTTCCCACTTCATGGTAGAGACGGAGAATGACACCTCTCCAACGAAGGCAAACCAGTAGCCACAGCTGAACTGTGTGATTCACCCTCATCATGGCCGAGCATGCTAACAGATCTGTGCTTTTTAAGCTTTCTCCTAGGCTTCAGGCTACATGGAGGAATAAAAGCTCTTCCAACTTAACAAATTCTAAGACTTGGAGACTTTGTTACGTCTTTTCTTAACCTTGCAATCAGTTTAGGCAGTGATTACAAAAGCAATCTGGAAAGTTAAAAGTGAACTCTGTGTAAATTTATTACCAAGTAAATGAAAGACACATTATCTGCCCAGAGATAACTGAGGGTTGTTTTCCATTCTAGGATATTTATTGGCATATTGATAGTCGCAAATAGTAGTTCCTAATCTTCTGTGAGTCACAAACCCCTATGAGAATCTGAAGACTTTTCTTCTTCCCTTTTTTCCTTCATTTCTTCCTTCTTTACTTCCTACTTTCCTTCCTCCCCCTCCCTCCCTCCCTCTCCCCCTTTCCTCAAATATATTTGCTTGACTGCTGTGTGCCAGACATTGTTTTAGAGGGTCTATGCTTTGCACTTTTTCACCTCCCAAAATTTGCATATATACATGACATTTTGCATATAGTTTTAGGGATTTTATTGAACCCCTAAAGCTCTCTAGGGTCAAGAAACTAATATTTAAAGTAACTATATGGCTAAAAATACTTGACATTCTTACTAGGCAAAAACTTAGTATTTGCAGGAATAACAGAATACATTTCTCTTCGGGATCTGCCCAGGAAGACAAGACCTTAAAGTAGACTCATTCACATCATGAGCAGTGAGGAATGGGAGCCGAGGAATTTGACATTTCATATTTAGTCAGAATAGGTAACCTATACAGTCTTGAGGCTCTTTTACTGTATGTGAGAGGAGTGGTTGGTTGAATTAGAAACTTTCAAGGACTCCTTTTAAGCCTGCATTTAATGAGAAAGAAAGAAGAGCCACCAAAATTTAAAAATCATAATGTGGTCACTGAATCTTACTTTGTGTCTCTAAGTCTCCTTTGCCATTCCGACTGAAAAATTGATCTATTTATTATGCACCATTGCTTAGAGAGCTAACATGTTAATATATGATAAAGGGTTATACGTCTACTGTGACTTGAGTGATGAAACTTGTCACTGTGACCTTTAATCCAAAATGACTTTTTTGTTCTCTGTCAGTACTCCACTTAGGCTGAAAGGAAGGGATCTAAACTCTAAAGAAAACTATCCATCTAAAGAAAGGCTCTGAAAAATCTCAAGTAAAGCAGAATTTCACTCTTGAGCCTTGTGGTATCTCTGGATTTCGTATTTCTATTTTTCTGTGTGTTGAGTTGTGACACCAGATAGTTCCTTGAAACACACACATAAGCAGATACACAGTGTGAGTAAACAACCCTTCTCTTCACCCTGACCATCCAATTAACACAGTTTCTACTTCTCCATCATAACTGCCAGGGGACTCACGGAGAGAACCTTCATGTGAATATATACATTTCTTATGTAACTTAACAATCTGACATGCTGAGGTGAGGAAAAACCCATGTGGCAAAGTCATATATGGTGATTTACAGCTGCTACAAAGTAAAGTCACTTGTTTTATCCTAAACCATAAAGACTATTAAGGTTCTCAGCTTGACCAAGAAAACATAGTAATGCTATTCAGATTGATACGCTGCATCTGTGGCTTGGACATGCAGTGTATTTTATGTTTTGTGTTTAAGAGAGCCCAGTTTAGCATGGTGGAAGTCTAAATTCTTGGCAGAGAAAAGCTGGGTTCCAAAACATTTTCTTAAATGCTTAATAAGGAAAGCATCTTTTAGTTTCCCTACCCTTTATCTATAGTAAGTGGTCATTATGGCTATATAATGTGTATTCTTTTAGATTCTGTGTTTTATATTACTAATTTTTGTCCAAAAATCATTTAGTAAATAGTTTCAAATAATCAAGTTCTGGAATCAAAGTAAATTTACTGCTTAACCCACAGAAGGAAAAATTATGGGTTTTGAAGAAGGAAAACAATTTTGGCCAAGAACTTGTATTAGAATTACCTTATGTATAGCCTTAGAGCTCTTATTTCATAGTAGAACCAAAACACAATTTAACTGTTTAAACATAAAGGGTTTTTGGAAAGAGTCTTTTGGAAAGTAGTATCTCCTATGTCTATATTCACAGATTAAGGTAAAAATGAAAAAATAAAGAAACTCTGACTTTTCTTTAATCAGGAAGTAGCACTAGGCTCCTTTGGCTAGACTACTGCTATGTCAAATTGTAGAAATATTTCTGTGATCATGTGTTTTATAGTTAGGCTATTTTCAGCAGAGCTATTCCTATCATTGTTAAACACTCAATTAAATCATCTGGCTCAAATATGAAGAAGTCTGTTCTTCATTGGAACAAATTTTTGACCTGTAGAAATATTCTGTTTTAAAAATAAGCTTAAGCATAAATAGACATGTTTAAACATAGCTTTCTCAAAAACTGCGATTATAGGAGACTGGACTTATTTATGTACATTGAGATTCACTTATGGTGATAGTTGTCAGTGTGTTGCTGGAATGACTGACATGCATCTAAATCTTACATTTTTCAGGTCATTCAGGTGCTTATATATGTAAGCTTGGGATTGCCATTATCAAACGCGACTAGAATATGAATAGCTTGGATTTTCTGGTAGACCAAAGTACTATTAGTTATTATTTGTCCTTTGTTTTTCCATAATGAAGAGAAATGCATGTGATTTTGCAGAATTGTTGCATCCTTTGAGCTCTTAGTTGCCAGTGCCTAACAAGTAGTCAATCAGGAAGAATGGTATATGGTAGAGTTGTAATAGTAAATACACATTAAACGAGTACATTAGTGTCTACATAGTGCTGGATCAATCGAAATATACAGTCTTCGGGAGCTCATATCCTAATGACAGAATCCCATCAACACTACTTAAGCATAAGAAGGTAAAGTGTTTGAAGCAAAATAAACTCTCAGTGAAGGTTGAAGGAGAACAAAAGCGGTGATATGAGGAGACTGTCCATGCTGAAATTTCTGGTAGAAGGTGTAATCAATTGATAGAGAATTCTAGCATATCTAGTCCACATGTTGAATTATTCCAGGAAGTGATAATTATTGATATTAGCAATTACAAGGGTTATTGATGGTAGAAGAGCTTGAAGTCTTAGATTTCATTTCAACTCAGCAAGTATTTGTTGAATGTCTGCACATGCTGTTTGCTGTACTGGGTGTTTTAACAAAGTCCTCCCCTCCAGGAGCTTATAGTCTAGTGGAGGGAACAGATTTATAAATGCTTAATTTATTACCTTTTTTACTACAAGGATATACAAAACTACAGGAGCAAAGAAAAAGTTGGGACTGTTTATTCCTAGAGGAGTGAGAAAGCCTGGGTCTTCAAGGACGAGTAGAGAGAAGGAAAAGATGTATTAGGGACTCCCTGCATGATATTTGTGGCCAAGGAGATTTTGAAATTTTTCAGCAAGATTATGAACAAATGAAAATATAAATTTAAGTGGCCAACAAAGCAGAATAAGTTGTTTCTATTTATATTTGTTGTAAACTATGGACTTTTCTGCTTCCTAATTTTTAAAAGTTTATTTACTCTGTTATATCTCTTAGATTAAAGGAACAAATAAAACTAGGAAATTAGTATACGATGAAAAAGATTCCATATGACCTTTGGTAAACCTGAGGGTAGTAGATGACCTCAAGGTTCCCAGTTTAGGAAGATGATGATCTCTGGGAAGATTAGGAAGATTGAATGATATAACATGAATCCATTATAAATTAAAACTTTCTAAAAGATTAAATCTGTCTTTTACTGGGAAAGTAATAAATTCTCATTTATAGTTGGAGAGTACATATTAATTTAATCCAAATTAGTATAATGCTTTAATTCAGAGAGTTTTGTTTGTTTTTAATGGCATTAACTTTCTAATAACATTAATTTATTTAGAAAGGGGAGGTTTGTTTCTACTGTTTCCCCCAAAATGTTCATGAGTATTAGTCACCCATAAAATAGAAACTGCTTCTCATCTGCTTTGAACCTTCCATTATTCTCAGGTCATGGGATCGCTGATTTGTGAGGTGCAGTAAAACCATGTCATATGAAAAGAAGCAGACCAGGGGCCAAAGATAACAGTGCTATGTAGACTCTCAGTGGCCAGTGAAGATTTTGTTTTACAAGATTGTGTCCGTGTTTGGTCAGTAAAGCTAACGCAGAAGGTGAATGGAAGAACATTACTTTAAAGGCATTAGAGAACATGCCGGAGGAAAGCATTTTGAGTGCAAACATTCCAAATGGGGAAGAAGTACAGAATCCGCACAGAGCCGGCCAAACGCAGCCTGTGTTTCCCATCTATGGATGCCAGCACACAGGCAGCGTCATTGCTGCTCGAGTGTTTACTGCTGTGAAAACACTGCCACTACCAGAAAGCTTAATTCCCTTCCTCTTTCTTTTCTCTCTTTTTCTCCCTCTCCCTCCCTCCCTTCCTCACTGATCTCCCCCCTCCCTTCATTCCATCCTTCTTTTTTTCCTTTTGAGAGTCCATATGAACTTTGGTTTAAAAAGACTAATTCCAGTCTTTTATAACCAAGCCTAGAACTCAATCCAATATGTAAAAACAAATTTGAATGCTTCATGTATTTCATTTGAAAGGCTGGGAGAAGGGCATGTTTTAGGGGAAACAGATTAAACCAAGAAAAATGACTTTGGCTAGCTTATTTAACCTTGTTAGACCACAGATTCCTCATTGGTGAAATAGGTTCTTGAACTGCATGCTTCTTACCTGACTTCTGGCTCTAAAATTTCATGGTTCTATTTTTCTGTTTTTTTTAAATATCTTGGGATCTTTCAAATGCCTAGTAGCTGTGTGTGCATGTGTACTACCATATGCTAGTAACGAGTCATCATCAATGTGGTCAGATTTATTAAAGCTTGATCTAGATAAATGCTATAGTAAATCAAGAAACATTATATTTGAATGAAGTCTCAGAAACAAGTGTTTACACAAATATATGATTAGATATTCTCCATCCTTACATTGAAAATATTATTCTACTCTTGTGAGGAAGACTTCATGAAAGGAGTGGAGTTTGAAGGAATTTTAAATTTTGGTTTATCCTTAGATGCCCAGAAGAGGTTTGTGTAATGTCACACTACCACGTTTCCGTGGCTTTCCAAGTAAAAAGAGGGAACTTAAATGCCTTCCTTGCTGAATGCTAAGAAAAACATATTTCCCTGTCTTTTTGAGAGGAATTAGTGAAGTTATATTAGAAAGAACATTACCAAATCAGATGTCCTGCCTATTTAAATTTTACCCATGTAATTATGTGTTTATCATCCACTTCCTAATTGAATGGATATATATCTTCTTTTAAAAATTTACACAAACATTATCACATGTCCTCATTAGACGATTACAAGCTATCATTCATGATTTGGAGTTGTATGGTATTTGGGTAAAAATATAAAACAAATTATAAATATCTTAAAAGAACAGATCAAACAGAAATATTTATTAGGAACATAAATGAGATAAGGCAAATCCCCAAAGAACATGCAAAATGAACTAATGCACCATGCTAATAAGAATCAAAGGGTTACAAATGAAAATGTACATTTGAATGACGCTGACATGACACTGCCTTTAATGGCCCCTTAACTAGCCTCTTAAAATTTGACCAGCTTTTGGTTTTTCCACTGAAGAAATTTAAAAAGAAAATACCACTACTGAATATAATCAGCTTGCTCTCTGCCTTGTCTTTGTGGACCTAAAAAATCCAGACATGAAGTCTATATGGAAATTTTGATCTCCTTGATCTTACTGACGGAGTTAAAAGGAAAGTAAAAGATTGGTGTTTCATTATGTAAAGGCAGTATTGCATTGCCTGTTGCCTCAAACATCACTTTTTTTCAATTGAGAATTTCCAAAGAACGGCATAAACCAGGATAGTGCAGTTACAGGCAAAATTTTACAACGGTGTGTGGTAAATCCTGATTAAATATGGAGAGATGAGTTCTTAGAGTGAGGAAGTCACATTCTAGGTATCATTAGGATATTTAGAGTAAATTTCAACATGTTCTTCCTACTCTTTATTTCACTTTAGGGTTTCTTACCTCCAGGAGAGATGTAGAAATAGTTGAGTTGAGCTTCATGCACCAAAGTACCCTTAAACTTGACCTCCGTGTTGGCAGACAGGTGGCTGGGAAGCGGCTGGTATGCAGGCGTACCAGGCTGAACAAAGGCTCGAAGCATTGTGAATTTCCAGATGTATATTAATTGGTTGATTTTTAAAGCTAAATAATTATCCTGCTCATGATCTCTTATAATTTTTTAAAACCCAGAAGCTATTCCTGCAGTAACATTTCAGTGCCACAAAAGTTGACATGGCCGTATCGTATCGCTGCAAGTTTAAGTTACAGTAAAATTCCTTTTAAGTTTTAGAATTCTAAAAAACAAAACAAAACACCTTCTTACTTGATTCTTTTCAACCTTGTATTTTCGTCTTCCCTGCTCTGCTCCCTGCCTATGTAGGGATGGGCCTCTCAGCCAGTGGCTTTACGGGAAAACTTGGATTGAAATGTGAACTTCATGGTTTCTGTCAGCCTGTCAGCTCATCACCTCCCTAAGGCATGGTGATCTCTGGTTTTTATATATCTCCACAGACTGCTTTGATAGACCCTCTTGTGTGGAAGAGTGATAGGTTTGTCCAGGGGTTGGTAGACCTTAGGGCTAAGAGGCAGGAAACTTGGAATGCATACTTCCATGGAATTCACAGCCTCTTTCCCAGGGGAATGCACTCAAGTTGCAAAACTATTTTAGGGAGAAGAAAGTTAGGCCCAGTTCTGCATTTTATCTTGGTGCCTCTTTTCGGTAGCCAGAACTCTTGGTTAATGGTTTTTTTTTCCCCTTTGGCTATTTAAATTTTCTGTCCAGACTAAACTGGGATCAAAAGAGTTATCTCAAAATGATCTCATTTTAATTTTTAAAGCCATGTTGCTTTGGAGATAAATGGTTGGGTCCTAAAGAAGTCTTCACGATGTCTTAAATAATTACTGCAAACTCAATCTTTCCTTCATTTTGCTTTGACATTTGAAAGATGTTCCGTAGCATTTTCGCTCCCTAAATCTGCATTTCAGTTATCTCATGGTGATGACACTGTCAAACTGCTTTTCTATTTGTATCAACAGTTTTCTTGGCATCCCACCCTTACGAAAGCCTAATTCCTTATGTCAAATGCCGCAAATGTATAACATCAAACGAAAGATACCCAGAATATTCTTATTAATAGAGCCTATTCATGAGACAACAACGGCCATTTTTTCCTCTGCCATTGGGCCTCGTGTTTCTGAGTTATGCTCTGTTTTTCTCCCTTACTGCCATCTTTCTCCTTTGATAGTTTTGGAAAAGTCAGTCTTCAAGGAAAGAAAACTTACACTATAACCAAAAAAATAGGCCAGGCTCCTAGTTTTGTAACTAAGGTTAAAGTCACCAAGACACGCAAACATACTCAGATTTATTAAGTGGTTGAACGTCAGTGATCCAATCTGCTTTGACTTCAAGAACGTGAGGGTATGCAGGTTAGTGTAGGAATCTGTGTAGGGAATTAGAGTAGGGAATTATTGTTGATGGACTGGAAGCAACCTTGAATATGAAGTTTCAAGATACACATTCAATGATCTTGAGATGAAAGAATTTTGTTTTGATGTAAAAGCTCTCATAGCACATGGGCTTCAGAACTCAGACGTTCTTAAAAAAAAAAAAAAAAAAAAGTCAGTGTACCAAGGAGGAAAATGTGTATGTATTTCCATCTAAGAGAGTAAAATGGTCCTGTTCAAGGAAAAGCTGGGATTTTTTCCCCTACTTCCCCCCCACTTCACGTGCAGGTAGGTAAGATAAAAGATTTCTGGTACACTGATAATTGCAAAACCAAAGTTTAAAGCCCTATTGCCACCTTTTGGCAAGTGAGTAATTCAGATTCATAGGTTCCTCTTTAAGATACCTGCTTAAAATAGCACTATAAAGACATTTCTTGTACCTTTTGATATATGAATCATTACTGACAAGAAGCAGAAATTCCATGCCCAGACATTGGTCAGGTAAGAGGGGAAAAAAGATGTAGTTAGAATATCATAGCTGTTTTAACAGCAAAATACTATTAATATAATTACGTGTTTAGAAAGTTTGAATTTAAAGTCTTTTTTCCCTTGTAAAAACATGTTTTGTTGGTTTTCATTGCCCTATCGTAATATTGCTGCTGTTTTCAGTGAAGATGTTTTAAATGTGTGTGTAGTTAATGCATTACTTAGATGATTAATGCCATCAGATCCTCAACTAGATATTTATAAATGTCTTCTGGAGCTGCTTCAGCCTTTGCTATAAAAATGATATAGATAGGCACATACTAAAGTATACAACTTATTTGAACATTATTGAATGAATCAATAGCAGGTATATTATGTCACAGTTTCTTTCATTACTAAATGAGGAAATCATAGTCATATCTAATCTTTCAGCAGTTATACATTTTCTGTACCATTTTGAAGCCAGAAGTTTATTATTAAATTTTATTTTTTCCAGTGGCCTCTCCCTAACTTACAGCTTACAAAGCCACTTTCTCAGTTAACATGTTCCTGAGAGAAGGAGAAGGGGAGGGAGGCTTCTAGGCATAATTTGAGTATCAGGTTTCTGAATATTTAAAAATAAACATGAAATGTGTTTATGAAATGTGCAAATGGAGTGTAGAAACAATGCTATCTCGCAGCCAGGAAGTATAGAAATTGTGATTTCATTTTCCGTCTGTATTCATTTGCTTCAGAGGATTTTGCCGAGTGCCTGTTGTGTTCAGGTGCCATGTTTTCACGCGGAGCACAGTTTCTTCAATGTGTGTGGGTGCGCGTCTTTGCACAAAACCACCACGGATTTCTCTGTGGACTTAAATTTTGATGCTTTTTTTTTTTTTTTTGAGACAGAGTTTCCCTCTTTTCATCCAGGCTGGCGTCCAATGGCGCGATCCTGGCTCACAGCAACCTCCACCTCCCAGGTTCAAGCGATTCTCCTGCCTCTGCATCCCGAGTAGCTGGGATTATGGACGCCCGCCACCAGGCCTGGCTAATTTTTTTTGTATTTTTAGTAGAGATGGGGTTTCACCATGTTGGCCAGGCTGGTCTTGAACACTTGACCTCAAGTGATCCCAAAGTACTGGGATTACAAGTGTGAGCCACTGTGCCTGGCTTGATGCTGTATTTTTAAGCTTTAACCCCAATGATTGCTTTTATTTATTCAATAATTATTGAATAAATCAATTTAACACATAGATTATTATGTATTTAAGATGGAAAGGAGATTTTTTTCTATTTTGTAGTTTTGAAGATGCTCATAATTTGTTTGATGTGTGTTTTTTGCAGTGTCCATCTATGGAATTTGGTTTTATGATAAGGAAGAATGCCAAAGAATTGCAGAGCTTATGAAAAAGTAAGTACTAAAAGGCTAAATATTTTTCAGGACCTGGTGCTTTTGTTTGTATTTCTAAGTGTGTGTAACTATACTACAGTCTTAACAGAATATATCTCCCATAGCAGTCCTTTTCACTGGTTAGGCAGACATTTAGTATTAATTAATAAATGAAAATTAGACGTAAGAACAACTTGCCGCAGTTTCACTGCATAATATTTATCATCTAGAATGATTCATTTTTTCCTGTGTGTGAAATATATATGAATTGTTCCAGATGGCAGTTTTCTTTAATATTTTCATATGTAAATTAGCAATTTTTTGCTTTGAAAAGTTATCAATATGCCTGTTGGTAAAAAGAACATTCAGAGCCATCCTAAAAGTCTGCTCCCGATTCTGTAAAATCTTTCATTTCCTTCATCCCCCAGATGCTTTCCTTTAACTGTGTATACATGTTTGTGGGAGCTCAGAATTTCCTCCCATGTCTCAGACACTGAGTTAAGGTAGTCTTTATTTTCTGTCTCCTTAGAAATTGCTGAGTTACTATTAGCTTAGTGATCAGTCGACTGTCTCTCTCTTCCTTGTTACTGGTCTCTTTCTTTTAATCTTATGATACCTTGTGATTTGTCCCATTCTGCATTTTGGGCAACTTTAAAATTGCTGTCTGACTTTCCCACTCTTGGCTTCCCTGATTGCGTTGAAAGAGGAGGGCTTGTTCTCTGCTCTGCAGTTGGTTGACTGATCAATTTTTGAGCCCAGGGCTGCTCACTGTGAGGCAGTTATTTCCCTGCCATTTATGGGGATGGGAAGAGTCTCAGAGTGAGATGAGTTTCCTGCACGTGCTGTGTCACAGCCTGGGACTGGACTCAGCCAAGCACATAGGATGGCTGCTGCCACATGGGTATGACACTGTAGCTCTGTGTGCAAAAGAATCAGTCCCCACTTTTAAATCCTGGGGCAATGAAATGACTAGAAAGTGACCTCACGGAAATGAAAAACAGGGAGCACCTTTTAAGAGATGAGATAGATTCCTGAAAGTCTAGCTAGAGGTAGCTAATTTTAGGTAACTAGCTCAAGGTGCAGATGGTGATTAAGTGTATTCAAACTGGTATTTACCACCATAACAACTAGTTCCTAGAACATTCATGTTACTGTAAATTGTGCAGTGGATAATAATAACAGGATTTCATACAGATTAAAAAATACCCTGTAGCTCAGCCAAGAGGCCATGTTATAATTGTCAGCATTCTGCAGTAATTACCTAACAGCTCGGGCAGGAAATTGATTATTTACTAGCAATAAGCAGCTGATTGTGTGGATTCCGACCCCCTCCCCAGTTAGAATTAAGTCTCTCAGTAAGTACTCAGATCTTTGTTACCGTAAACTTCATGGCAATAATAAGAATGTGAGCTGAAAGTTACAGCACATAAAGGGAAAGTATATTTTCCTCGACATCACCTAGCAGCATATAGGAGCAATCTGGTCTATCTTTGTATTGTTTTCCAGGCAACAGAAGAACTCCTCGTTGCTCTAAGTGGTTTTTTAAATGGCCCCTCTTCTCCGAGTTAGAATGGAATCTTTACCATGTTTTGAAACTGCCAGAGAGCTGCAGGATTTGAGTTGCCAGAATCAACCTTGCCTTGACTTCAAGGCAGTCTGTAAAGTAGGGGGTTCTTTCCTCAGTATTTCAGAACTCTAAATTGGGTTTCCTTAGCAACTAATGAGAGCATCCTTTAGAATGCACTGTGTGAGGAGTTGGCAAACTCTTCTCAAAGGGACCAGAGAGTGAGTATTTTAGGCTTTGCAGTCCATAGGATTTGTGTTCCGACTATAGAATTCTGCCCTTGTAATGTGAAAGCAGCCATAAACAACATGTAAACAAAGGAGCATGGCTGTGTTGAGCTTGGCTGTGTTTGTGACTTTCTTTACAAAAAACAGGTGGTGGGCTGGACTTGGCCCACAGATTTGCTGACCCCTATCCTAGATTCATTTGTGTAGTCAGTGAATTCAGGACCTCAACTCTCATTTTTCTCCTTTAAATTCCTAAGCAAGCTTATTTCTAATATGGTTGTAACAGGATGAAAACAACTAGGTGAGAATTGGGATGGTTTTAAACATTGTTTGTGTTGAATTGGCTTTTCTTGTGTGGATTTTCCCCTCTGTTTTTCTAGCCTAACTCAGTATGAACAGTTGAAAGCCCATCAGGGAACTGGAGCAGGAATTTCCCCAGTGATCCTCAATTCAGGAGAGGGCAAAGAAGTAGACATTTTACGAATGCTCATCAAGGCCAAAGACGAATACACAAAGGTGAGTGTTTGCCCTTCCTTGTGATACATACACACTTCAGTTCCGCAGTGGGAATATTCTTGTTTAGCAAGACTAGGTACTGTGGATGCTGTTCCTTCCACCAAACAAAATTATATTACAAATAAAAAATCTTTATTTGTAATATAGATTTTTTATAAGCTGAAGAAAACTGTTTGCCTTTAAGTGGGTTAAAAAATAGCCTGAGAAATCAGTAGCCTTCATATATACAATAGCCTTCATGTATACAATAACCTTCATATACACAACTGGTAGTAAGTCTTGTTAGACTTACTGCAAGACCCCAACTTACAGTAGCAACAAATGAATATAAAATTGTTTGCAATAAAATTCACGAGAAATGGGCAAAACCTATATAAAGAAAATGTTTAAAAACTCCTGAAAGGCATAAAAATAGACTCAAACAAATGGAAATATACACCCTGTTGTTGGATAAGAAGATTCAACATAAAGCTCTTAGAAAAAAAATCTCTACATTTAAGGTGACCACTAAATAAATACCACTGGTTTCTTTTCCCCTCCCCTCCCCACTTCTCCCTTACTCTCTGATCTAGACAAGTTGAGTGTAAGGCTCATGGAAAGAAATATGCAAGAAAGAATAGCTGGGAAAATCCTGGCAAAGAAGTGTGATATTAGTAGGGGTTGGAGGTGGGGGAGATGAGTGGGGGGATGGAGCGAGCTCTCCCTGATTTTAAAACATTGAAGTCAACATTTCAAACAGTATGGTGTTGATGGTATTGATACCTAACAGCCCAATAGACCAATGGGACAGATTTAAGATTCTAAGTCTAGGATTAAATCCAATTGTATATGAAATCTAGGATATGATAAAGATGATAATCTCAAGTCAGCTATTTGAGTGAATTCCTAAATAAATGGTGTTGGGGCAACTGGTAGCCATTTGGAAAAATACAAAACTGAGTCTGTACCTTACAGCATACACCAGGATAAATTCCAAATGTATTAGAAATTTAAATGTAAAAATATAATGATTCAAGTACCAGAAGAAAATTTGTATGGATTTCTTTATAATCTAGGAAAAGAGAAATCTTTCAATTATGCCTAAAAACCCAAAAGCAATTAATTAAACTACATAAAAATAAAAAACATTTTACAAGGTTTAAATACAACACAAGCAAATAGAAAGATACAAAAACAACTCAGAAAAAAATTGTTGACACCAGAATGACAGGAAGGTTATTTTATGAAGAGCTCCTAAAAATTAAGAAGTACAAGATTAACACTAGAAAAATGGGCAAAAAATAAAAATTTTTAAAAATTATAGAATTTGGAAACTAGCTGAAATAAATGTATGTAATTGAATATCATATTGTCACATAATTACTTAGAAAAAAAATTAGAGTGACTTCAAAGCCCGCTGCTTGAACTGAACACTCTTAGTGGGTTATATTTTAAGGACAAAAAGAACTGCAAGACATTATAAACTTCATTCATTGGTTTTATTGTTTGTAGTAATGTTGGCATTTTAATTTTTCTACTGTTGGCATTGTAATTTTTCTACTGTTGTGGATATAATAAATATGAAATTAGATAAACGTGGTTGGAACCAAAACCTTAGTGTAAGGGGAAAAAAATCAAATCTAATAAGTTAAAACTACATAAGATTAAGTGGAAATATCAGAATTAGTTCATGTTTTGTTTCTTAGGTATAAAAACAAAAAATAGAGTTTCTCACTCTTGCCCTGAAAGGACATAAAAATAAAAGTGACTAACTCAGTAGCAGTAAGCATCTATATCACCCAGATTGTTGTTTCGAAATATTACTTCCTTCCAGAAGGTGTCAGGGCTCTTCAAAGAAATTTCTGATTCCAGGTCTGGAATAGTAAAACCAATAGGGTCATGTGAAAGGACACAGAAATCAGCTTCAAGGACACTGACCAGAGCACCACATTCTAACATCAACAGGAGTGACTACAATGGATTAAACCACATTGAATGTATAAAAATCTATGAGTTCCTGGTAATGAGAAAGAGAACAAGCAAACCAAACATATAAAACCAAGCAAAATAATTATTAGTTATCCGTTTGAAGGTGCTAAGGCACCAACTCCTTCCTCTGAAAATTGATAATTAATGGGAATGAAATAAGCTTTTATCCTGCCTGCCCTAAAGGGACTATATCTCAGAGTAATCAAACAGCCCTGGTCAATGAGGGAGAGCTGTTCTCTACCAGAGAATTCCAGCTAGTACGTGTGGAGAGAATAATAGAACTTAAAGACACTCTGCTTAAAATAATTGACTCAGGCAGTGATCATCAGTAATATTAATGTTATGGGAAAGGTTGATAGAAACTTGACAGTGGAAGGATCAGGCTGCCTCCTCCTGAACCCCGCTGATTATCATCATTAAAAGTTAGATAACCAGATTCTCTGGCTTCCTAATGTGATAAGATGTCAAATGTACAGCACCATCTTGAAATATTCTTGCCCAAAGAGTTGATCCTGAATCTCATTAAGCCTTGAGCTCTAACTTTTTAGTTTACAGAAAGTGAAAGTGGGTGGGGAGTGAGGGGAGACAAGGTAGAAAAACAAATTAAATGATGCTATGAGGAAGCAATCAGAAAAATCCTGAATGAAGTGGCACATATAGGCAGTTAGACAAGTTTCTTTAACATGCTTTGCCTTGACTGTGAGCTTCTTGAGTACGAAGAACATCCTTTATTCACTTTTATATCCCTTATTGTCTTCAAAGTACTTAGCACATGGTGAGTGTTAAATAATGGCTATTGAGTGAAGGAAGGAATATGAATGTGAATGAGCCACAGTTTAATTATCCTTCTATTGTATGGCCTGGACAGAGATGCCTTAATCTCAGCTTCAGACAGTAACTATTCTGTATTCATTTTGTGTTTTTTTAATTCTTCAAAAGTCATTAAAAAAAATTATGATGACTTGGCAACTAGTTGAATAATTAGTTATACTTTATTAATTATACTATATTATGCACACTAAAGATTAATCTTCAAAAGGTGACATTTCTGCCCTCCAGGAACTTAATGTTCTGTGAAGACAGTGTAACAATGGTAAATAAATACAAATATTGAAAAAAATTATTTTCCTTTCTTTCCCTCCCTCCTCTCAACACACACATACCTTGTATTGTTTCTGTTTTTTATCTTCTATATGTTATAATGTTTTGACATCTTAAAATCCTTTCTGGCTGGGGAGACTGCCCCTCCTGTGACCAGCCAGTGTTCAGAGATAGCAAAGGGCTTGGCCAGGAGCACGCCTTTAATATGCACACTAACCAATCCTGAGCCATACGTATCTCCTCGTCTCTGGCCTGTACAATATTCCTCTGCCTTAATCATCCCAGGGCCAGGTACCCAGCAACTGGGGACCACTCATACAGTTTAGAGCCTGCTGGAGTTATTCAAACTGGCCAATCTTAACCTGTTTACCATGCCCTGCCTTGCCTTCCTTGAGGAAATTCAGTAAATGCTCTAGCCTACGCCTTCCCCTTGCTGCTGACACCCTGAGGCTTCCACACGTGGCCCTGTGCAGCGTGGCATGCCTCTTGTCTCCAGGACCTGTGAGTATAATAAACTTTGTTTTCCTGAGACTCTCCTGTGTCTCCTCTCTGGCCTCACTTGAGTGACCATCACATAAAAGAACAGCACAAGCACACACATTCTCTGTCTCTCTCAGAAACACTCATATACGGTTCTGGAGATTTAATTTAGGCCATCACTTTATACTGTGCCTATGTCTTGGAATATTTTTCCCCTTACTTTATTTACCCTTCAGAATTTACATATCCTTTAAGGCTTAGTAAAAATGACACTTTTTACGTGGAGTTTTCCCAGGTCTCTTCAGTCAAATTAATTATTCTTCCATGTGAACTCAGTCTATTACTATTTAAAACTTATTTTGTTCTTCCTCATTTATTACATTAAGTCAACTTCTCCCAGTACACTGTAAACTGGTTGAAGTTAAAACAATGTTCTGTTCATCTTTATGCCCTCACAGATTTGTTATAATGTTGACATGAAGTGCAGACACTTAATTCGTGTATAGAAGGTGCTTTTCTGTAAAAATCAAATACATGTTGTTTTATGCGTAATGTCAGTTGCTCCAACTGTGAGATAAATAATAGAGGAAATTATTTCTTCTTCCATTAACAGCCAGATGTTGTGATACAGTGTGCCAGGACACCTGCATGATCACGCTACTTTCCTAGTCTCCGTTTTTCTTGGTTTGTCATTGCCCAGTACAGGAACCCTTGGAGTCTTCAAGCCTTCCCTAAGACGGCCTCAGTTTGTTCTTCTAACCCTACTACCCTCTACAAATATTTGAAACTCCTGCCAAACAGAATACTCATTTTGCTTCCTGAGAGTGCTTTCATGACTTTTCTCATACTGTTCCCACCCCTTCTTCACCCATCAAAATATGATCCAGCTTTCAGGGCCTGTTTCAGATGTTCTTTTTCCATCACCTTATTTTTGGCCGGCCTAACTAGGTGTGCATGCACCCTGCTAGCTGCCAGTGCCTTATGTTTGGAAAGAGCATTCCATCGCCTTCTTACATTGTGTTGTCTCTGCACTCACACACAGATATTTCAGAAAATGTGGAGACCCTGAGTAAAGTGGTTCTGAGACAGAAGAAAGGGGGTGAAATGGAAAGGTAGCGAGAGAGAAGGAAAACAGAATGTTCCTTCAGAGTTCTTGTTGGGAAGTGAGTCTCCGTTACTTAAAGTGTTCAAGAAGAGATTGAACAGTTACATATTGGTGATGTGATAAAAGAATTTGGCTTGTGTTGGATAAGTATTAAACTAAAAGACTTCTGAGATGGTTTTCAGTGCTAGACTTACTTTTATTGAAGTTTTCTTTTTAAAATTATTTTCAATGAAAAATTAAAATTGTATATATTTATGTATGGTATACAACATGATATTTTGATATGCATGTATATTATAGGGTGCCTAAATCAAGCTAATTAACACATGTATTACCTCACATATTTATCATTTTTGTGTGGCAAAAATAATTAAAATCTACTCTTTTAGCAACTTTCAGTATACAATATATTAGTACTAACTGTAGTCATCATGATGTACAATAAATCTCCTGAACTTATTCCTCCTGTCTAATTGAAAGTTTGTATCCTTTGACCAACATCTCCAAAATCCTCCTACCCCCAGCCTCCGGCAACTACCAGCCTACTGTGCTTCAGTGGGTTCAGCTTCTCTGGATTTCATGTAGGAGTGAAATCATGCAGTACTTGCCTTTCTGTGCCTGGTTTATTTCACCTAATGTAATGTCCTCCAGGTTCATCCATGTTGTTGCAAATGACAGAATTTCCTTCTTTTTTGAGGCTGAATAGTATTCCATTGTGTTTATACACCACATTTTCTTTATCCATTCATTCATTGATGAACACTTAGGTTTATTCCATATATTGGCTATTGTAATGTTGTGGTGAACACAGGAATGCAGCTATCTCTTCAACATACTGATTTCATTTTCCCTGGATATATACCCAGAAATGGGATTCTTCGATCATGTGGTAGTTCTATTTCTAATTTTTTGAGGAGCCAACATAAATTTTTTTTTTTTTTTTTGAGACGGAGTCTTGCTCTGTCACCCAAGCTGGAGTGCAGTGGAGCAATCTTGGCTCATGGCAAGCTCTACCTCCTGGGTTCACGCCATTCTCCTACCTCAGCCTCCCAAGTAGCTGGGACTACAGGCGCCCTCCACCATGCCCGGATAATTTTTTTGTATTTTTAGTAGAGACGGGGTTTCACCGTGTTAGCCAGGATGGTCTCGATCTGCTGACCTCGTGATCCGCCCGCCTCAGCCTCACAAAGTGCTGGGATTACAGGCGTGAGCCACTGCACCTGGCCCAACATGCTATTTTCCATAATAGCTATGCTAACTAATATTCCCACCAACAGTATACAAGGATTTCCTTTTCTGTACATCCTTGCCACCACTTATGTTTTGCCTTTTTGATGGTAGACATTCTACCAGGTTTGAGGTGATATTTCACTGTGGTTTTAATTTGCATTTCCCTGATGATTAGCGATGTCGAGCATTTTTCACATACCTATTGGCCACATGTATGTCTTCTTTTGAAAAATGTCCACTCAGGCCCTTTGTCTATATTTTGATCAGAACATTTGTTTTCTTTTCTTACTGTTGAGTTGTTTGAGTTCCTTATCTACTTTGGACATGAATCTCTTATCGTATGTATGTTGTGCAGGTATCTTCCTCCACTCCATAGGTCATCTCTTCACTCTGCTGTTTCCTTTGCTATGCAACAGCCTTGGGTTGGATGTAATCCTGTGTGTCTCTTGCTTTTGTTGCCTGTCCTTAGGGTCACATCGAAAAAGCCATTGCCCAGAGCAACGTTAGGGAGCTTTTCCCCTGTTTCCTTCCAGGAGGTTTATAGAAAAAGTCATTGCCCAGAGCGACGTTGGGGAGCTTTCCCCCTGTTTCCTTCCAGGAGGTTTATAGAAAAAGTCATTGCCCAGAGCAACGTTGGGGAGCTTTCCCCCTGTTTCCTTCCAGGAGGTTTATAGAAAAAGTCATTGCCCAGAGCGACGTTGGGGAGCTTTTCCCCTGTTTCCTTCCAGGAGGTTTATAGAAAAAGTCATTGCCCAGAGCGACGTTGGGGAGCTTTTCCCCTGTTTCCTTCCAGGAGGTTTATAGAAAAAGTCATTGCCCAAAGCGACGTTGGGGAGCTTTTCCCCTGTTTCCTTCCAGGAGGTTTATAGAAAAAGCCATTGCCCAGAGCGACGTTGGGGAGCTTTTCCCCTGTTTCCTTCCGGGAGGTTTATAGAAAAAGTCATTGCCCAGAGCGACGTTGGGGAGCTTTTCCCCTGTCTCCTTCCGGGAGGTTTATGGAAAAAGTCATTGCCCAGAGCGACGTTGGGGAGCTTTTCCCCTGTCTCCTTCCAGGAGGTTTATAGAAAAAGTCATTGCCCAGAGCGACGTTAGGGAGCTTTTCCCCTGTCTTCTTCCAGGAGGTTTATAGAAAAAGCCATTGCGCAGAGCGACGTTAGGGAGCTTTTCCCCTGTCTTCTTCCAGGAGGTTTATAGAAAAAGCCATTGCCCAGAGCGACGTTAGGGAGCTTTTCCCCTGTTTCCTTCCAGGAGGTTTATAGAAAAAGCCATTGCCCAGAGCGACGTTAGGGAGCTTTTCCCCTGTCTTCTTCCAGGAGGTTTATAGAAGAAGCCATTGCCCAGAGCGACGTTAGGGAGCTTTTCCCCTGTCTTCTTCCAGTAGGTTTATAGAAAAAGTCATTACCCAGAGCAACGTTGGGGAGCTTTTCCCCTGTTTCCTTCCAGGAGGTTTATAGAAAAAGTCATTGCCCAGAGCAACGTTAGGGAGCTTTTCCCCTGTTTCCTTCCAGGAGGTTTATAGAAAAAGTCATTGCCCAGAGCGACGTTAGGGAGCTTTTCCCCTGTTTCCTTCCAGGAGGTTCATAGAAAAAGCCATTGCCCAGAGCGACGTTGGGGAGCTTTTCCCCTGTTTCCTTCCAGGAGGTTTATAGAAAAAGTCTGCCCAGAGCGACGTTGGGGAGCTTTTCCCCTGTTTCCTTCCAGGAGGTTTATAGTCTCAGGCCTTACGCTTAAGTCTCTCTAGAATTCTTAAATTTGTGAACATCCCAAGAAGTGGAAGTAGGAAAAATGTTGAGCTATCAGTATATATGATATGGGTAAAGTGAAGTCTGTCTAGTTTACAGGAGGTTAATAAAATAATTTGAAAACTTATTTTGGCTGAAATTTTGTGCATTCTCTTTTGAGAAATAACTTTCTGTGAATCTGCTTTAAAGTAGAAAAGATGTTAATTTGCATTTCATCTCTTTTTATCTCCGCCCTATTCAATTTCTAGTTGAGATGCAAGTGAACAGTAAAATAACCAAATTTTAGTAAGAACAAGAGGCAGGACCAGAAATGATCTACAGGCTGCATAGTTAAGCTTGGAGTATTCAGAAGTGGACTATTTGTGTTTTGTGGTTTAAGACAAGAATTATTGGCTCTTTTCTGGATATAGCTGTGAGTTATTTATGAAATTATAGAAATTTTTTTGTTGAATGATAGAATTCAAAAGAATATAAAAAGAAAAATCACCAATAATCCTATAAACTGAAGATAGAAACTTTTTATACTTTTATTGTATTTTGTTTCAAACATCTCTCTTGGCATAAATACATATGTTTATGTATGTATGTGTTTGTGTGTGATTAAAACTGGATTATATGACATACTTTTTGAGGTTTTATTGTATTTTAACCTCAGCATCCAACAGAGGAAGTTTTTGAAGTTTTAAAGAAATGCCTCAGGTTCTCTGTGAAGAATCCATTATATGCTTTTTCAAAAACTGTTTTTCCCCCCAGGATTTTAAAGATATTTAGGTCGGGAAAAGCATACAAAATTAAACAACTGGAAAATGAGCTACAAACTACTGAGGTGGATGATTAATTCTGAGCACTCTGATAAGAGGGAGCAATTGTTACATAAAAGCAAGGTTTTGTAGGTAGGCAGTTGTAGTGACACAGAAAACAGCTTCTGGAGATAACATTTTAACTAGGAAAAGCTATCAGGCTTATTCATATCAACAGACAAAGCATCCTGTTAGCCCATATGGATATGGGCATAGGGAAGCTGGGAAAAATCTGCCTTTCTTTGCCGGAAATTCAGTGTTTCTGAACATAGAAAAAGAAGAAATACAGAAAGCGTCATTCAAAGAAAGGAAGCATTCACGTTCTTTTAAATAGCAAGGCTTTTCATGCCAAAATTGTGTAAGGGATTAAATGTTAGCCTGTATTCTTGTCTTGTCTTGGTTATCCATGACTTGGGAAAGCCATGCCAGTTGGTCCATGCCGCCATACCCTCATTCACCTAAGAAGAATTGGAAGTAACACTTTATGACTTATAAGGTGATTTTGCATCCCACGTAATACTTGTGCTAAATATACAAATTATTGATAGAATGCCTGGAGGAAGAGAATCTTTTGTATGGTTAACCTCACATACAGTGCATACAGTGGTAATAGATGCCACACCCCCAGATCGTTGGATTAGAGAATACACATTGATAACTGTAAAACACATTGGGAATGCTGGGTTCCTGAGGGACAAGATTGTGTTTATATTTCATTTCATGTCAGGTGTGGAATATTTTGGGGCCTGAGGCCTTGGCTGTACAGTGGAAACAAATGATGCTTCAGAGAGTCTGTAGTACAGAAAGCAGCATTTTATATTGTTTTATTTAGTGTTTTAGCAAACTAGACACCAGTATCATTGCCATGCTCTTTTTGTTATGAATCCTACTGTGTTAGCAATTGCATGGTTGGTTAGATTAATGTATAATAATGAGTCAGTGTTGGAAATGATGAGATTTGTCTCTTGTCTCTTTCTCTACAAAATTCTAATTTGTAGTAAGTAGCTCAGAACGCTCAGATTTGAATTACTCTGTTTATGCAAGAAGTCATTTATTAAATAAAGATGATGTTAGTAATTTTTAAATCAGTGGTTTGAGTCAGCTTTTTGGTTTGTAGACCAAAAAAGATTTAGTTACTTTGATGAAATGTACTCAACTACTCTCCAATTTTAAGTCAACTGCTTAAATTGTCCAGACATGTTATTTAAGGAATGGTTTCTATATTTGTTTATCATTGAAAGACATTAGACTATATATATTTAAACGTATAGTCAATATATTAAGCACAGAACCTTTCAATTATACAGGTGTCTTAAGAACCCCTGGTCCTGGAGGCTGGTGTTGTTAGTAATATTTAGAGCACTGAATTGTCCAACTAAGAAAAATTAAATTTTAACTTGATTTATACTCAAACATAGCTCTTAGAGAAATTTAAGGGATTTTCCTTTGTGCATGAAAATCTATCAAAAACACAGCCGTCTACCAATTAGATAAGAAGTAAAAAGGTAGTCTTTTAAAAAGACTAAAGCTTTTCTAAGCCAAAAATGAGGGGATTTTCTTTTCTATTTCAGTGTAAAACCTGTTCTGAGCCAAAAAAGATAACCAGTTCCTCTGCCATCTATGACAATCCAAATCTCATCAAACCAATTCCAGTGAAACCCAGTGAAAACCAGCAACAGCGTATACCTCAGCCCAACCAGGTACGGAGTTCTCTGCTTGTCATATTCAGTGTGTCTCTAGAATTCTTAAAGAACTTTGACCCAGAATATAGTCAGGGGAGGGCCTGGTGTTGTTGAAGAATGCTTTCAGGTAAACCCAAGAAAGCGGGATTTCAGAATACAGATTTTTTCATTATTAATAACTTACTCTTCCTAGAAGAGGGTTAAAGTTTTTACTTTTGGCATATACCACATTCTGTGCTAATCTCTTGTGAACTTGAACTCCTTAAAAGATAATGTATTTTTTAAAAAACAACAAGCCAGCACAGTGGCTCAAGCCTGTAATCCCAGCACTTTGAGAGGCTGAGGCGAGAGGATCATTTGAGGCCAGAAGTTTGAGAGCAGCCTGGGCAACACAGTGAGACTCCATCTCTACAGGAAAATTAGCCAGGCATGATGGCGTGCACCTGTAGTGCTAGCTGCTCTGGAGGCTGAGGCGGGAGGATCCCTTGAGCTTAGGAGTTTGAGGTTACGGTGAGCTATGGAATGCGCCACTGCACTCCAGCCTGGGCAAGAAAGCAAGACCATGTCTCAGAAAACAAAAACAAACAAACAAGCACCCTAGAAAACTAATAACATTGTCAGAGATGACAGAAACATTACCCATTGGGTCCATATTCTTCTGGGGTGGGTGGCTTCCCAAGGCCACCTGGGAGAACCACCAAGGACACAGAGTTGATTTGAGCACTTCTGAGCACCTCCTCTGTGCCAGATGCAGAGCTAGCACTGTAGACTGGGGTAGCTGCCGCCGAGAGCTCAGAGTCCAAAGGAATGGTATAAAACTCCTCTTCAGATATGATGACTTGTCACTGTCTTTGCAATCTAAATTAGAAATATTACAGCAGCTTTTGTGTTAGTGTATATATATATATATATACACTTCAGAATAGTACAGCAATGACAAAAATTGTCAATCTGTAGGTCCCATTAATGATTGTAAATATAATATTGCTGTGTCATTTTATCATGACTATGACTAATTAAAAAGATTTTCTTAAAGGAATTAGTTTATATCAATTTTGAAAATGAACATGGAGCCAAAAGACATAAAGACTAGTAATGAAAATCTTATATTGAATTTTTAAAGAAAAGAAGTCTTCTAATTTTTTAGCTTTCTTTTTATTGCTTGTTTTATGGAAAGTTTTTATTATATTTTAATAGCGAGACCTGAATATGTTGACTTTAAAATGAAGCTTGTGGTTTTTTTTCTTTCCTCTTTTATTTTTTTTTTTGAGACAGATTTCATTCCTGTTACCCGGGCTGGAGTGCAGTGGCACCATCTCAGCTCACTGCAACTTGTGTCTCCTGGGCTCAAGCAATCCTCCCACCTCAGCCTCCCAAGTAGCTGGGACTACAGGCGTGTGCTGCCACATCTGGCAATTTCTGTATTTTTTGTAGAGATGGGGTTTTGCCATGTTGCCCAGGCTGGTCTTGAACTCCTTAGCTCAAGCAGTCTGCCTGCCTTGGCCTCCCAAAGTGCAGGAATTACAGGCATGAGCCACTGTGCCTAGCCTCATGTTTTCTCAGTGCAACAATGCAGAAAGCAACAGAAGTAAAGAGCAAGAAGGAAGTAGCTTTGTAACTGGCTGGGCCAAGGTAGATTTTATGTATCCAAGGACTTTTTAAATCCTACCAGTATATATTTGAAAGGATCAAGTTAGATTTAAAGTCTTCCGTTTCTTTCCAGCCCTTGATTTCCATAATTCTGTGAAAAACTACTAGAAATTCTGAAATGCTTATATTCCTTTGTATTCTCATATTACTCTGCAGGCTTAGATGGGCTTCCTATTGAACAGATTGTTTATTTTTTTAGTGCATATAATTTCCTACCAAGGTGGTTCCCAATCTGTGAAACCCCAGGCCCTTGAAGATCTTATACCTGTTTTATCGGTCAACAGATATTAAAATATAATAACTGTTTTGGGGGTGCAAGGGGAGCATGCTGTGAAAATTTTTGACATTAAAAAGGGGATCTCATTTTTCAAGTTTATTATTATTATTTTTCATTCTCTCTAATCAATCCTTTGTAAATAGAATAAGTCATCAGATAAGTTATGTTTCATAGCACTTCCTCATATAACCAAATTGTTTGTAGACTCATGTCAGATATCTTTATTTTTTCCAGACCTTAGACCCTGAACCCCAACACTTATCCTTGACAGCTCTGTTTGGGAAGCAGGACAAAGCTACATGTCAGGAAACTGTGGAGCCTCCGCAGACTCTCCACCAGCAGCAGCAGCAGCAGCAGCAGCAGCAAGAGAAGCTTCCAATTAGGCAGGGGGTTGTACGCTCCCTGTCCTATGAGGAACCCAGAAGACACTCACCCCCCATTGAGAAGCAGCTCTGTCCAGCCATTCAGAAACTCATGGTCAGGAGCGCAGACCTCCACCCATTGTCAGAGCTGCCTGAAAACCGGCCTTGTGAAAATGGCAGTACCCATTCTGCGGGAGAATTTTTTACAGGACCTGTCCAGCCAGGGTCTCCTCACAACATTGGAACTTCTCGTGGTGTACAAAATGCTTCCAGAACTCAGAACCTGTTCGAGAAACTTCAGAGTACCCCAGGGGCAGCAAACAAGTGTGACCCTAGTACACCAGCACCTGCCAGCTCAGCTGCCCTGAACCGCAGCAGAGCTCCCACTTCTGTCACCCCTGTGGCTCCAGGAAAGGGTCTGGCTCAGCCACCACAGGCCTATTTCAATGGCTCCCTTCCACCTCAGACAGTAGGACATCAGGCTCATGGAAGAGAACAGTCCACACTCCCAAGACAAACACTCCCCATCTCTGGTAGTCAGACTGGCAGCTCTGGAGTGATCTCCCCTCAAGAGTTACTGAAGAAGCTTCAGATTGTACAGCAGGAGCAGCAGCTGCATGCCTCTAACCGGCCAGCCTTGGCCGCTAAGTTTCCTGTGCTCGCTCAGAGCTCTGGAACAGGGAAACCCTTGGAATCCTGGATCAACAAGACACCCAACACAGAACAGCAGACTCCTCTTTTCCAGGTAAATATGTACCAGGGGCAAAATAAAACAGCCTGGGCAGCATAGCAAGATCCTGTCCCTAAAAAAAAAAAAAAAGTAGCCAGGCTTGGTGTCACACGCCTATAGCACCAGCTACTGAGGAGGCTGAGGTGGGAGGATCCCTTGAGCTCAAGAGGCGGAGGTTACAGTGAACCATGATCGTGCCACTGCACTCCAGCCTGGGTGACAGAGCGAGACCCTGTCTGTTAAGAAAAAAAAAGACAGACAAAGAAAAAGGTATTACTATAATGCAGTGAAATGTAGAGTCCACTTCCATGCTCTAGGGACCAATGTGTCACGTACATTTCTGTTTGGAGCAGGGTGCACCTCCGTGCATCTTGATTGCCTGAACTTTCTACCTGGAAGGAGAATCTTCACTTTGGTTAACAATCTGAGAACTTCCCCCAACCTTTTTGAGAGCATTACTTGTAGAGTTAAATCTTCGTTATATTAGGAGGTCTGAAGACCAACACAGACATGGGAGAAAACCGTAATTTTTGACTGTAGGAACTTAGTATGGTCTGCCTTGAAATCAATCTGGAATGCCAAGCAACTGACCTCCTCTTGTTTTTCAGTCCACAGTAAATTATTCACTTATTTAGTAAATATTTTTGAGCACTTACTACATGTCAGGCATTGTCTACATGTGGGTACATAATGATGAAGAAAACAGACTCCTTACCCACAGCCCATGCTGTAGGTTCTTGAAATAAACAAAAAACAGCCTATTTCCTCCTGAAAGGTGCAGCCAGTTTTTATCTTTCTCTGTATCGTCAGTATAGCCTACTGTAGATCAGGAGAGGTATGCATGCCACCCACCTCCACCCCCCACACAAACTGCCAGAGAGGGAAAATATGACAGTTTTTAGAAAGATTCTCTCCTTTAGAGAAGATGCTTTTCCATGTCCATCACTGACTTGGGACAGTGAGGAAACCACAAGCTATTGATCATCTGCCTGTGGGTAACATCTGGAGATCTGACATTGAATTGTTTTCCCTTTGGATTGGAACACATTCATTGAAAGTACATTGGGTTTAAAAATTGGAAAGTTCTCCCTGTGTATCACATATATCATCACTGGCCCTTTGTCATGTTTTGTTATGTACCTTTTTTTGTTTTTTGAGACAGAGTTTCACTCTTGTCGCCCAGGCTGGAGTACAATGGTGCGATCTCGGCTCACTGCAACCTCCACCTCCCGGGTTCAGGCGATTCTGCTGCCTCAGCCTCCTGAGTAGCAGGGATTACAGGCACCTGCCACCACACCTGGCTAATTTTTTGTATTTTTTTAGTAGAGACGAGGTGTCACGATGTTGGCCTGGCTGGTCTCGAACTTCTGACCTCAGGTGATCCACCCACCTCGGGCTCTCAGAGTGCTGGGATTACAGTCGTGAGCCACTGCACCTGGCCTGTTATGTAACTTATAACAGTTTCTCAAAAATCTTGAACTTTTGGCTGGGCATGGTGACTCGTGCCTGTAATCCCAGCACTTTGGAGGTTAAGATAGGAGAATCGCTTGAACCTAGGAGTTTCAGACCAGCCTGGGCAACATAGACCCTGTCTCTACAAGAATTTTTTGTTTTTAATTAGCCGGGTATGGTGGCATGCCACTGTGGTCCCAGCTACTTGGGAGGCTGAAGTGGGAAGATTGCTTGAGCCCAAGAAGTTGAGGCTGCAGTCAGCCATGTTTGCACCACTGCACTCCAGCCTGGGCAGTAGAGTGAGACCTTGTCTCAAAACAAAAAATTCAGTTTTTTGAAAACAAAGACCTTAGGCATGTGCCAAAAGTCTTTGTGAGCCCCTGAGTCAAAGTGTTCTCATTTATTATTTATTAACATCCCAAATCTGAGTACCGACTGCTATAGAAACAATATTTATAACTCCCACTCCCCCTCATTTCAGTGTTATTGTCCCTTTTTTAAAAATGTCTGCTTTTTTCCTCTTTGATGATTTAGAATTAGAAGCATGCGATGAATATAGTCTGACTTAAATTTCTGATGTACAACTCCCTTGACTTTTCAGTACTCACAAATATCAAGAGCCGAGTGAGAAAGGCAAGCATTTCAGCAGCCCACGCTGTGCTCAGAATGCTTGACTCCACCTCCGGGAGCATCACTGCTCAGCACCGCTCCTCGAAATGTCATGTAGGGACAAGTTAAAAGAAACAGCCTGCCTTCCTCTAGGCCAACTTTTGCTCAAAGAGACGCTAAGGGATTGATTATAAAATTACAGCAACTTCTAGCTTGCTGGCCTCCTTGCCTCCCTCTTAGGAGTTCTTTCGGGGAGTTCGGAGGCTGATAAATAACATTCTTTTTCTTCCCTGAGTTAGAAGCAAATGATAGCTGTAGGAGTCAGTCAGATAAGGATCAAAATGTCACTTGCATAACTGAAAGGGCTGTTAGAAAACTTGGTTTCAGGTCTGTTTGCCAAGGGAGTTAGACTCAGCAGACAGGCTCTGGCAGGGCTGAGCAACAGGCCGCCCGGGTCAGCCCAAACACATCAGCTGCGGAAGCTGAAGATGAGGGCTCTCTGCAGGCAGGCAGATCCTGTCAGGGAAGGACCCAGAAGGGGTGGACCCACACATCACTCTCCCTCCCCACGAGAAGTGAGTGAGGCCGCAGGAGGGGCGGGGAGTTGCTCTCACAGCGCCTCCTGTGCTCCGGGGTCAGGAGGGGAAATGGGGAGGCCCCTAACAAGGGTGGCAGCTCACATAGGTTGTGAGACCTTTAGGTCAGGGTCATGGACAACCAGGTCTAAGGAAAAGGTCAGTAGTCCTAAATGCACTTGCCAAATACTGGTAGCCTGAAAAATAAGCTGTCACCCAGAGGCCAAGCTGCATATGCAGTGGAAAGAATAGTCCCCACAGCAGACGATACCAGAGCTGCTCAGTGATGCTGAAGGAAGGTGCATGGAGCAGTGGAGCAAGAATCAGTTTCCCATAAACTTTTCTCAGCTAGGAAAGCTGTGGACAGGGAATGCTTAGACCACCCGTATCTGCCGCTGCAAGCTATCATGCCGTGAGCTGCTCCTGAACCCCGCTCTCTGTGTGTATTTGCTGTGAGCAGGTCATCTCACCTCAGCGCATCCCTGCTACAGCAGCTCCGTCTCTGCTTATGTCCCCCATGGTGTTCGCACAACCCACCTCCGTCCCGCCAAAGGAAAGGGAGAGCGGCCTCTTGCCTGTGGGAGGCCAGGAGCCACCTGCTGCTGCCACCAGCCTCCTCCTGCCCATACAGAGCCCGGAGCCCTCCGTGATCACCAGCAGCCCACTCACCAAGCTCCAGCTCCAGGAGGCACTGCTGTACCTCATTCAGGTAAGCAAGCACGTCATCTCCCTTCGCACCTGACCACGCCTGTTGGCCTCCTGGCTGCAACTATGAGATAAAGACTCAGCCAAGGCCTGCTTAGCTTCCGTGAGAATAACAGGTGTGTGTAACAACTCATCCTGACCCCAGCGGCTTCTGTGCTCAGTTAGCTAGGTGTTATTTATAATACCAAGTGTGGCTTGGGTGTCTCAGCTCTTCAAGGATTTTGTAATTTGAAGGACTGTCTAAGGCCTCCAAGCTGTCACCTGTCAGAAGAGAAGGAAGCATATGCTGGGGATTAAGCAGTCCCTGAGAGGACCCTGGGTGCTGGAGGCCCAGACAGAAAACTCACCATTGGGAGGTAGAGGTGGGAGCAGTCCTGGGCAAGGGGCCATCTGTTGAGTGGGGAAGAGGCCACTGAGCGAGTGGAAAACAGGGAGGGAAGCAAATAATGGCCATGGCTGCTACAGGTATGTTTTACAAGTCATTTTGAAACCTGCTCATTAGGACGGGATGGAGTGACAGGACTCCTTGTGAGCTGCTAGCCTCACTTGCCTATGAAATTATGAAATAATAATGAGTGCTATAATAGCTAACACTCCACAGAGCTGGCGCCGGGCCCTATTTTCAGTGCTACACACAAGCATATAACTCATTCACTCCTTACATAACAACCCTGTTATTTTTCCCATTCTACAGACAAGGAAACTGAGGCTGAGCAACTGGCCTGAGGCACGGAGCTCGTACATAAGCAGGGCTGGGATGCACCCAGCCTGGCCCCCGAGTGCCACTTCCCACGTACTCTCCCGTGGGCCACGTTCACCACATGAATGTTGGCAGGGACCAGCCTCGGGAGAACATTCAGCACAGGTGCCCTAGCAAAGCACACCCAAGAAATCAACGGCAGTCCTTGAAAAGTGGAACATTTGTAGCCAGACAGACTTCAGACACCCCAGTTAACATATTTAGGTGTCTTTTTGGTAGATAATCTTTAAGAAAACTTGTGTGGTACTTTGCTTAAGCATCAGACGGCCTTTAGAGAGCAGGCCAGCCCTTCTGCGGTTGTCTTATCCTACTTAAAAAGACAGTGGTCTCAATTAGTACAACATTTTTAAAAAGGTTCCATGTTGGCCGGGCACAGTGGCTGCTCACGCCTGTAATCCCAGCACTTTGGGAAGCCAAGGTGGGAGCATTGCTTGAGGCCAGGAGTTCAAGACCAGCCTGAGCAACATAGCGAGACTACAAAAGAAGGAAACATGTTTGAGGAAGAATGAAAGGAATGGGGCTAGAAGTCAGCAGAAGCATAATAACAATCAGAGATAAATAAGGTCAACAGCAAATGATTGAGCCCTACTAATTCATAAGTAAATATCAGGATAAAAATATTTGCCACCTTTTAAAGCTATTCATAGTAAGCTCAGGAGGAATTAGACATCTGTGAACCTCTTTACTTTGAGCCAGTTTCTTAAGTTGTAATTTAAAAGATCCATATGTTTTCTGGCTGATTCCCTTCACATTGTCTTGAGACTCTACTCCAGAGTAGTGGCTGAACATGGCGGATTAGAAATTACATTCCCCTGCCCTCCACTCTGCGTGCATTTTACTTCTTCCCGTGTACCACACCTCATATTCCCAGTCACTCAAGCAGTCTGTTTTTAGTTTCTGCCTCTTGTTAGGACACAATCTCATGCAGAGGAACTTTGTGACTACTTTGCAGGAAAAAGAGGGATAACATCACTCTCTTCATTGCATGAGAATGATGCTAAATCTGTGTGGGGTGCCAAGAGGGAATGAAGGGGGAATGTGAAGTGTGGGTGAATTACTAACACTGTAAAGAATTTGGGTGGGAGGGAGAAGTCTCTAGAATTAAAACATGAGGAAAACCACTGATTAGACCGTGATTCTCACTCCTTAGCCAGGCAAAAGAGCCCAGAGATTACCAGTCTTACTCCTGCCCACTTGCCAAGGCTAGAAACTTTCCATAACTTATGGGAAGACTTATATTAGCTTTGATGAAGTACTGATGAAGCATATTGCAAGTAAAATCCTAAGTAATGCCCAAAACAAAGCAGACACATTGTAGGTGACTTGGAGGGCCTTTAAGAACCACAGTGGCTCATGCCTGTAATCCAACACTTGGGGAGGCCAAAGTGGGAGGCTCACTTGAGCCCAGGAGTTCAAGACCACCCTGAGCAACATAGTGAGACCCTGTCTTAACAAAAAACTTAAAAGCCAGGCATGGTAGCACGCACCTGTAGCCCTAGCTACTCTGGAGGCTGAGGTGGGAGGATCGCTTGAACCCATGAGGTTGAGGCTGCAGTGAGCTATGATGGCACTACTGCACTTTAGCTTGGGTGACAGAGTGAGACCCAGTCTCAAAAACCCAAAAAACAAGAAACAAAAAAACACACCACAGCAATCTCTTAACCAAACTTTGAGACCACTGACTTGGATCATGTCCTCCTAACTCCTCTGTCTGCTGGGGCTTCATGTCTTTTCATGCAGCAGACCCAGGCTGTTCTTGAGTAAACCTTGCTCCATGCTGCCATGTGTCTGGGCTGCCCATCTGTGCTGCATGTAATGAGCTCTTGCTGCTGTGCATACTGACCATGGAAAACCATCAGCTCTGTCCGGCCTTGCCGTCAACCCCACTTAACATTCACACATGCAATTAAAAACCACCAGCTGTTAGACAGGGAGAGATGAGTGTCTCAGTATCCAAAGGCCAGTTCAGCTCTAAGACAGAGGAAGCCTTTTGTGTCTGCCAACCAAGTAACATTCTCTTGGGTCTTTCGATTTGTTTTCCAGAATGATGACAACTTCTTAAATATAATCTATGAAGCCTATCTCTTCAGCATGACTCAAGCAGCCATGAAAAAGACTATGTGACAGCAAGGCCTTTTAAAACTGATTTTCAAGGTCCTTCTAGAACTCCGGCACAAGGTTCTTTCATGTTGAGTGTTGTTTCCTTCAATGTTTCTGCCTTTTTTAAAAAAAAAGTATGTGTAATATGAAGTAAAATGTTTCAGACTTTTTTTTATACTCAAGTGTTTTTTAATTATTATTATACTTTAAGTTCTGGGGTACATGTACAGAACATGCAGGTTTGTTACATAGGTATACACATGCCATGGTGGTTTGCTGCACCCATCAACCCATCATCTACATTAGTATTTCTCCTAACGCGCTTCCTCCCCTAGTCCCCCACCCCGCGACAGACCCCAGTGTGTGATGTTCCCCTCCCTATGTCCGTGTGTTCTCATTGTTCAATTCCCACCTGTGAGTGAGAACATGTGGTGTTTGGTTTTCTGTTACTTTGTTAGTTTGCTGAGAATGATGGTTTCCAGCTTCATCCATGCCCCTGCAAAGGACAAGAACTCATTCTTTTTTATGGCTGCATAGTATTCCCTGGGTGTATATATGCCGTATTTTCTTTATCCAGTCTATCATTAATGGACATTTGGGTTGGTTCCAAGTCTTTGCTATTGTGAATAGTGCTGCAATAAACATACGTGTGCATGTGTCTTGATAGTGGAATGATAATCCTTTGATTATAGTAGAGTTACAATCCTTTGGGTATATACCCAGTAATAAGTAGAGTTATAATCCTTCGGGTATATACCTAGTTATGGGTAATAATTAGAGTTATAATCCTTTGGGTATATACCCAGTAATGGGATTGCTGGGTCAAATGGTATTTCTGGTTCTAGATCCTTGAGGAATCACCACACTGTCTTCCACAATGGTTGAACTAATTTACACTCCCAACAACAATGTAAAAGCGTTCCTGTTTCTCCACATCCTCTCCAGCATCTGTTGTTTCCTGACTTTTTAATGATCACCATTGTAACTGGTGTGAGATGGTATCTCATTGTGGCTTTGATTTGCATTTCTCTAATGACCAGTGATGATGAGCTTTTTTTCATGTTTGTTGGCCACATAAATGTCTTCTTTTGAGAAGTGTCTGTTCATATACTTTGCCCACTTTTTGATGGGATTGTTTTTTTCTTGTAAATTTGTTTAAGTTCTTTGTAGATTCTGGATATTAGCCCTTTGTCAGATGGGCAGATTGCAAAAAATTTCTCCCATTCTGTAGGTTGCCTGTTCATTCTGATATAGTTTCTTTTGATGTGCAGAAACTCTTTAGTTTAATCAGATCCCATTTGTCAATTTTGGCTTTTGTTGCCATTGCTTTTGGTGTTTTAGTCATGAAGTCTTTGCACATGCCTATGTCCTGAACGGTATTGCCTAGGTTTTCTTCTAGGGTTTTTATGGTTTTAGGTCTTACATTTAAGTCTTTAATCCATCTTGAGTTAATTTTTGTATAAGGTGTAAGGAAGGGGTCCAGTTTCAGCTTTCTGCATATGGCTAGCCAGTTTTCCCAACACCACTTATTAAATAGGGAATCCTTTCCCCATTGCTTGTTTTTGTCAGGTTTGTCAAAAGTCAGATGGTTGTAGATGTGTGGCATTATTTCTGAGGGCCTCTGTTCTGTTCCTTGGTCTGTATATCTGTTTTGGTACCAGTACCATGCTGTTTTGGTTACTGTAGCCTTGTAGTATAGTTTGAAGTCAGGTAACATGATGCCTGCAGCTTTGTTCTTTTTACTTAGGATTGTCTTGGCTATACGGGCTCTTTTTTGGTTCCATATGAAATTTAAAGTAGTTTTTTCTAATTCTGTGAAGAAAGTCAATGGTAGCTTGATGGGGATAGCATTGAATCTATAAATTACTTTGGGCAGTGTGGCCATTTTGATCATACTGATTCTTCCTAGCCATGAGCATGGAATGTTTTTCCATTTCTTTGTGTCCTCTCTTATTTCCTTGAGTTGTGGTTTGTAGGTCTCCTTGAAGAGATCCTTCACATCCCTTGTAAGTTGTATTCCTAGGTATTTTATTATCTTTGTAGCAATTGTGAATGGGAGTTCACTTATGATTTGGCTCTCTGTTTGTCTATTATTGGTGTATAGGAATGCTTGTGATTTTTGCACATTGATTTTGTATCCTGAGACTTTGCTGAAATTGCTTATGAGTTTAAGATTTTGGGCTGAGACGATGGGGTTTTCTAAATATACAGTCATGTCATCTGCAAACAGAGACAATTTGACTTCCTCTGTTCCTATTTGAATATTATTTCTTTCTCTTGCCTGATTGCCCTGGCCAGAACTTCCAATACTATGTTGAATAGGAGTATTGAGAGAGGGCATCCTTGTCTTGTGCCAGTTTTCAAAGGGAATGCTTTCAACTTTTGCCCATTCAGTATGATATTGGCTGTGGGTTTGTCATAAATAGCTCTTATTATTTTGAGATACATTCCATCAATACCTAGTTTATTGAGAGTTTTTAGCGTGAAGGGGTGTTGAATTTTATCGAAGGCCTTTTCTGCATCTATTGAGATAATCATGTGGTTTTTGTCATTGGTTCTGTTTATGTGATGGATGACGTTTATTGGTTTGTGTATGTTGAACCAGCCTTGCATCCGAGGGATGAAGCTGACATGATCGTGGTGGATAAGCTTTTTGATGTGCTGCTGGATTCGGTTTGCCAGTATTTTATTAAGGATTTTCGCTTTGATGTTCATCAGGGATATTGACCTGAAATTTTCTTTTTTTGTTGTGTGTCTCTGCCAGGTTTTGGTATCAAGATGATGCTGGCCTCATAAAATGAGTTAGGGAGGAGTCTCTCTTTTTCTACTGTTTGGAATAGTTTCAGAAGGAATGGTACCAGCTCCTCTTTGTACCTCTGGTAGAATTCAGCTGTGAATCCATCTGGTCCTGGGTTGATAGGCTATTAATTACTGCCTCAATTTCAGAACTTGTTATTGGCCTATTCAGGGCTTCGACTTCTTCCTGGTTTAGTCTTGGGAGGGTGTATGTGTCAAGGAATTTATCCATTTCTCCTAGATTTTCTTGTTTATTTGCATAGAGGTGTTTATGGTATTCTCTGATGGTAGTTTGTATTTCTGTGGGATCTGTGGTGATATCCCCTTTGTCATTTTTTATTGTGTCTATTTGACTCTTCTCTCTTTTCTTCTTTATTATTCTGGCTAGCAGTCTATCTATTTTGTTAATCTTTTCAAAAAACCAGGTCCTGGATTCATTGATTTTTTGAAGGGTTTTTCGTGTTTCTGTCTCCTTCAGTTCTGCTCTGATTTTAGTTATTTCTTGTCTTCTGTTAGCTTTTGAATTTGTTTGCCCTTGCTTCTCTAGTTCTTTTAATTGTGATGTTAGGGTGTCAATTTTAGATCATTCCCGCTTTCTTCTGCAGGCATTTTAGTGCTATAAATTTCCCTCTAAACACTCCTTTAGATAGATGTGTCCCAGAGATTCTGGTGCGATATGTCTTTGTTTTCCCTGGTTTCAAAGAACTTACTTATTTCTGCCTTAATTTCGTTATTTACCCAGTAGTCATTCAGGAGCAGGTTGTTCAGTTTCCGTGTAGTTGTGCGGTTTTGAGTGAGTTTCTTAATCCTGAGTTCTAATTTGATTGCACAGTGGTCTGAGAGACTGTTTGTTATGATTTCCATTCTTTTGCATTTGCTAAGGAGTGCTTTACTTCCGATTATGTGGTCAATTTTAGAATAAGTGTGATGTGGTACTGAGAAGAATGTATATTCTGTTGATTTGGAGAGAAGAGTTCTGTAGATGTCTGTTAGGTTCATTTGGTCCAGAGCTGAGTTCAAGTCCTGAATATCCTTGTTAATTTTCCGTCTCATTGATCTGTCTAATATTGACAGAGGGGCGTTAAAGTCTCCCACTATTATTATGTAGGAGTCTAAGTCTCTTTGTATGTTTCTGGGAACTTGCTTTATGAATCTGGGTGCTCCTGTGTTGGGTGCATATATATTTAGGATAGTTAGCTCTTCTTGTTGCATTGATCCCTTTACCATTATGTAATGCCCTTCTTTGTCTTTTTTGATCTTTGTTGGTTTAAAGTCTGTTTTATCAGAGACTAGGATTGCAACTTCTGCTTTTTTTCTTCTTTCCATTTGCTTGGTAAATATTCCTCCATCCCTTTATTTTGAGCCTATGTGTGTCTTTGCACGTGAGATGGGTCTCCTGAATACAGCACACCGATGGGTCTTGCCTCTTTATCCAATTTGCCACTCTGTGTCTTTTAATTGGGGCATTTAGCCCATTTACATTTAAGGTTAATATTGTTGTGTGTAAACTTGATCCTGTCATTATGATGCTAGCTGGTTATTTTGCCCGTTAGTTGATGCAGTTTCTTCATAATGTCGATGGTCTTTACAATTTGGTATGTTTTTGCAGTGGCTGGTACCAGTTTTTCCTTTCCATATTTAGTGCAGAGTGGACCTCCAGCAAACTCCAGCAGACCTGCAGCAGAGGGGCCTGACTGTTAGAAGGAAAACTAACAAACAGAAAGGAATACCATCAACATTAACAAAAAGGACGTCCACGCAAAAACCCCATCCGAAGGTCATCAGTGTCAAAGATAAATCCACGAAGATGGGGAAAAAACAGTGCAAAAAGGCTAAAAATTCCAAAAACCAGAATGCCTCTTCTCCTCCAAAGGATCACAACTCCTCGCCAGCAGGGGAACAAAACTGGATGGAGAATGAATTGACAGAAGTAGGCTTCAGAAGGTGGGTCGTTACAGACTCCTCCAAGCTAAAGGAGCATGTTCTAACCCAATGCAAGGAAGCTAAGAACCTTGAAAAAAGGTTACAGGAACTGCTAACTAGAATAACCAGTTTAGAGAAGAACATATATGACCTGATGGAGCTGAAAAACACAGCACGAGAACTTCGTGATGCATACATAAGTATCAGTAGCCGAATTGATCAAGCAGAAAAAAGGATATCAGAGATTGAAGATCAACTTAATGAAATAAAGCGTGAAGACAAGATTAGAGAAAAAAATGAAAAGGATGAACAAGGCCTCCAAGAAATATGGGACTATGTGAAAAGACCAAACCTACATTTGATTGGTGTACCTGTAAGTGATGGGGAGAATGGAACCAAGTTGGAAAACACTCTTCAGGATATTATCCAGGAGAACTTCCCCAACCTGGCAAGGCAGGCCAACATTCAAATTCAGGAAATACAGAGAACACCACAAAGATACTCCTCGAGAAGAGCAACCCCAAGACACATAATTTTCAGATTCACCAAGGTTGAAATGAAGGAAAAAATGTTAAGGGAGGCCAGAAAGGTCAAGTTACCCACAAAGGGAAGCCCATCAGACTAACAGTGGATATCTCTGCAGAAACCCTACAAGCCAGAAGAGAGTGGGGGCCAACATTCAACATTCTTAAAGAATAGAATTTTCAGGGGCCAGGCGCGGTGGCTCACACCTGTAAGCCCAGCACTTTGGGAGGCTGAGACAGGTGGATCACGAGGTCAGGAGATCGAGACCATCCTGGCTAACACGGTGAAACCCTGTCTCTACTAAAAATACAAAAAATTAGCCGGGCATGATGGAGGGCGCCTGTAGTCCCAGCTACTCGGGCGACAGAGCGAGACTCCGTTTCAAAAAAAAAAAAAGAATAGAATTTTCAACCCAGAATTTCATATCCAGCCAAACTAAGCTTCATAAGCGAAGGAGAAATAAAATCCTTTACACACAAGCAAATGCTGAGAGATTTTGTCACCACCAGGCCTGCCTTTCAAGTGTTTTTGTTTTGTTTTGCTTTTAGAAATCACGTCCTTCAGTACACCTGGTACTAAGAATTGAGCGGGTAGGAAAATTCTTTGCTTAGGTCACTCAGTAAATGCCAAGCTTAGTATGTTTCCTTAAATGTATGGAGCCACTTCAGAAGAATCAGTGTCTCTGTGAGAAGGGCTGTTCTCAGAGCTTAGTTCTTTATTAATAAGTCTGGTGGTTCTTTGAGCAGTGTGTAACTTCCATTGGGGAGCTCCGTGCGCACAGTGCACGCCGACCACCAGGTGGCAGTGTCGTCCCACAAGTTAACCTACAAAGGCTTTAATGAGCCTTTGGAAGTAACGACGGTTTTCTTTTACCAGACAAAGTAAACCTTTCATTTGTAAAAACCCAGTTGGCATGTTTTACCCAATCCTTTGAAGGAAGTTATTTCTAAAGGTATTTATAGCTAGTTTCTAGAGGATAGATGTTCTAGGAGTTGACAAATGGCCCAGATTTCCAGCAACACTTCATCCATCCCAGCCCATGAAGCAGCAGGATGTGCCCGCCTAAGCTTCCGAATGGATAGTATATCACCCTTAGCAGAACACGCTGAGGCGGAGGGCACAGGAGATTGTCACTGTGATGTTCAGGGCGTCATGATCTGCAAGCTGTGTAGCAGATCGAGTTTTATGTTCGCAGAGATGAGGAGCTTAATCTTGGAAGGAGTCAGAAGAGCCCCTGCCAAGTTGTTAAGAGTATCTATGGGAATTCGTCCCTGCTGAGTATTTGTAATAAATAAAGCTTTGCGTTTCAATAGCACTTCTTATTCTCGGATAATAAAAAGATCTTCGATTACTGCACAGCCGACAGGTGTTTTATTCTCATTTTATAGTTCATAAAATGGAAGCGTGAGGAAAACAGGTTTCCCTACCGTTTCTGAGACCTGGGCTTGGACTTTAAGCTCTAGACCTTTGTTCAGCCACAGCATCGAGTGAAAGCATTGTTAGAACACCACCTCCCCTACTCTCCCGCAGGAGGGTGCTTTTTCTTGTGAAGAGAAAGGGTGGGTGGAAAAGGGATTGACTGTTACTGAACCCCTGTTATGTGCCAGACCTTGGCGAGGAGTCTGCTGTGTTACCCTCCAACATTTAGGAAGGGGTGAGTTCTTTTGTTTCGTTGGTATCTCCTACAACATCTAACATAGTGATAAACCATGCAAAGTTTTCACAAAACACTTGAAATTAATAATTGCATATATGGTATCTCAATATTCTTATAAGGAGAACAGGGCGAGGACAGAGACACACTTGGATCTGTTATTCAAAGTCAGTGATCATAGTGCTTGCCTCAGCGATACATGCACAAAAATGGGACAAAATCAATGATCTGATTAACTGCTGGATTCAAAGTCAGTGATCGTAGTGCTTGCCTCAGCGATACATGCACAAAAATGGGGCAAAATCAATGATCTGATTAACTGCTGGCAACCTTAACAATGTATCTTTGATCTTAATTACATGTTTAGAGTTGCTTCGCTAGCTAAGGAGAGATGAATTCCATACTTAATGTTCCTAACGTATTTGCAGTAGCAAATGGCTAATTTCATGAAATATTTATTCTTTTGCTTCAGAACCGAGTAAATAAAACAGAAAGAATATCAGTTGCCGTACCTAATGTGAGAAGGTGCCCATGTTCTGATGCGACGGGGGAACAAACCCAAGCCCAGCATGGTCAGACCTGCCCTGCAGGCTTCAGTCGGGCCTTTCTAGGTCAACACCACAGTCATCTGTTTTGAAAAATAATAAATTCTCCATCCTTTACTGGAATACATCATTTTGAAAGGGACAGGCCCAATTCATTTAGACCAAAGACGAAGTCACCCTTCAAAGGGCAGTTGGTGATGGAGTGCTTATTTCTTCTATACAGCAAAGCAGATGAGAGTGTCTTTGTACAAAAGGACTTTCTCTAGTGAGTCCAAGAAATAGATCAAAAGGGTTATCTAAGGCACCCAAAGCTAGATTTCATAAATAAATGGGCTTTTCTTCTTCCCACTCAGCCCAAATTCTGAGAACATCATGGACGCCACTCCTTAGGTGCCACTGGCTCCCAGGCAGCAGTTTTCACCTGATTGAATCTCAGGTGCAGCCCTGAGATTTCTGTTCGTAGAGGCAGCCTTATCCAGTGCAGTGGGCTTCAGCCTGGTAGACGTTCCAGAAGCCAGAGCCGTCCGGTGTGGGGAAGAGCACCCAGCTATGGAGTCACACAGATCCGCCTTCAACTCCTGAACAAACACATCTTTGGGATGTTGTTTTCTCACTTAGAAAATGAAAGACCCTCACAAGGTCCATATGAGGATTAAATGGGAGCAACATATGGCAGACAGCCCCTCTGTGCCATGACTGTGGTGCGGGGGCCATGCTCCAGTTGTTGGGAGAGGCCCGCAGCTGCTGGGCCGGCCTTTGTTTGCCATCTACCAGGACCTGAGTGTTCAGCCTGGCATTGGCACTTAGGGATCTGTGGCCGCCTTGCTTTACCGCGTTCTCCCCCTCATTTCCTTATCAATGGAATGAAAACAGTAACACTTCTCCCTTCCTTATGAAGGAAGTGCCACAGCTCTTTAAGAGGTCCACATACCCAGCAGTATATTACTTGTAACATACCATGTCGGTATTGTTCTTGCCCCTGCCGTTATGGGTAAAGCACCACCTTAATTGCAAGGCGGGAGAAGGCAGTGCTATTTGATAGGATTTGTACTTCCTGGATCTTCTGAAAAGAAACACTCTGCTCGGTCTCCCCCTTCAGAAGGCCAGACATGGTGATAATTGCAGAGTGAGAGAAACCTTTGTTAGCATCTTCTAGAACTGTCTGGTGTGCATACCCAGCCCTACTGATACACATAGCCCCCTTGTACTGGCTTCTGCCAGCCCTTTTAAGAGGTAAGCCCTGGGCCAACAAACAAAAACAAAACAACAACAACAACAAAATATCGCATGCTGAAGGATTGCCCTGGAAATCACAGATCTGTTGCATTTGGTAAGTTTGTTCTTCCCTCAGACACCAGCAGCCTGCCTGCCCTTTTCAGACCCAGAAAGGACAGAAAGACCTGCTTTCTTCCTCTTGAATGAGAAGGGTGAAAATCTGAAAGTGCGTTTCCACCTCAAGAAATCTCAACTATTGAGTAACAGCCCTCTTTGGTTCTCTCAGGTATAAAGAGAGACCAACAGTCCACCCTTGTTAAGGCCTACTTCCCTGGAGTATGTGGTGCCAAGGATGGGAGGGGCACATTAGAAACGAGTGCTCTGAGCACCAGGCTTTGCTCAGTTTCCATTTGTCAGTGTAGATGCAGGTGGGGCGGGGAGGGGCGGAGTGTTGGGTGCAGTTTTAGGAACCATGTCTCTGGATTAATGTGGACAGATTGGTCGCTCGCTCCTATTAGCAATGAAGCCTTCTGTTTTCTAACAGGGCCTGCTCTATTCAGACATGTGCCGCCTCCTCCCTTCTCCAAGAAATCAGCCTGCCTTGCAGGCTTTGGAACGTGGAGTCATCTTGGAGGTCAAATGCGTCGTTTGCAGCACGCAGGCTGGGGCAGCGCGGCGTGGTGTAAAGGTGCGTGGCCGCGCAGGCTGGGGAGCCTGCCCAGCATTTTGCTGAACACTTGGCTTTCAGATCTCAGATGCTCTGCACCCCACTCCCTCTTACAATTAGAGGAGTGAGGGAGGTGGTTACAAATACTTGGTATATTTAACTCAACCTTGGGTATCTAGATAGATGTTCACTAAATTGAGTCATGAGTAATGCCTGCCAACAGCTTAGAGCCTTGAGAAAAGTACACAAATAAAAACTGCGTGTGCAGACTGTTGGGGGGGAGGAGAGCAGAGCACTGGGTGACTGGCACTCCCGGCGGCTGGGCAGTACAGACAGGCGCGTGGCCCCGCGCCAGCTAGCAGCCCAAGCTGTGCAGCCCAGGCTTCTGAGGGAGGCAGAAGAAAGAAATCCAAGCCTCGGACAAGTTAACTAAGGGCACGGCAGGAAGGAGGTAAAAATATGTACTAAGTGGGCAAGAGAAAGGGTGGGAGAGCAGACAGTCATAAGCCAAAGTCTAAGAATTTCTCTAAAAGTCTGAGGGCCAAGATGAAAGGCGCCAAATGTCTAGGGAGAAGCCAAGGTAAAGCGTCCTGCTGAGGTCGGCAGACACTGAAACAGACATGTGAGGGACGGGTGGGAGTTCTCAGCATTAGAGATGCTGGGGGACAAGCAGGGCCCCGTCTCCAAGACGACGTTCTCCTGGCCCAGGACGGGAGCTGCAGCCCACCCAGCCGTGCACACACACAGTTCTGTGAGTGCCCCAGCTCCTCCCTCCACCTGTCAGGCACACCTGGTACCTACACAATTGAAGGGGCTCAAAAGACCAAGGCGGCAGTCCCAAGATCTAGGCTGTCAGGAGCCCCTCATCCTGTGTGATGTGGTGTAGAGAATACTGCACTCAGAAAGCTCTGGGTTCTAGTCCCACCACCTCCTGTCTCTTTCGCCACCCAGATAAGTATCAAGGGGAAAGGATTTTCTGTGGTGTCAGTCGTAGGAACCTTGCAATGGTTGCTTTGGGCCAGAGCCGCGCATGCTCCACACTGGCGTTTTCTACGTTGGATGGCAGCCCTGTGGGATGTGCCAGGCAAAACTGGCCCTTCCCCCATCAGCCTCACGGGTCAGGTGTGTCCCAGCTTTTCTTATCGCCACTTACGGCTCCGTCATAAGTCGGTCCAAAATTATTTTTGGTGTTGTTATATTTTCTGCCCATAGCACTTCTCCAGGGTCACTTGTTCCTTAGATTTTATTCCCTCCTGCATAGACAGAGGTTTCCCAGCATGCACAGAGGCTGGGAAACTGTGGCTTGATAGGAAATCTTGAGATAACGGGTCCTGAAAGGACAAGGAGCTCTGCCCGGCGGTGCAGCGCCCAGCCTGTGTGTGGATGGCCGCCACCCATCGGATGCCACGCTGGAGACACAGGGATGAGTAAGACCCTGCCCAGGCCCCGAGGATCTCACAGACCAGTGGGAAGGAGAGTTACTGTAGATGACGTTGTGAGGGCCATCACTTAACGTGCAAATGGGAGGCCAGGGAAGGCTTCCAGGAAGAGGTGATGCCTCTCCTGGTTCTCAAAGGGTGGGTAAGAGTTGACAAAATAAGGGGGCAGCAGGAGTTTAAGGCAAAAGAGATGGCATGAGCCAGGACAGGAAGGCAAGAAGCAGCAATAGTGTCTGTGTACATGTGTGCGTGTGTGTATGGGGTTGTGTGTGTGTGATTGGGTGGGAAGTGGGTAGAATACAAGCTATTCGGTGTTCTGGAACTCGAAAGACAGACTGGCGAGAGATGCGGCTGGCAAAGCACCGTCCAGCCCTTCCAGAGACCAGAGACTCCGTGAGGGATTCTGCCCTCTGCTCCCCACTGCCCGGGCCTGGCTGCCAGCAGGGCACCCTGCCCTGTCTGACTGTGACCAGGTGCATAGAGGCAGTGTCCTGCGGAGGGGAGGCGGGGCCCAGGGACCTGGGCTCTAGCTTCTGTATGGCCACTCACAGAGCAGGATGTGGCCGTCTCCCCCTCGGGAGTCTGTTCCTCTCTTTATGAGATAAGGAAATTGATAATGCCAATAATAAAAAATAATAAAATGATGCCTCACACGTGAGGGGCTCCGTGCAGATGAGACTCAGTACGCCCGTGAGCTGCATGGTGATGTGGGTGCCTGTGGGAGAGCACTTAGAAAATGTTAGTCCGATGGGGGCCACCCCGGCTTTGGGGTCTCAGGGAACCTCCTCAGATACTGGGGTCACTCACTTCCCCATCACACCCCACTCTAACGTGAGCAAATGAGGAATAATTTCTTGTTCATGACTTCAGCTGAAGGCTGCAGAACATTTTGGAGGGATTTTGCAGAGAACAGATGTCCAAAAAGTTCTAAAAGTCAAAGATTCTGGAGGTTCAAGTCCTCTTTCTTCTTAAGTGTCACCCAGTTGTCCATCAATGGGGTGACCACGTAATTCCTCATCCAAACTAGGATACTTCTGGATGTGAACTCATCACACAGACAAAAGGCAGAAACATAGACTGTCCTGGGCAAATGCAGACAAATGATCCCCATACATATCGCCAGGTAGGCCCCTGCCAAAATTCCAGCCACAGGGATCCCTTAGATAAGCCTAAAAGAGTCAGATGGCAGGCGACAGCTCCCTTAGAGTCAGGAGGCTGAGTGGGCCAGCTCCATCATTTCTTCGCCCTGGGTGCTAAAGCCAGGCCGTGCAAACACAGGGCAGGTTCCCCTGTCAGACAAAGAGTCTCTACCAGATGTAGTTTCTTCCCATCTCACCATCCAGCCCCCTATCTCCTTTCAGGTCCTTCCTTCTGGTTAAGATGTTATGTTCAGGGGAAATCACTGTCAGAGGTGGCCCCTGGTCCTGAGTGTAGGGTGGCCACCACATTCTCTGCCTCCACATCACCTGGAGAGGCTGCTCCATCTCCAGGTCGGGGTGCTCTGCGGAGCATGGAATGGCCCTGCAGCCCTGGTTTGGCTCTGCCGTGGACAGGAGCCTCCTCCTCTGTGTTGCTTGCCTTTGCTGAGCCTGCTTAGAGAGCTCTGAGCTGGACCTCCACGAACAGGTCACTCCACGGGTGGCTGCAGCCGGCCAGGCTGCCTGCATGTGAGGGGCAGCCACGTGGCCCCTGCCTGCCTCTCTCAGGTGCCCTCTTGTGCTCAGCTGGGGCAACTCTGTGACCTTGGCCACAACAGGCACTTTATAAAATGGGAGCATGAGAAAGGATCTTGTGAGGCCATAATCCAAGCCTTTCCTTTGGCTGCTGAAGACAGGCCCAGAAAGGAGCCAGGGCCTGCCCCTGGAGAAGTAACTTGCTAATGGGGGCCGGGACCGAAACCTCAGTGAACCGCCGCAGCTGCCTCCTTCGCTCAAGGTGCCCCTTCCTCCCACACAGCACAGCTCTCTCCTCTCCCTCGGGGACTCAGGGATTAGTCAACCTTTAGAAGTGTTTATTTATAAAGCTGCTGCTTCTCCTTCCAGCATCTGAACGCATTCTACAGGCATTAATTAAGGAGGCCGCGCAGCAAGCCTGGGAGGCAAAGGAAAAGAGAGTTTGGGGGATTCATTAAAGGACCAGTCACCCCTGCCGGGAGCCTCTCCTGTTTATTCTTTAATTTCTCAGTCTCTCCAGAACACAAGTACACGCACCTGCACACATACATATACACGCGTACACATGCACGCATGCAAGACACGCACACATACTTCACATATACATACACATCACACAAACATGCACACACATACACACACATGAACATGTGTAAACATGCAATACACACATACACCTCATATACATACACATCACACAAACATACACACACACGTGCACATGTGTAAACATGCAATACACACGCAGATACACCTCATATACATACACATCACACACAAACATATGCACATACATTCACACGTACACATACGCACACACAAACACATGCAATAGACATGCACATTCACACAAGCCCATATACGTTCACTCACACACATGCACACACATACATGCACACATACATTAACACAATACACCTCCACATAGCCACATCATAGACACCCATGTACACACATTTGCACACACACGCCCCAGCCCGTTTCCAGCAGTCTCCTGTTATCCTGCGGAACAAACCTCTGCCAGTTCCATCCCAAGCATCGCTGAGTCTCATCCCCTGTGGTTTGGCCCCACAGCACCCAGCGGATGCTCCCTCTGCAGCCAGGGAGAGGCAGGCAGAACCTCTTCACTTCACCTCACATGACCCTCAGCCCACACCCCTTCTCTCCACTTCTGCTCACTAAAACTTTCACTCCTGAATGTTGTGCACGCTCCAGCTCACACCATCTCCCCTGCTGTGGAGAGAGACGCACGATGCACGTTGAGTCTGGCTTCACTGCCAGCTCCCCGCCAGGGCTGGGAAGCTCCAGCCCTGGGTAACCACCGCCAGGAACTCTGTCCTGCGTTCTTCTGTCACGATCTTGGAGTTTGTTCTTGACGTTGAGCAGACCAGGGCGGCCTGCCCTTGGCAATGGGCCTAGGAAGCCGTGGTGCCAGGCTGCCCGCAGAGGCCCCGCCACTCCCCACGTGGTCCAAGCCTCTGAAGCCCTAAACTTCTTGCCTCTGCTATTCTGCTGCTGTTGCTTTTTCTTTTCTCTCCCGACCCCACCCTCGGGCACACAAGCAATCAAGGTAATCTTGCTCCTTAGTGTATATAAACCTTCATCATTGGTTTGGACAAGGACGCTTTAAAAGTTCATTTCCTCCCTTTTACATCCGTACCCCACTCCCATTCCCTACAACCCCTCAGCCATCGTATTCTGTTCAATGTGTTATTTTTTGTTTGTGTTTTTACAAAATGTATATTGTTTTGTGTGCGTGGCTTTATATTAATTCTACAGAGGTGTAAGATGCACACAGAAAAGTATGCAGAGTCCTCAGTGCACAACTCAGCGAAGTTTATAAACAGCCGTCTGTGTGTGTCTGCGTACGTGTGTTAACCCACATCCAGACGGCAATCTAGAACATTTCCGACACTCCAGAAGGTCTTGTATATACCCTGCTTAGTCAAACCAACCTTCCGGGATGTCACTATGCTGATTCCTGTCATCATAGGTTTCTTTCTGGAATTTCACATAAATGGAGTGACACAAAGCAGTGTCTTCACTGTCTTTTATCTGGATTCTTTCACTCCTCATTATGCCCATTTTTAATCACTGTGTCGTATTCATTTGTATGAAACTCTGTGGACCTATTTTTTTTTTAGGACAGGATCTCACTGTCACCCAGGCTACAATGCAGTGGCTCTATCATAGCTCACTGCAGCCTTGACCTCCTGGGCTCAAGTGATCCACCTGCCTCAGCCTCCTGAGTAGCTGGGACCACAGGTGCCCGCTGCCACGCCCAGCTTATCTATTTTTAATTTCTGTGGTTCTGTGTCATGAATCCCGTTCTGGCTTTCCCTCCACTGACTGCCACGTTTAGGTGTCGTCCTCATCGCCATGTGCACGTGTCATCCGTCAGTGCTCCATGCAGTGCTCCACCACGGCATCCGCCACTCTGCCACCAGCTCCGCGGGGATGGACGCACAGGCCCCAGTCATGGCCCTGCCCTGAGGAGATGCTGGTCGTCTTCCTGCTCATTCACTCCCCTGTGCTGCACTGCTGGGGTCAGACAAGGCTCCATCCAAGAACCCATGACTTCAAAAGAAAGAAACCTTTGTCCTCAAATTTGGTAACAGGCAAACGGTCTGCGTGGAAGCCCTGTCTGCAGCCTCTGCTCACTCCAGGACGTGCTGCCCTCACTGCTCCTCTGATGTGCCCCCGGCTCAAGGCTGAGCATTCCCGTATCCACGCAGGAAGGCCGGGGGACTGGCTCCCAAACAGCGGCCAGGACCTTGGGGGCACCCAGGGAGACTGGGGCCCTGCACCTCAGGGCTTTGGATCCAGGTCTGGGACGAGCCCTGGGAATCAGCATGGGAGCAGTGGCAGCCATCCTGTGGCCCTGAGGGGAGCTGGCTGGAGGACAACCTGAAATGCTGAGGGCAGCAGGAGGAAACACAGAAGGAACCTGCGTCCTGGGTGACATCCCGGACCTGCTGCACTCGCCGGCCCTGGAGCCACCTGCCTCTGGCTTCATGTGAGCTGTCACACTGTTATTATTATTTCGTTCCTCAAGTAGGGGTTTCCTGCTCCTTGCAGCCGGAAGCAGTAAGTGGTAGCCACCCCACCCCTGCAGGGCAGTCTTCTGATGGCTCTGAGCTCCCTGAGGTGGGGGCGAGGCAGGGTCTGTGCTCCACTCTGAGGGCCCAGTGGAGCAGCAGGTGTTCGAACACATAGGGTTTACCCCAGGCAGAAACCACCCTCATAAGGGCATGAGACCCAGGCAGAGTGAGCTCTCTGGCCTCTTGGTATTTTCTTTTGTGTCTGTCTTCTCAGCAGCCTATGAGCTCCTCCAGGGCAAAAAACTGCCATCATGCTAAGGGGTTCTGGACCCTGGGGCCAGGCACAGGGCCAGGGACAGAGTGGGCAGGTAACGAAGGCTTGCTGGGCACCGTGGGAGAGAAGGGAACGGAGGCATTGAGGGGCAAGAGAAAAGGAGAAGTGGAAGGCCAGACAGGCAGAGAAGGAAAGGTTCGTGGAGAGCAGTCTCTTCATGGGGACCCAAGGAGGCCCCACCAGAGAGGAACTGAGGCTGTGAAATGGAAGGATGGAGGCCTGAGGGATCCAGGCCAGTGGACAAGTGAGCCCGAGCAGACGGAACCATCCCCATGCCTATCTGGTTGTCTCCTCCTCCTCCTGCTCCTCACCCCCTTCCTCCTCCTCCACCTCCTCCTTCTCCCCCTCCTCCTCCTTCTCCCCCTCTTCCTCCTCGCCCTCTCCCTCCCCCTCTTCTTCCTCCTCCTCCCTCTCTTCCTCCTCCTCCCCCTCTTCCTCCCCCTCTTCATCCCACTCTTCCTCCTCCCCTCTTCCTCCCCCTCTTCCTCCTCCTCCCCCTCTTACTCCTCCCCTTCTTCTTCCCCCTCTTCCTCCTCCCCTCTTCCTCCTCCTCCTCCTCCCCCTTCCTTCTCCTCCTCTTCTTCCTCCTCCTTCCCCTTCCTCCTCCTCCTCCCCCTCTTCTTCCTCCTTCTCCTATCCTCTTTTTCTTCCTCAACCTTTTCCTCCTCCTCCTCCTCCTCCTTCCCCGCCTTACCCCTCCTTCCCCACACTCTGAAATGAGCACATGGCTCAGACTGAGAGGACAAACCTCCAGCTGAATTTAGTTGTAGCTGTGGTTCCCCAAAATGCTTTGAGGATTCATCAGAACCAGTAGCTGCCTCTCTGCTTCCTCATCTACACACCTAATTTTGTAGCTTCAGAACAGGTGTGACTCAGGCAGAGGAAGGGCTACACAGGTGTCACTGTGCCCACCCCTAGGGAGACTGCTACAGACAGACTTCCCGGTGGGACCCGGCCCCCACCCATGCATGGTGGCCACGGGCATGAGGAGGGTGATAATGACAAGGGGAGCCACGATGACCACAGGGTTTATAGAGATCTCGCCATTTGCTGAGCAATGTGGAGGAACGTTACACACACCATGTCGCCTCCCCCGATGCCTGCAGGGCAGGTATCATTGCCCTGCATTCTATTGAGGAGGAAATTGAGTTGGAAGTGCCCAAGATCACGTCGTTAATAAATGGCAGGGCCTAAACAAGCCCTTAGCCGCTACAACACTCCTTGTTGCCACTGTGTTGGAAGCTTAATCAGCATTAATTCTTCTTTCAAACTCAAATGCTACCCCCGTTGTGTTAACCTCTTCAGAAGTGTCTGCCAGTGTGTTCCGTAATGATCCAAGAGCCCTTCTCACATTTATCCTTGACTATTACGGTCTTCACGTTGATTGTATGCCTGGTGTATCTCTGAGCGCAAGGATCCCATCCCCTCACCTCTGTATCACCCCTGCTGTGCCTGACATGGAGAGAGGCCCATCCCACGAAGCCTCCCGCAGGCAGTGCGGTGAGTGCAGGCAGCCTGGGCTCGGTGGTCCTGGCTCTTTCGTGAATGGGGCATGACACCGAGGAGGGCCCTTCTCTCCTGGTCTCAGTTATGTTTCTGGAAAGTTGAGGGCTCAGCTCCAGTAATTCCAGAAGCCCCTTTGAGCATGAGCATTTGATGGCTCCCACTCGCCTCTGCCACTTCCTCCGGGACTGTTTCCAGAGAGGGAACCGGGGTCCGGAGTCCTCCTCTATCCTCCGAGGCGTGCCCAAGGATTTCAGCACGGGAACATCAGCCCAACTAAGGCGAGCCATGGGGCTGGCCCCTGAGGGCGGTGGGCCAAGGGAGCAAGAGTTCACCAGTGAAGGCCAGCCACAGTCACGAAACGGTCACACCCATAATTCCATTTCTCTAACAGGAGACACTTGCACCATTTCTGTACGTTTCCCCCATCAGGGGGAAGTAGATGGACTCTTCCTAAGGCCAATGGGATTCATTTTAATCCCATCATGGCAGTCTGTAAGGCAATGTTTTCTCCACGGATTGCTTGAAGGAGAACCCGGGCAGCAGCCCTGGCTCCTGGCTGGTCTTCATTTGTTGGCCCTGGATAATGCCGACCCTGGTGTGACCCTCAGTAGACCAGGGTCTCTCTGACGTTGACCAGCCCTCTCTGGCGTTTCTGGAATGCTGTCCTTGGGGAGCTCAGAAGAGCAAATTCCCAGCAAGCTGCCAGCCTGGACCAGGCATCCTTCCTGGAAGCTGGCCTGGTTCTCCGAGGAAGCATTCGGCTTCCTGCCAGGCTAGCCCCGCTCCTCACTCTCATTGCTGTGAGTTGCCTCCTCCAGGCTGCTGTGGCCTCTGGGCTTGGCCCGGTGCTCTGAGCCGCACATGGTCACATCTCAGCACGTTTCCAACACCTCGGATTAGCTGGCGTGGGCCCCAGTATTTCTAATGGCAGGGCTTAGGGACTGATTTCCACTGCAGTGGTGGCTGCCCGGCCAGGTGCTCATGCCCACCCTCCTGGTGTAATGCTACACGTGCTGGCTGCCCACCTCCTCCGGGCTCTGACCTGGCACGGCTGCAGAGGTGCAAATCTAAGTGAAGTAGGGAGCTGAAAGGGAGGCTGTGAGGACTTCTGATTCAAAGGGACTCTCCCAGGATTCCATCCCCCTCCCTCCTGACTGCTGGGCAGCCAGGGCTCTGGCCGGCATTGCTTCTGGGCCCCTCTGCTTCCCCTTGTCCTCCTCAGCCTCAGCTGACTGTGTAGTCACAGCCTCTTGCCTGCCCTGAAAGGGATGGAAAAGCTGCAGATGGAGATGACCTGGAGACCAGACTTTCTAGCAACATGACCCTACTGGACGGAGTCACTGCAAAGGGCAGTGAGGTGGCTTCCAAAGAGGAGCAACATGGTCAACACCTGTCCGCATGCCCCAGTGAGCGCCCTGGAAACTCTGCCTTCTGGCCTGATGTGATGGGAATAACCAAGACCATCTTGCTGGGGGCCAGCTGACCTCAGCCCAGCTGCATCCTCCATCTCCCCCTCTCCTTTGACAAAGCTTTTATACCATGTGTCACCAGGGTACATCTTGGCAGACAGCTAACCTGTGTCTTAATGTGTGTGGGATGTGCATTCATCTGCAAGTGCTGCACACGTGCTTGGTTGGTACTGTGTGGTGCATTACATGTGTGCATGCGTGTGTGTGTGTACGTTCATGTGTGTGCTCACTGCCCGCCGCCCGCAGTCACTAAGCTCACTATGTTCCCTAAGCTTGCCTTGCTTCTTCCTCATGAGCTCAAACGTCTCACATTTGTGTAGAACATCATGAGCTCACATGCACTGTCTCCGGTGATCCTCTCACCCAACTCTCTTGTATGTAGATGACAAAATTAAGAGCGAAAAGGCCAAGGTTGCACAGGAGATCGGTTTCAGGGTGCACACTAAAAACCAGGTCTTCTGACTCACATGTGGGTGAGGTTTGTTCCCCTGCACACAACCAGAAAGGCTGTGAAAGGCTCCAAGAGCAAATGGGCCCCTGGGCCCCACAGCTGAGTCCCTGCCCGATCTCTGCCCCTTTTTGTACACCTTTGTTTTCTGCTCTGAAGAAGAGGGGGTGCACCCTTTGCTCGCTCCCCTGAACGTGTCTTGGGAGTTAAGGGTTGCCCATCGGTCCTTAAACAGGGAGAAAACTCACATGTACATGATAATGGTGAGTGTTTTTGAGTGCCAGGCCCTGTGCTGAGAGCTTTACCTGCCTCATTTTGTTCAATACTCACAGGAGTGAGGCAGACCTAGTTGCCCACATCGTACCCTTCTGTTCTTCCTTGATAACAACACCCAGCCCCAGGCAACAGATCATGATTTGTTAGACAAGTTACGGTAATCCTGTTCCCATCTTTCTAGCCTCCCTTGCCGCTGAGGGTGACCATGTTGCCAACTTTTGGCCAATTAGTCAGAGGCATTGCCCTTCTCCTGTCCCCTACTGTGAACTTGGACGTGATGTTGAATGGCAGCAGCCAACTTGTGACTGTGAGGTGAACCACATGAGGATGAAAGCCAGCAGGCAGAGGAGGGAAGGCAGAAAGAAGGAGGGCCTAGGTCTCTGCAGACATCACGGAGCAGCTGAGCCAAGACCGGCTGCTGCTGGAACTGCCCACTCCAAACTTCGTGTTTTCACAAATCCCTATTTGTCATCTGGGTTTTCTGTTACTTGCAGCTGAGTAAATTTCTGCCTGACACAGGTAGTATCATTCCCATTTTATAGATAAGAAAAACGAGATGCTGTGGATAAAAGGGTTAGGAAGGGACAGTGCTGGGGTTCAAGCCCAGACCCCCAGATGCCAGAGCCTGAGCTTGCGCATTGTCTGTAAAGTGTTGGTTAGGCACATTACTAATATCAATGAGACTGCAAGGCAGATGCTCACCCCATTTAACAGGCTAATTACAGACACGTTTTGTCTTTATATTACATAAAGCACAGTGGCCCTGGCTCTCAGGACTGCCGGCACCCTCTCTCTGGCCAAGGTCATGTGGACAGCCCCTCATGAGAAGATCTGGACCAACCAGTGCTGAGCACATGCAAACTCTTTTCAGACATAGGGCCATCTGCAGCAGCTCAGGGAAGTCAGAGCCACCTGTGGAGAACTCCAGCACCCCAGGCCCCTCCCACATACAAATGGGGAAACTGAGGCCCAGAGCGGGAAGTGCTTTGCCCAAAGTTACATTTTGAGTTACAGAGCTGAGACCTGATGCCAGGTCCCCTTCCCCAGGTAGGTGCACTCTCCACCCTCCCGGGAGGTTTCCAGGCCTCCTTCCCCAGGTGGGTGCTCCCTCCATCCTCCTGGGTGGTTTCCAGGTCTCCTTCCCCAGGTGGGTGCTCCCTCCATCCTCCCAGGAGGTTTCCAGGCCTCCTTCCCCAGGTTAGTGCTCTCTCCATCCTCCCAGGAGGTTTCCAGGCCTCCTTCCCCAGGTGAGTGCTTCCTCTGTCTTCCCGGGAGGTTTCCAGGTCTCTTTCCCCAGGTGAGTGCTCCCTCCGTCCTCCCAGGAGGTTTCCAGGCCTTCTTCCCCAGGTGAGTGCTCCCTCTGTCCTCCCCTGCACTGCACCTCAGCGCACCTGGTCAACATAGACCTGGGATTCAGACCAGAGTCCTCACATGCCTCGCCCTTGTCCCCATGGTGAAGTTGCTGTCAGGATGCTGGTGAGCCACTGGCATGGACAATGTCATACTGCCACTCTGCCTCCATTTCCCATTTTCCTACGCATGGGGTCCTGGGGCCAACCCATCACGGGTCAGAACCTGGAACACATCCTCTGGGTTCACAGCTAGCCCTCACTTGTTGGTTAAATGAGGAAATTGCTGGTGCCTCTCAGCACTTCCTCTGGTCTTTCCTCTCAAAACCTGTTCTTTGATGCTTGAATTTCCTCCTGAGGCCTCCCTGCACTCCTCCCGGGCTGTGAAGCTGTGGAAACTCACCAGGTCTTTTCACCACGAAGTCCTCCCCCAGCTCCTAAATCCCCGCTGGGCCCTCTGAGTTTCTTCTGCTTCAGTCTTTGCCTCCCCATACTCTCTCTCTCTCTCTCGCTCTCTCTCTCTCTCTCTCTCTCTCTCTCACACACACACACACACACACACACACACACACACCCTCTAACAAGTTACCTTCAGGGTATTTATAGACATGGCAGGTCCCCAGGGATCCACTCTTTGGCAGACCGCCTCTTCGCACAGCCTCCCAGCGGCTGCCTGCCTGGGCAGCGTCTAATTAGCCCGCTGCCCTCTGCTCCCGGGCTTTGATGTGCTTCAGACTTTCCAGGCAGAAGGTACAATTTGGAGGCCTGACGTCCCGCAGGCAGGAGACTGCACCAGCAAATCTAGGTTGATGCTAGGCTAATGAGCTTGTTTACCATCTGGATTCAAGCTGCATTTCTTAGTGATGGTGGGGAGACGTGCGTGTGCATGTGTGTGCCCATGTGTGTGTGGGTAGTTGCAGGAGGCACATGTTCAAGCAAGACCATTTTGTTTAATGACCTTATTTCTCACTTCCTCCTCCCTTGTTGAGTAAAAATTGGATGGGCTGGCCGGGTGCGGTGGCTGACACCTGTAATCCCAGCACTTTGGGAGGCCGAGGTGGGCGGATCACAAGGTCAGGAGATCGAGACCATCCTGGCTAACATGGTGAAACCCGGTCTCTACTAAAAATACAAAAAAAAAAAATATTAGCCAGGCGTGGTGGCGGGCACCTGTAGTCCCAGCTACTCGGGAGGCTGAGGCAGGAGAATGGCATGAACCCGGGAGGCAGAGCTTGCAGTGAGCCGAGATCGCGCCACTGCACTCCAGCCTGGGCGACAGAGTGAGACTCCGTCTCAAAAAAAAGAAAAAAAAATTGCCTGGGCCATGATGAAAGGCATTAGGAGTCTGAAATGCACTCTCCCTTTCAAAGCTCTGCAATCCAGCCAGACTGGCATTTTGGAGCGATGGATGTGTGAAGAATGGGAAGCAGTCTCTGGGGGATGAGGAAGTTGGGAGGGTTCTGGACTCCTGGTTTTGCCCCGGGCAGCTCTATAGCACCCCCCACACACCTCTTTTTTCTCTCTTCTTTTAAAACATTGTGCTAAAATACACGTAACTCAAAATGTACCATCGTAAGCATGTTTTAGCTCAGTGGTGCTAAATACATTCATGCGCTTGTGAAACCACCACCACCCTCCATCTCCAGAACCCTTTTCACCTTGCAGAACCAAAGCTCTGCACCCACTAAACACTAACTCCCCACTGCTCCCTCCTCCAGCCCTGGGCACCCACCATTCTGCTTTCTGTCTCTGTGAATCTGAGAACCACGTATCAATGGAATCATACAGTATTCGTCTTTCTGTGACTGGCTTATTTCACTCATAATGTCCTCAAGGTTCATCCATGTTGTAGCGTGTGTCAGGATTTCCTTCCTCTTAATAGTTCATCATGTGCAATACCACGTTTTGTTTGTTTGATGACACTTGGATTTATCCATGATCCATGTCCATCCGTGGTGGACACCCGGGTTGCTCCCACCTTCTGCTGTCGTGAATCACACTGCAATGAATAGTGGCGTACAAATACCACAGAAGGCCTTCGTGATGTCCTGTGTCACTTGAAGATGAAATGAGCCGCCGGAGACACATTCGTAAAATGAACGGGAAATGAAAGCCTTTGCCTGGCTACATGGGGGTTTCCAAACTGACCCTGGGGCCCTGGGGCTCCTGTTCAAAGGCCCCAGAGAGCGGAGGCGGAGACAAGCAGGACTTGGCCCAAGCGCCCTCACCTCCACCCAGAATCACCCCCCTTTCAATCCCTCCTTCATTCCAATCACATTTTTATTTCCTTGTGCTGAGGGACTGGGCATACAGCAGGGACAAACAGCCCGCAGGCCCTGCCCCTTATGGAGGCTGCGTGCTAGAGGAGGAGGCCTGTATATGGCACGTCCCATGATAGCCACTGAGGAGAAGAAAGATGCTGTGAAGAAGGACAGGGAACGTCAGGGGTCGGGCCAAGATGGTGGATCTTGTAGCCAGGAAAGTCTTCACTCATTAAAAAGGTGATTTTCAAAAAAAAAAAAAAGGTTTTTTAATGGAGAAGTAATTCACATGCCGTAAAATTCTCCATGTTAAAGTTTGCAGCTCGGTGCTTGACAGGCTATTCACAAAGCCGTGCGTCACTGCCCACCACTCTCTCATTCAAGGACACTTTCATCATAAAAGGTGGCGTTGAAGACCTTGAGCCGGACGCCTCCTGCTGGCCCCTCCGAGTGCTCTCCCTGCCCTGGGGGGCTGTCCTGGGGGGGGAGCGAGGGCACGCGGATAAGTCCCTAAGGTTCCCCGGGTGGAGGCACCAGCAGGAGAGCGGGGGAGGCAGAGGGTGAGTGGGTGTCCACGGCCCCAGCCCTCCCACGGGACTGCTGTGGCTGGCCGCATCCCTTGCCTGGCGGCCACAGTCCCCCCCATACAGCCTGTTCTCTCCAGGGTACAGTGGCTTTCCCGTCCCCGTCCCCGTCCCCCTCCCCGAGGCTTAGGGGCTAGCTCCCGCGGTTTCCAGCCCTGGCCACTGCAGTGTCCCTGCAGGACTCCGTCCACACCTCTGTAAATAGCCTCTCTGTTAAACTCGTCTCAAGCTGCCCGATCCAGGGGTACCAGCTCTTCCTGCAGGAAACCCGACGCCAGACACTGATGGAAATGAGAGGGCCGGCCACGCAGGGGGAAGCAGGCAGACACAGCCGCGGCGCGGACTGCAAGCTCGGGGGTCAGCCGCACCGATGGGGGGCGCGCCTGAGGCACCCAAGGAGCAGCGGGAGCCCGCGCCCAGAGAGGCGCGGTCAGGAGAAGCCAGCTCCAGCCAGGTGGGGCCTCGTGGCTGTGAATTTGGTGGCATTCATCAGCTTCTTAAAATTTGTAATTTGGAATGATTTTTAAAATCAAGCCAGCTCCAGCCAGGTGGGGCCTCGTGGCTGTGAATTTGGTGGCATTCATCAGCTTCTTAAAATTTGTAATTTGGAATGATTTTTAAAATCAAGCCAGCTCCAGCCAGGTGGGGCCTCGTGGCTGTGAATTTGGTGGCATTCATCAGCTTCTTAAAATTTGTAATTTGGAATGATTTTTAAAATCAAGCCAGCTCCAGCCAGGTGGGGCCTCGTGGCTGTGAATTTGGTGGCATTCATCAGCTTCTTAAAATTTGTAATTTGGAATGATTTTTAAAATCAAGCCAGCTCCAGCCAGGTGGGGCCTCGTGGCTGTGAATTTGGTGGCATTCATCAGCTTCTTAAAATTTGTAATTTGGAATGATTTTTAAAATCAAGCCAGCTCCAGCCAGGTGGGGCCTCGTGGCTGTGAATTTGGTGGCATTCATCAGCTTCTTAAAATTTGTAATTTGGAATGATTTTTAAAATCAAGCCAGCTCCAGCCAGGTAGGGCCTCGTGGCTGTGGTCAAAACTGTGGCTTTTCCTCTAAGGGAGATGGGCAGCCCTGGGGGCTTCGGAGCAGAGGGAGGGAGCCACAGGGTCTGACTTACGTTTGAAAAGAGCCTTCGGTTGCTGCATTAAGAATAGATGATGAGAGGCAGGGTGGGGAGGCCCGGTACCAGACAGGGGCCCGCAGGAAACAGGTGGGAAAGCTGGTTTCCAAAGGACTCCTTGGAAAGGGGTGGATGTAGGGGACGCAGGATGCAGCCCAGCTGTACCCCCTCCTCCACCAGTCAGGGAAGGAAGCCGTCGCTGGAGCCTGAAGGGGAAGTGGGCAGAGGCAGCCGCCTGGAGGCCGGCGGTGGCCTTGGGCTGAGAAGGCCTGGTTTTGAGGCTTCCTAAGTATGTCTAAGGGGCGCACAGGACACAGGCCGCCAGTGTGTCTGCGAAGGACGGAGCTTTCCAAGCCGCTGTCACGCTTGACACAGTAGAGGGAGGCGAAGGCTTTCCGGACAGGGTGCTGGAACCCCGTGGGGGCAGTGGGAGCTTGTATAATGTGGGAGTGGTTACCCATAAAAGAAAAATAATGCAAATCCCAGGTACAAACATAAAAATAAAAGTGAATATTTATTATCGAAAGCAGGATCTCGAGAGATATTTGCACACCCGTGTTGACGGCAGCATATTTCACAGTAGCCAAAAGGAGGACACCACCCCAGGGTCCATCGATAGAGGAACGGATGCACAAAATGAGGTCTATCCACACAATGAAATATTAACCCATCATTGGTCACCCCCAAAAAGTAAGGAAATTCTGACACACGCGGCACCGTGGGTGAACCTTACCGACATTGTGCTAAGTGAAATGAGCCAGTCATGGAAGGACAACTATGTGATGACTTCCCTTCTGTGAGGTCCCTAGAACCGTCAACATCAGAGATACAGAAAGGAGAGTGGTGGCCGCCAGCGGCTGGGGGAGGAGGGAACGGGAGCTAGTGTTTAATGGGTTCAGAGTTTCAGTTTTACAAGATGAACGAATTATAGAGATAGATGGCGGCGAAGGTGGAGCAACATGATTAATGTATTTAATTACACTAAACCGTACACTTAAAAAGATGATTAAGATGGCACATTTTATGCCACAATAAATATTGGGCCACAATAAAAAAGTTGAAAAAAGGTGAATATTTATTCAGTTTTAAAAATCATTCCAAATTACAAATTTTAAGAAGCTGGTGAATTCCACCAAATTCACAAAACCTAGAGAAGTTACATTCTTTTTATGTATTGACTGCCCAGTGTGCCTCTGTAGTATTTTTTCTAAATGTGTTTGATTTGTAATCCTCAAAACATGTACAAAATTTATGTGAAATTAAGGCATTCATAGGAATCATTTAGATGCCTTTAAAAAATACATTGTATTCAGCCACAAAACTGTGCCACCAGATTACTCTGATACTACAGCACTGACTTATTGATGAATCTGTGTAGGAGTTTTGTCATCAGAACACTTGCTTCTGCAAGCATTTCTCTGCGTTGGTGGCAATTTTGCTTACCATTTTGCTGGAACCACCAGATTTTGTGAAGACACAGTGCACCAGTTACACTAAGAAAATAATCTGATACGGGGACTGCATAAAATCTATGACTTCACCCCCGGAGAACCCATGTGGTACTACTACTGGTTTGGGCTCACAACACAAGAATTTTGATCAATTCTAATTTGTGTAACTCTCATCAGAACACAAAGCAATGTACGGTGTAATTATATTCTTTCAATATCCACTATTTTCCTAACAGGAGAGAACTTCTGTCCTGGCCAGGCCTTGGTGAGAACCAAATCCTCCACCAACGATGTTACCTGTGTGGCTTTTTGTAGATTTTCTGCAGATGAGCTCCTGACTGTTACTTTGCCCTCCCCACCACACATGGCCAGGGTGGGTGTGACAGCGTGCGCTCACATCACGGCCCAGCCTCTCTTGCTGCATCTGCTGGTGGGATGTCCTGTGGGATGAGTGTTCCTGGAAGCCCTGCCTACACTCAGCTGGAGGTAACTTCTCTGTACAAAGAAGTCACTGTGAACCATGTCAGCATATCCCACTAAGCCCAGATTAAGTGTTTCCCCAGCTCACTTTCCTCTTAACTGGATCCCCCAAGTGCCCTCAGCCACCCAAACATCATCCAACTAAGAGTCCCTCAGACGGAAGAGAAGTTGGGATGGAAAGAGACAGACAGTCTCAACCGGTTATGGTTAAACTATCTCAACTTTTGCATATTTTACAAAAACATTTGGCCACAGGAACACATTGCTAGGGCCTCTCCGGGAAAGGGGGGAGTCTGTGGATTCAGGGGTCCTGAAGCTTCATCAGTTGCACAGCAAATGCGTCCCCAGCCCCGCCCACGAGCAGCTGAGATGTGGAGGCGTGGGTCCACTGACTTCACCTATGACCTATGACCTGTCCCAAAGGCACCAGGCCTGGAAACACCAGCCAGAGTCCCAGCTCTGCCCCTGGGACTCCCCGGGCCTCAAGAGCCTCTGCCAAGCAGGGATGAGGACACACCCCCACCTCAGGGTCAACAAGAGATTTGTGGGTCAATCAGAGTACTGTGCAAACTCAGCTGCTGTCCTCTGGCCATAGTCACAGCAAGCCCTTCCTGGGTCCAGAAGGTGGTTCCACAGGAACGGGGCTGCCTCTTTAAAGCAGAGGGGTGCACTATAGCCCTGAGGGAACCAGCTGCAGTTGTGGTAATCTTGGGAGGCAGCTCCCCACCCCCTGCCACCCCCTCCCTGCTGTCAGGAGAGGATTAGAGGAGAGGCCAGCGGATTAAAGGGTTTCATGTTGCCACAGCCTCTCCCCCAGTCCCTGTCTCCGAGGCCTGCTTGCTAGGTGGGGCGACTCTTCTGTGAGCTGCAGCTGTGGGGCAGAGAGAAGCCCTCCCCACCCAGGACTGAGAGGCTGGAGACCCCAGGCTCGCCAAGGCACGGAAGACAAAGGCCTGGGGCGTCCTGGGGTCTGGGAGGAAGGCAGACAGAGCTCATGGTCTGTGGCTGCTCTGCCCTCCTTCCCCTCCCCAACCCCAGGCCCACCATGCCTGCAACTCCCAACTTCCTCGCAAACCCCAGCTCCAGCAGCCGCTGGATTCCCCTCCAGCCAATGCCCGTGGCCTGGGCCTTTGTGCAGAAGACCTCGGCCCTCCTGTGGCTGCTGCTTCTAGGCACCTCCCTGTCCCCTGCGTGGGGACAGGCCAAGATTCCTCTGGAAACGTAAGCATCACGTTCAACCCCACCCCAAAAACCCGGTCACCCTTTCCCACTTTCTTCCCGGGCTGGGCCTCCATCCTCTGCCCACTCCTCCCGCCCCTGCCCTCCCTCTGGGCTTTTCCCCAGTGGCTGCGACTGACCACTCTCTTGCTGTAAAGCCCTTTGCTTCTCCGGCCTCCTCTTTCTCCTCCCAAAAGCTCTGTGAGTTCTGGAGTCCCACCTGCCTCTCCCCAGGAGCCGGATGGCTTTAGGAAGAACTGATCATCAGGGCTGCTGTCTTCCTGGCCTGACAAGCAGCTTCTGGGACACCTGAAGGGCGGGTGCTCCTTCAGGATAATCGCTGAGATGAGGCAGCCTGGAGGAGCCGGGTTATCTCAGCATCGCAGCTCCCCGAAGCATTTGGCAGGAAATGCGTATTTTGACATTCCAAAAAGGGGAAGCAGTTCTGAACCCACAGAACGTCTCATGCGCACAGGAGGTGGCTTGTCCAGGAACTGGGGAAAAAAATGGATTTTGGTGGCCGCAGTCTTCCCTTTCTACACCTTTCTGCCTCCTTCCAACCTTGATTCTCTAGCCGGCCATTAAGACCGGCTCCAGGAAAGAACCCGGTATCAGTCATGTGCACCTTGGTGTACATGTAAATTACTGTGCAACCTCTCTGGGGTGTCTGTGTTTTAGGCCCTAGCTCAGGTGGTCCTAGGAAGGAAATTTCCAATACATGTGGGTAGCAGAGCCTTCTAGACTGTAGGTGCTACAGACCCCATCCTGTTTACTCCAGCCGCTTGAGCCCAGCACCATAGCCAGGCCACCAACAGAGCCACCTGCCAACTGCATGTCTTAGCAGGAGTGGGGACAGGGAGCCTAAATGACACACCGTGCCTGTGCTTAGCCTTTGCTGACCAGTGGATTAGGCAGCATCGTTTCCCATCGAGCCGCATAGCTCTCCTTGTTCCCTGCCTGGCACGGAGCTGGGCGCTTCACAAATGACACCGTTAGTTTGCAGAGCCATTCAGTGGGGGCTTATTTTTATCCCTATTTTGCAGCTGAGGAAACAGAGGCCCCGAGAGGTCAGGTGACTTCCCCAAGTTCACAAGGCCAGGAAGTGAAGGTGCTGGGATTTGAACTCCTGTCAGCCTGGACTGCACTTTCACCATTACACCCGCCGCCAGCCCGTAACGCTATCTGTTGCTGCAGGAGATGTTCAGAACAATTTTCATCCCCAGAACACACACCAGCTGATAGGAGAGGGCCAACTCCAGGAGTGGGCTGAGGGCCAAGTCGGGGTGGCTGGAATCCAGGCCTTCAGGGAGGGGGGCCCCAGCGGCCATCTATGCAGAAGCCCTGGGTGCTGCCAGAGACAACAGCCTGCACACAGCCTCATCTGCCTGCCCAGGACTTGGCCCCACCTGTCCTCACTCCCGCCGAACCTCTCTTCTCAGTCTTTCCCTCCAGCCGGGCTTCCACCTCCTCCCAAGTCTGTTTCCACAGGGTTCCCAAAGCCCTCCTCATGCCCAATCCAGGAGACATTCCTGGCCTTGTCACCCCAGACCCTGTTGCTTGGGACACACAAGCCCCCGTCTTCTTTTATCCCAGTCCTTGACTTCCGTGGCACTGCGCTCCGCTGGGCCTGCATGGGCACGGCTTATCTCTGCTGTCCTCAAGTGCTCCTCCTCCTCTGCCTGCCCCGGAGGTGGGGGGTGCTCCCCAGCAGCTGTCGACGCTCAGAGATCTCACGCTGCACACTCTCCTTGAGAGAGCCCTCCTGCCCTCAGAATTTCAATCCCTACCTTTGCATCAATGACTCCCAGCCCTGTCTCTACCTACTAGACACATACCCAGTGCTTATGGGCAGCTTTTCCTAAACATCATGTGAGGTTTTAAATTCAGATTTGTGTCTTTCAAGGTAAAACACAATTGGTGCCTTCTAGAGTTGTGCAGTGCACAACCTTCCCAATGGTACTTGGTAGCTCTACAACGGGAACCTCACATTCAGCAGAGCCCAAGGTACACACATCACTTTTCACCCTCCTCAGCTCATTCCCCCTGCCCTTCCTGATAGTCTTAATTGTATTCAGTAACAACACCATCAGGTCAACAACCCACACTGGAAGCCCGGAAGTCACGTTTTACTCCTCCAAGCTCTTCTGTACTCCCGACCTAGAATCCTCTCCCAGACCCCTTTGCAGGCTAACCTCTACCAAACTTCTAACCTGGAGCTCAGATCTCCCTCCCCAGGGAAGCCTTCCCTTATACCACTACCCCTCCCCAACCTTCATGGGCACCTTCAAACATGTACTATGCTACCCGCATGACAAAGCTGTCCCTGCAAGGGTGGGGACTGTGGGGTGGCTCCAGGCTGCCACATGGTAGGACCTTGATAAACATTGGTTGAGTGATGACTGCTGATCTTGAAAGGATCGCACAGGCAAACCACTTCCGCTCCATCTGGAGAGGCTCAGCCCCAGCCCTGTGTACCTGCCCCCAGGACCCCACCAGCCTGGCCAAGATGGTGGGATTGTGGTGCATTTCTGGGGCATGGGCGAGAGGTCGGGGCTCCCCACTAGGCTGCCTACACAGAGGGTGAGGTGTGGCCTCCTTATGCCCTCCTGGCCTGCCCTGCCCTCAGGCTCAGCAGTGGCAGCTCAGAGCCTTTTCCTGCTGTGCCCTTGCCTCACGCGTTCTCTGAGGTTTCAACAGAGGGTTCGGCAGCCCCCAGTGGCTTTGAGTGGAGTGCACTGGAGGGAACGATTTATTGAGAGGCCACAGCTGTGGCCAGGCAGGTTGTCCTTTGTCCTCAGGGTCCTCCGGCCCTGGCCTGAGGCTGTCCACTGCCTCTCCCCTCCTTCTCTCCTCTCAGTCTGCCACTCTCCAACCAGAGGCCCTGGAAGCTTGGGGTCAAGCTCAGTCCTGGGCTCGTCAGCCCGGCCCCACAACCCTCAGCAGGAGAACCTGCCGAGGACATTCAGCACACAGCAGTGCAGCCGCTGGGTCCTGAGGGTTCTCCGCGTCTCCTGCCCAGGCCATGGCTGTAGCTTTAGGGACAAGGAGGAGGGACAGGTGCTCTTTTGTGTGTTTCTGGGCATATGTCACGTGTGTGTATGCATATGCATGTGTGTGGGGGGTATGTATGTGTGTGTACGTGTGTGTGCATTTCTTATGCATTATGTGTCTGTGTGTTGGAGTATGCATGCATCAGCAGGTGTCTGTGTGTAGACACTGGCTTTCTATGTGTGTGAACCCATATGTCTACGCGTGTGTTTCTGTATTTGTGCGTGTACGTGTGTGTATACGCGTGTCCTTTCATTGCCTGGCAGAGTGAAGCTATGGGCTGACACCTTCGGCGGGGACCTGTATAACACTGTGACCAAATACTCAGGCTCTCTCTTGCTGCAGAAGGTCAGTCACCCCCTTCCAGAGAGCCCACCGGGTGGCAGAGGGCAGTCAGCCATCGAAGCCCCCAAATGCCGGTGCTGTGAGGGGCCTTGGGCATCCCATCAAATCGGTTTATTTCAGATGGGGCCACTGAGGCCCAGGGAGGTGAATGATTTTCTCAACTCCCAAAGCAGGGCAGTGGGGGTGGTTCGGGGGCGTGGTCAAGAGCATTGTGTCAGGTCCTCAGGGAGCAGAGGCCAAGGTGGAATTAGACCTGCAGATGTACTGGGTGGAGGTGGGGTGAAGAATAAAGGAGAGACGGAGGGAGTGGATGCAGTGGGATGCAGGCCTAACACCTGTGATGCCAGCGGAGACTTGGAGGGCACGTGCAGGGCCCTGGAAGCTGCTCGGGCCGTAGAAGGTGAAAGGGCTGTGGCCTCTGCGCAGGGAGACCTCCCATACCTCCAGCTGTCAGCCCCCGAGCCATGTCCAGCATCCGCCCCCTTAATATGCATTGCTTTCTGTGCCGATTTATGGCTGGCTGGTCTTCTTACCAGGTTATAAACAACTTCACTGTTCTCTAATATTTGTAACTCCCCAGAGCAGTTCCAATGGCAGCTCACCCTTCTCTATCATTGCCACTCACTAAGAGCTTCATTGTCATGATTTCATTCCCACCACCAATTCATGAGGCACCTTTTCCATATCACAAAGATCCTGAATCCCAGGCTCTTATGCCTGCATGTGACCACATGTCCCTGCTCAACTGCCCTGCCCACAGCCCCCAGGCCTGTCCCTGGTGGAAGTAAGAGGAGCCAGGGTGGGCGGCTCCCCGGGCCCCCACAGGCCACTGTAGCGATGACAGCTGAGGCCCCGCCTGCCCCTCACAGCACGCTCCTATGCTTCAGAGCACCACAGCCCGGGGAGAGGAGCATAGAGCAGTACGGATGTGGCCGTTTGGGGTAAAAACATTCTGTAAAATCTGTGCATTCTAGAACATTCACTAAAGCTATGTAAATGTCACATCTTACAGATGAGGAAAGTGATTGACTGGCTTGCCTGTGGTCACACGGCCAATACATTGCAGAGCTGGGTGAATAGACATTCACAATACACAGTCAGTGAGAGCTGGTCTCCCCTGGGCCCAGAGAGAAAACCCAAACCCCATTCCAGGCTTTCCTGGGCTCACTGGCAATTGTCAGGCAGCCATCCTCAGTGCCTGGAGCTGCTGAGCTCTGCTGGGACAGTGGGAACTGAGGTTCACATCCATGTGCACGGGGGCACTTTCATAGCAAGATGCCTCTTCTGGGACATTGAGGAAAGGTGAACTGATGCCAGGGGTGGTTTCACAAGCCCTGGGATGCAGCGTGGCTCTGCACAAAGGACATGGCTGGGGATGCCTGAGAGACCTGGCCCCATCAGGGGTCACCTGCTCACCTGGCTGTTGACCTTGGTCAAGTTCACTGACTTCTCTGAGCCTCGGTCTACTCCCCTGTTAAGGCTATAACTGCAATGCGTCTAGAGCACCTGGAACAGAGAGGATATTTGAGGAGAGGCAGCTATTCTATCACTGGGGATGTTGTCCAGGGAGGAGAGGGCTGGGCCTCACCCTAGTTGAGTAAACCAGGCTCCATGTGCCGGAATGCATCTGTGGAGAGGTTGGAGGCCATGCATACACAGGTGCAACTATCCTGGTACAAAACCACATGCACGCATCTCTCCCACTTTCCCCAAACAGAAGTACAAGGATGTGGAGTCCAGTCTGAAGATCGAGGAGGTGGATGGCTTGGAGCTGGTGAGGAAGTTCTCAGAGGACATGGAGAACATGCTGCGGAGGAAAGTCGAGGCGGTCCAGGTACTCCAGGCCTGTGATCTGCAGGGCGTTTCTCCCCAGCCCCATGACGCAGGTGGCAGAGTGACCCTCCCGATGTCATGGCCCTGCATCCTCCCCCCTCGTGACCCTCTCCTATCTTACAAGATTCCGCCTTGTACCTTCGTTAGCCAAAAGAACCCTCACTCCAAGAATCCCTGTGAAAGAGGAAATGACAGGAAGCAAGAGGAGAGGGGAGGGGCTGGGATCAGAGCTCTGCCCCGAGGCGGCCATGCCCAGCACTGCCGGGTCAGCCTGCAGCATTGTGAGGAACTCTGAGTCACCAGGCCATACCCAGTGACCAGTACAGAGCACTGCACGGGGTGAGCACCTAGGAATTGCTTTGGGAATGGATGGACAGAGGAGCAGAAGGAGGGTGGGAGTCGAGCTAGCTGGAGCCAGCAAAGCCAAGCTCCCCCCTCCCCTCTCCTCCTTCTCATCTGTCCTCATTCCTCCCTCACCCTCATTCAGCCATCAGGACCCACCTTCATGGCTTCCAAGTGCTCTGAGGGCCACCCGGGCAGCAGAGGTGCTTACAGGGATGGGCCTTGTGCCCAGGTGACTCTGTTACTGGACATCCACCAAGCCTGGTGGGGCCCAGGAGAAACAGAAGCTTTCCCCTTCTCTGGGGTGAAGTGTCTGCACTGAGGCCTATGGGGACCTGGATGGTATAAACCAGTAGATACAGTGTGGTTGGAGAGACACAGTCCTCCACTCCATCCAGCCAAGAATCGGACCATCCAAGACCAGTGCTCTCCCTGAAAGGACTCGTAAGACCAGCCAGGAGAACAAGGAGAGAGGAGATCGGGAGTGGTTGGCTGGATTGGGAGGCTGAGGCCAGGGCCAAGCAGCAGGGGAAGGGGCAGATAGGGCAGGCGAGCTGCGGCCTCTCCAGTGTACTGTCAGTGTACCCCCACCCCCATCACAACCCCCACTCTGGGAGGAGGCCGGGGTCAGGGTTGCTGGGGCCTTCTTTCCCACTTGTTATAATGTGCAGCATTTCTGCAGGGCAAGGGATCTTAGCATCAGGAACCAATGAGAAGATGCCTGGGGACTCAAGAGCCTATCCTGGGTCCCTGAATCACACACCACAGCAGGAAAGCACTAGCCTCACACACAGCCTGGCACCCGCAGTAACACCTGCCTCTTTCAATCAGTGAGCGTTGTGTAAACAGCCTCCTTGGATCAAACACAGACAGTGGGGTATGAGACTCGCCTGACTTCAGGCGTCGGTCCTTGTGTCACTAGAGCAGCGAGCAGTCCTGAGACACCCCCAGAGGCTGGGGCTCCAGGCTCCCTGTGCCCTTCCACAGCCTCAGAGACCAAAGAAGTGCTGCTCTGCAGACTTTCTCTGAGGACCGGTCCCTGCGCCTCCTGCGGGTGGTGTATGGGGGCCTCAGACCTTCCATGAGGGTGCGCGTGGGAAGTTTCCTGCAAAGCCTCCCTGAAATGAGCTTTCCCCTGTGGGATTTCCTTATCCTAGGATCTGTAGGCTGAGAGTGGGGAGGCAGGAATTATCCTACCCAATTTATAGTTGTGCAAGCAGAGGACCAGAGAGGCTTAGTGGCTTGGCCCTGACAAAGCCAGAATAGGATCTTGGGTCCTCTGACTCCCAAAGCACTTCCCCCACCCTGACTTCCCCTGACACTCTGCGATGCTGGCCTGCTCTTTAGAAAAAAAGAAAAAAAAATTGTGCCAGGCACGGTGGCTCACGTGGAAGGCACTTTGGGAAGCCAAGGCCGGCAGATCACGAGGTCAAGAGATCAAGACCATCCTGGCCAACACGTGAAACCCTGTCTCTACTAAAAATACAAAAATTAGCTGGGTATGGTGGTGGGTGCCTGTAGTCCCAGCTACTCGGGAGTCTGAGGCAGGAGAATCGCTTGAACCTGGGAGGAGGGGGTTGCAGTGAGCCGAGATTGCACCACCACACTCCAGCCTGGGTGACAGAGTGAGACTCCATCTCAAAAAAAAAAAAAAAAAAAATTGTATTGCGGTAAAATACAGGTGACATAAAGTTGACCATTTAAAGTGTATAATTTAGTGGCATTAAGTACATCCACAATGTTGTACAACCATCTCCATCATCTAGTTCCAAAACTTTTTCATCGCCCCAAACAGAATCCGGTTACTAAGTAAGCAATCACTCCCCTATCCCCTTCCTCTTAGCTCTGCAACCACTATTCTGCTTTCTCTCTATGGATTTGCATGTTGTGGGTATTTCACATAAATGGAATCATACAATACGTGACCATTTGTACCTGACTTATTTCACTTAGCATAATATCTACAGGGTTCATCTGTGTTGTTCCATGCATCAGCACTTCATTCCTTTTTAGGGCTGCATAATATTCCATTGTGTGCATAGCCCACATTTTGTTTATTGGTTTATCAAATGACAGATATTTGAGTTGTTTCCACCTTTTGGCTTTGGCACGCACGCATATTTTAGTAGACTTTATTTTTAAGAGCCATTTTAGGTTCACAGCAAAATGTAGAAGAAAGTACAGTTTCCATACATCCCCTGTTGCCACAGCCTTCCCCGCTATCAACATCCTGCATCCATGGTAGATTGGGTATAATCAATGAATCTCCATTATCCCCAAGTCCATAGCACACATTAGGGTTCATTCTCGTACATTCTGTGGGTTTGCAAACATGTGCAATGACATGCATCCACTATTACAGTATCAGACAAAAGAATTTCACTGCCCTAAAAATCCCCAACCACTGGCAACCACTTATCTTCTCTATCTCCCTAGTCTTGCCTTTTCCAGAATGCCATGTTGTTGGGATCACAGGTGCATGGCCTCTGCCGATGGGCTGCTTTCACTTAGCCATATGTGTGTGCCTTTTGTCTGTTGTGCATAGTGTGGCTGTGAATATTCGTTCCTAAGTTCTTGTTTGCATCCCTGTTTTCAATCCTTCTGGGCATACACCCAGGAGTGGGATTGCTGGGTCACCCGGCAACTGTTTCACTTGCTGAAAACCCACTGGGCTCCTTTTACCCATTCTCCCTACCTCTGTGTTCCCATCCCTCAGAATCTGGTGGAAGCTGCCGAGGAGGCCGACCTGAACCACGAATTCAATGAATCCCTGGTGGTGAGTCCCACTCCTGGCACTGGTGCCAGAGGGCCAGGATCGCCTGAGTACCAGATATGGGGGTGGCGGCATAGGGTGGCGGCGTAGGGTGGCGATCCACTGATTCCATAGACATTTACTGCTCACCCCTCACAGGCACAGCAATGTGCTAGCCTCTGGATCGGAACTTGTTCTTGACCTCAAGAAGCTCACAGTGCAAATAACTCCGGTATAAAGCACATCACAAGTCACTACAGATGGGTGGATGGAGCCTCCGGGGAATGCAGGCTGGAGAAGAGGAGGTCTGCCCCCAAACTCCTGCAGACAGGGCGGCCTGGGGCTGCGCCCAGGGCTCATGGGGGATTTAGGCAGGCAGGGCCTGGAAAAGGGCCTTTGGTCACAGCAGAAAGAAAACACAGAAATAAGAAAACACGCCCAGGCGCGGTGGCTCACGCCTGTAATCCCAGCACTTTGGGAGGCTGAGGCGGGTGGATCACAAGGTCAGGAGATCGAGACCATCCTGGCTAACACGGTGAAACCCCGTCTCTACTAAAAAAATGCAAAAAATTTAGCCGGGCGTAGTGGCAGGCGCTTGTAGTCCCAGCTACTCAGGAGGCTGAGGCAGGAGAATGGCGTGAACCCGGGAGGCGGAGCTTGCAGTGAGCCGAGATCGCGCCACTGCACTCCAGCCTGGGCGACAGAGCGAGACTCCGTCTCAAATAAATAAATAAATAAACAAATAAATAAACAAACACCAGGTTGGTTGAGGAAACAGTGGGACCTGGGCCCTGTGTGTCCAGAGGCTGGTGAGGAAGGCAGTGGTCTTGGACAGTTAGGTGAGGAGGTGGGGGGAGCCTTGGGTGTCAGCGTAGGAGCCTGAGCCTTTCTCAGCAGGGAAAGGCAGGTGCAGAAGGCTTGAGCAGGGCAGGGACGCGGCTGGGAGTATGCGTGGAAGGCCAGCGCGGGCCACAGTGTCGTGAGGAGGAGCCGGGTGTGGGGTGCAGGAACCTGGCGTGGGAGTTGGCGTGGGGATGTCCGTGACGCAGTCCGGCGTGGGAGTTGGCGTGGGGATGTCCGTGACGCAGTCCGGCGTGGGAGTTGGCGTGGGGATGTCCATAACGCTGTCCGGCGTGGGAGTTGGCGTGGGGATGTCCGTGAGGCAGTCCGGCGTGGGAGTTGGCGTGGGGATGTCCGTGACGCAGTCCGGCGTGGGAGTTGGCGTGGGGATGTCCGTGACGCAGTCCGGCGTGGGAGTTGGCGTGGGGATGTCCGTGAGGCAGTCCGGCGTGGGAGTTGGCGTGGGGATGTCCGTGACGCAGTCCTGGGGGGTGTTCAGGTGTGAACCCGGTCGTGTGGAGGAAACGGGGCCGGGGCTCCACCGGAGGCAATCCTAGCACGCCCTCCAACACCGCGTGGGAGAGGCCGAGGGCAGCTGCGGGACTCGGAACCTGGGCCCCGTCTGAGGCCAAGGCTGCAGGCCCCAAGATTGCGCAGGCTCGGTTCTGGGGCTCTGGGACCTTCCTGGCCTGCGAGAAGTGGAGGGGGCTGATGGGGCTTTTTGTCTCTACCTGTCCTTGACTCCGCGGCTGCCTGTCTCCACTCTGCCTCGGCCGTGTCAACACACGCTGCACCAAGTTGGGGACTGAGGCAGCGGTCAGGACAACTGTCATCAAACGTCGGCCTCACGCCTCTCCGCGCCGGCCTCCTGGATATTTTTGTCCCGAATCGCCCTGATCAGTGCCCAGCGCGCCGCCGCGGGTGCTTGTGTAGACTCTGATGGCCGCCCGGCCCCGGCCCTCTCGTCCTCTCACCTGCGCCGTTTCTCTTCCTCTCTCTCCGCCTGTCCCGGTGCTCGGGCCGCCTCCGTGGGCCTCACCCGTCCACCCCAGTTCGACTATTACAACTCGGTCCTGATCAACGAGAGGGACGAGAAGGGCAACTTCGTGGAGCTGGGCGCCGAGTTCCTCCTGGAGTCCAATGCTCACTTCAGCAACCTGCCGGTGAACACCTCCATCAGCAGCGTGCAGCTGCCCACCAACGTGTACAACAAAGGTAGCCGGCACGCTCAGCTCAGGCACACTCACCAGGCACGCCCACCTAGCACACCCACCAGACACGCCCACCAGGCACACCCACCAGGCATACTCACCAGGCTGGCCCACCAGACACACCCACCAGACACGCCCACCAGGCACGCCCACCAGGCCGTCCACCAGACACGCCCACCAGGCACACCCACCAGGCACGCTTACCAGACACGCCCACCAGACACGCCCACCAGGCACCCTCACCGGGCATGATCACCATTTTCCTGAGAAGTTCTACAGGATCATAATCTATAGTCTCACCCTTCAGACCCAGATATTTTAAATGGAGTCTACATGTCTGAAGCCTTGAATGCTGTCTTCGTGGAGAACTTCCAGAGAGACCCAACGTTGACCTGGCAATATTTTGGCAGTGCAACTGGATTCTTCAGGATCTATCCAGGTAAGGACATGGAGTTGCATCTCCCCGACCTTCTGGGATTCTTCTCTGGAAATAATAGGGGCACTGAAGATGGACCCTGGCACTCAGGTCCCCAGTGAATGGGGCTGGTCCTCCTATCCCAAAGCATCTCCAAGCCCACACTTTAGCCCTTCTCACTGCATGATATGCACATATTAAAGGGCTGTGGAATGGATGAATGAATGAATGAATGAAACCATCAAACACCATGAAACCAGTCAATGAATGCCCACATGAAGCTCCTGTCCCATGAAAAGTACTTTGGAAGATACAAAGAAGGATAAAACAATTCTTTACCTTAAGGACTTTATGTCCCAATTGGAAAAATGAGGCGCACTCGCCAAGAGTGTTCAACAGCAATCTGGAAAATGGCACAGGCCACACTCTGTGGCTAGTGGCCAACTTAATAGAGTCCATCAATAAAAATAGAAAACACAGAGCACAAAGTTTCCAAGAGTTCTACCTCTTTTTGATTCCCATTTAAAATAAGTCAGCTCTCCATTTCACCCCAACCCATTTTTATAGTTTAGCACACAGTCCAGGAAGTCTTAAAGTTATCCCACTTTTCTGAAACAGGAAACCAGAAAGGCCCGAGAGGACTCCACTGTGTCCACAGGCTGGAAAGTCAATCTCTCTCTTGGAGTGCCAAGGGAACTCAGAGCTCCTGCAGTTCCCATAGTTGGCATTGTGTTCCTCTGCCAGAATTCACAGCTAGCTATTGTGGCTGTTTCGGTTCTCTGGAGCTTCAATGAATAGGTTTATCCTTCTTCCATGCAGCAGTTCACGTGCCCCTCTTGTCTACTCCAGGGTGGAATTCCTGTAAATATTCCTGCCACATCAGGGCTTCCAGAGACACCAACTTATATGTAAACAACACAGTCCAGATGTGAACGCATCAGTCAGTAGAGAGAGGCCATTTCTCACTATTTTGAATTGCACTATTTTTATTGTTGTTGAGTTTTAGGAGTTATCTGTATATTCTGAATATTGATCCCTTATCAGATATGTGATTTGCAAATAATTTCTCCCATTCTGTGGGCTGCCTTTTTACTCTGTTCATATTGTCTTTTGATGAACAAACTTTTAAATTTTTTCTGAAATCCAATTTGGTTATTTTATCTTTTGTTTTCTTTGCCTTTGGTGTCATACCCAAGGAATGACTGCCAACTCTAATGTCATAAAGTGTTTCCCCTATGTTTTCTAACAGGAGTTTTATAGTTTTAGGTCTTACATTTCCGTTTTTAGTTAATTTTTGTATATGGTATTTGGTAAGAGTTCAACTTCCGTTTTTTCATGTGGATATACAGTTGCCCCAGCACCTTTTGTTGAAAAGACTGCCTTTCTTCCATTGAATGGTCTTGGTACTCTTGTCAAAAATCATTTAATCATATATGTGGGGGTTTATTTCTGGGATTTTTGTCCTATTTTATTGGTCTATATACCTTTCTTTATGCCAGTACCATGCTGTTTTGATTACTGTAGCTTTTCAGTAACTTAAAAATCAGGAAGTGTGCCTCCATCAGTTTTTCTTTCCCCCCAAATTGTTTAGGCTATTTGGGGTTTCTTGAGTTCCATATAAATTTTAGAATGAGTTTCTCTTGCTCGTTGTGATTGTAATAGGGATTGCAATGAATCAGTAGACCACCTTGGGCAGTACTGACATCTTAACAATATTAAGTATTTCAGTCCATGAATATGGAATGTGTTTCCATTATTTCTGTCCTTAATTTCTTTCAGCAGTGTTTCATAGTTTTCACTGTACAGGTCTTTCACCTCATTGGTTAAGTTAATTCCTAAGTATTTTATTCTTTTTGATGTTATCATAAATAGGATTTTTAAAAATAATTTCTCAGATTGTTCACTGTTAATGTATAGAAATGCAACTGATTTTTGTGTGTTGAGTTTGTCCCCTGATACTTTGCTGCATTTATTTATTAGAACTAACAGTTTTTTGTGGAATCTTTAGGGCATTCTACATATGAGATCATCTGTGAACAGACATAATTTTACTTCTTTCTTTCCAGTTTGAATGTCATTTATTTCTTTTTTATGCCTAATTGCTCTAGCTAAAATTTCCAATATTATGTTGAGTAGAAGGGGCAAAAGTGGACATCCTGGTCTTGTTTTTGATTATAGAGAAAAAGCTTCTAGTCTTTCACCATAGAGTATGATATTTGGGATGTGATTTTCCATATATGATTTTTATATCAGTTTCATTCTATTGCTAGTTTTTTTAATGTTTTTGTCATCAAAGGATGTAGAATTTTGTGAAATGCTTTTTATGCATCCATTGGGATGGCCATGGAATTTTTTCCCTTCATTATGTTAATGTGTATATTACCTTGATCAATTTTCATATGTTGAACCATCCTTGCATTCCAGGAATAAGTCCTATTTGGTTATGGTGTGTAATCCTTTTAATATGCTCCTGAGATTTGCTTGCTAGTTTTATGTTTTATCCATGCTGCCAATCTCTGTGTTTTGATGGGAAAGTTTAATCCATTTATATTTAAAGTAATTACTGTTGAGGGACTTATTTCCATCATTTTGCTATTTGTTTTCTATAAGCCTTAAGCTTTTTTGTCCATCATTTTCTGCATTACTGTCTTCTTTTATGTTTAGCTGATTTTTTATAGGGAAACATTTAAATTTCTTTCTCATTTCCTTTTATATGTATTCTATAGTTATTTTATTTCTGGTTACCAGAGGGATTACATTTCACATCTTAAAATTATAACATTCTAATTTGGATTTATAACAGCTTAACTTCAATAACATACAAAAACTCAGCTCCTTTACAGCTCCTTATCTACCCACTTTGGTTGTTGATGTCACAAAATTCCTTCTTTATACATTGTGGTGCCCAAAACCACAAACTAATAATTCTGTTTTTTTAATTTTTAATTTTTGTGGGTATATAGTATGTGTATATATATTTATGGGGTATATGAGATATTTTGATATAGGCATACAATGTGTAATAATCATATCAGGGCAAATGGGATACCATTGCCTCAAGCATTTATCCTTTGTGTTACAAACAATCCAATTATACTCTTTTAGTTATTTTAAAATGTAAAATTAAATTATTACTAACTATAGTTACCCTGTTGTGCTATCAAATACTAGATCTTATCCATTCTTTCTATTCTTTGTACCCATTAACCATCCCACTTCTCCCCAACCCCATCGCTACCCTTCCCAGCCTCTGGTAGCTATTATTCTAATTTTTATCTCTATGGGTTCAGTTGTTTTAATTTTTAGCCCCCACAAAAAAGTGCGACGTGAAGTTTCTTTATGTACCTGACTTATTTCACTTAACATAGTGGCCTCTGGTTCCATTCATGTTGTTGCAAATGACAGAATCTGATTCTCTTTATGGCTGAATAGTACTCCATTGTATACATGTACCACATTTTCTTTATCCATTCTTCTAATGTTGATGGACATTTAGATTGTTTACAAATCTTGGCTATTGTAAATAGTGCTGCAGTAAACATGGGAGTGCAGATATCTCTTCAATATACTGATTTTCTTTCTTTTAGGTAGATACCTAGCAGTGGGATGGCTGGATCACATGGTAGCTCTATTTCTAGTTTTTTGAGGAACCTCAAAACTGTTCTCCATAGTTGTTGTACTAATTTACATTATTATCAACAGTGTATGAGTGTATGAGTTTCTCCAAGTCCTTGCCAGCATTTGCAATTGCCTGTTTTTTGGATACAAGCCATTTTAATTAGGGTAAGATGATATCTCATTGTAGTTTTGATTTGTGTTTCTCTGATAATCAATGATGTTGAGCATCTTTTTATATACCTGTTTGCCATTTGTCTTTCTTCTTTTGAGACACGTACATTCAGATTTTTTCCCATTTAAAAATCGATTATTTGATTTTTTTTCCCACCGAGTTATTTGAGCTTCTTATGTATTCTGGTTGTTAATCCCTTCTCAGATGGATAGGAGTTTGCAAATATTTTCTCCCATTCTGTGCATTGTCTATTTACTTTGTTGATTGTTTCTTTTGCTGTGCAGAAGCTTTTTAACTTGATGTGATCCCATTTATCAATGTTTGCTTTGGTTGCATGTGCTCATGGGGTATTACTCAGGAAATCCTTGCCCAGTTCAATGTCCTGGAGAGTTTCCCCAATGTTTTCTTTTAGTAGTTTCATAGTTTGAGGTCTTAGATTTAAGTATGTAATCCACTTTGATTTGATTTTGGTGTATGGTGAGCGATAGGAGTCTAGTTTCATTCTTTTTCATATGAATATTTAATTTTCCCAGCACCATTTATTGAAGAGACTGTCCTCTCCCCAATGTGTGTACTTGGCACCTTTGTAGAAAATGAGTTCACTGTAGATGTATGGATTCATTTCTGCACTCTCTATTCTATTCCATTGATCTATGTGTCTGTTTTTATGCCAGTGCCATGCTGTTTTGGTTACTATAGCTCTGTAGCATAATTTGAAGTCAGGTAATGTTACTCCTCCAGTTTTGTTCTTTTTGCTCAGGATAACTTTGGCTCTTCTGGGTCTTTTTTGGTTCCATATACATTTTTGAATTGTTTCTTCTATATCTGTGAAGAATGTCATTGGTATTTTGATAGGGATTGCATTCAATGTGTAGATTGCTTTGGGTAGTATGGACATTTTAACTATATTAATTCTTCCAATCCATGAACATGGAATATCTTTCCATTTTTTGTGTCATCTTCAATTTCTCACATCAATATTTTATAATTTTCCTTGTAGAGAACTTTCACTTTTTTGGTTAAATTAATTTCCAGGTATTTTATTTTATTTGTGGCTATTGTAAATGGGATTACTTTCTTGATTTCTTTTTCAGATTGTTTGCTGTTGGCATATAGAAATGCTACTGATTTTTATATATTGACTTTGTCTCCTGAAACTTTACTGAGTTTGTTTATCAGTTCTAATAGTTTTTTGGTGGAGTCTTTAGGTTTTCCTAATATAAGATCATATTATCTGCAAATAAGGATAATTTGACTTATTCCTTTCGAATTTGGAGTCCCTTAATTTTTTTCTCCTGTCTGATTGCTGTGGGTAGGACTTTTAGTACTATGTTGAATAATGAAAGTGGTGAAAGTGGACATCCTTGTCTTGTTCCAGATCTTAGAGGAAAGGCTTTCAGTCTTTCCCCATCTAATATGATACTAGCTGTGGGTCTGTTGTATATGGTTTTTATTATGTTGAGGTATGTTCCTTGTATACCCAGTTTTTTTAGGGGTTTTACCATGAAGAAATGTTGAATTTTATCAAATGCTTATTCTGCATCAATTGAAATGATCATACAGTTTTTTTCCTTCTTTCTGTTGGTAAGATGTATTATATTGACTGATTTGCATTTGTTGAAACATCTTTGCATGGAATAAATCCCTCTTAGTCATGATGAATGATCTTTTTAATGTATTGCTGTATTCAGTTTGCTAGTGTTTTTATTGAGGATTTTTGCATCAGTGCTCTTCAGGGATATTAGCCTGTAGGTTTTTTGTTTGGTTGGTTTTTGTTTTGGTATGTCTTTGTTGGGTTTCAGTATCAGGATAATGCTGGCCTTGTGTACTGAGTTTGGAAGTATTTCCTTCTCCTCTATTTTTCATAATAGTTTGAGTAGGATTGGTATCAGTTTTAGTTCTTTTTTAAATTTTTGGTAAAATTCAGCAATTCTGAAGCCGTCAGGTCCCAGCCTTTTCTTTGCTGAGAGACTTTTTATAATGACTTCAATAGCATTACTTGTTATTGATTTGTTCAGGTTTTGGATTTCTTCATGGTTCAATCTTAGTAGGTTGTATGTGTCTAGGAATTTATTCATTTCTTCTAGGTTTTCCAATTTATTGGCATATATTTGCTCATAGTAGCCTCTAATGATCCTTTGAATTTCTGTGGTGTCAGTTGTAATGTCTCCTTTTTCATCTATGATTTTATATATTTAAGTCTTCTTTCTTTTTTTCTTAGTGGAGCTGAAGGTTTGTCAATTTTGTTTATCTTTTTTAAAAACCAACTTTTCATTTCATTGATCTTTGGGTTTTTTTATCATTTCAATTTCACTTATTTCTGTTTGATCTTTATTATTTCTTTTCTTCTACTAACTTTTGGTTTGGTTTGCTTTTGTTTTTCTAGTTCTTCAAGATGTATTGTTAGATTATTTAAAGATTTTCTACTTTCTTGATGTAGACACGTAAAGCTACAAACTTCCATCTTAGTACTGTTTTTGCTGTATCCCACAGGTTTTAGTATGTTGTGTTTCCATTATCATTTGTTTCAAGAAATTTTTCAATTTCCTTCTTAATCTCTTCATTGACTAAATGATTATTCTAGAGCATATTGTTTAATTTCCATGTTTCTGTATAGTTTTCAAAATTCCTCTTCTTGTTGAGTTCTAGTTTTATTCCATTGTGATCAGAGAAAATACTTTATGTTATTTCAATTTTTTTGAAATGTTTTAAGACTTATTTTCTGGCCTAAATGTACTCTATCCTTGAGAATGATCCATGTGCTAAAAATAATTTGTATTCTGTAGCCATTGAGGGAAATGTTCTGTAAATATCAATTAAGTCTATTTGGCCCGTAGTGCAGATTAAGTATGATGTTTCTTTGTTGATTTTCTCTCTGGATGATTTGTCCAATGCTGAAAATGGGGTGTTGAAGTCTCCAGCTGTTATGTATTGGGGTCCATCTCTCTATTTAGCTCTAATAATATTAGCTTTATATATCTGGGTGCTCCAGTGTGGGGTGCATATATATTTACAATTGTTATATCCTCTTGCTGAATTGACCTGTTTATCATTATCTAATGACATTCAAGGAATGGAATTGCTAGGCCCTAAGATATGTGGGCATTCAACTTTGAAAAGAAAATTCCAAATTGGTTTTCCAAAATACTCACACCAATTATATTCCCACAAGCAATGAATAAGAGATCCCACTGATGCACAATTTATCTAACTCTGAATGTTGTTAAAAGTTTTTTGTTGGTCAGGTGCAGTGGCTCATGCCTGTAATCCCAGCACTTTGGGAGGTCAAGTCAGGAGGATTGCTTCAGCCCAGGAATTCAAGACCAGCCTGGGTAACATAGTGAGACCTCATCTCCACCAAAAATTTTTTAAAAATGAAAATTAGCCAGTCGTGGTGGTGTGCACCTGTGGTGCTATTCAGGAGACTGAGGTGGGAGGATCACTTGACCCCAGGAGTCTGAGGCTGCAGTGAGCTGTGATCATGTCACTGCACTCCAGCCTGAGTGACAGATCAAGACCTTGTCTCAAAAAAACAATTTTTATTAACAATTCTTTAGTATAAAATAGTATTTCATAGTGGTCTAGCATTGCATTTCCCTGATCACTCATGAAGTTGAGCATTTCTTTATATGTTATTAGCTGTATGTATATCCTCTTTTGTGAAATGCATATTGTCTTCTGCCTACTTAACTATTGAATTTTCTAATGTTAACCAATCCTTGCATTCCTATGAGAAACCTAACTTGATTATAGTAAATTATCCTTTTATGCATTACTAGATTTGGTTTATTAATATTTTGTTTAGGATTTTTGCTTCTATATTTATAAGTGAAATGGTCCCTTAATTTTTCATTCCTTTACTATCCTTGTTAGGTTTTCAAAATTATACTAGCTTCATAGAATATATTTGGAAGTAGTCCCTCTTTTTCTGGTTTTTGGAAGTATTTGAATAAGATTAGAATGATCTTTTCCTCAAATGCTTGATAGATTTCATCTATAAAGCATATAGGCCTGATGTTTTCTTATGGGAAGATAAAATTACTGCTTTGATTTATTGATCACTTGTAATGCTAATGTGGCTTTCTATTTCTTAGAATTTGAAGTACTTTTATTTAGAATCCATCCATTTTATCTGACTTTTCAAATTTATTTGTATGAATCTATTATTCTCTTATTATCATCTTTTAAATCTCTGCTGTATCTGTAATTGTGTCCCCTTTTAATTTACAGTATTATGCATTTTTTCTTTCCAATTCCCTATAGATTTCTTTATTTTGTTAGTCTTGTCAGGAATCATCTTTTGTCTCCATTGACTGCTCTTAACTATTTCTCTATTTTCTATTTCATCTATCTTAGCTCTTTCTTATGTTCTCCTTTCCCTTTCTTTGGGTTTATTTTGTTCCTCCTCCTGACTTCTTAAATGAGACACATAGCTTTAAGTTTTAGCCTCCCTGTATTTCTAAAATAAATGTTAAGTCTACACTATGCCACTAGAAGCTCTGTTTTTGCTGCATCTCACAGGTTTTGATTGGTAGTGAGGTTTTTTAAATTTTATTTTTATTTATGGCAAAATATATATAATATAAACATTTACTATCTTAACCATTTTAAGTGAACTTATTAAAAGTATCGCTGATAATAAGTGCATTCTCATTGTTGTGCAACAATCACCACCATCCATCTCCAAAACTCTTTTTATCTTGCAAAACTTTATACTTATTAAACAATAACTCTCCATTCTCTTCTCCCCCCAGCCTCTGGCACCCTCATTCTATGCCAATCTCTATGAATTTAACTATTCTATGTACAACATATAAGTAGAAACATACAGTATTTGTCATTTTGTGATGGGCTTCCTTCACTTAGCATAATGCCCTTAAGGTCCATCCATGTTGTAGCATATGTCAGAATTTCCCTCCTTTTTGAGGCTGAATAATATTTCATTTTGTGTGTATACATATATATGTACACATACACACACACACACACACACACAGAGTTGTGGGAATGTAAAAGGATGCAGCCTCTATCACAAGGGTTCCGACTTTTCTAAATCCTTGCCAGCTTGTTATTTTCTGCAGTTTTCTTTTTGTTTAGTTTTTTTTTAGTTTTCCTGGTAGTAGCCATCCTAATGGGTGTGAGGTAGTATCTCATGGCAACTTTGATTTGCATGCCCTTAATGATTAATGACTTTGAACATCTTTTCATGTGCTTATTGGCCATTTGCTCATCTTTGAGAAATATCTGTTCATGTTCTTGGCTCATTTTTAAATCAGGTGTTGTTGTTGTTGTTGTTGTTGAGTCATAGGAGTTCTTTGTATATTCTGAACATTAACCTCTTGTTGGATTGATGATTTACAAATATTTGCTCCCATTCTATGGGTTGCCTTTTCACTCTGTTGACTGTAGCCTTTGATACATACAGGTTTTTAATTTTGATGTCCAGTCTATCTATTTTTTCTTTTGTTGCCTGTAGTTTTGGTATAGAGGTAGTGTTTTAATTATCATTTGCTTCTAAATATTTTGAAATTTCTTTGTGATTTCTTCCATATTTCAGTTATTTAAAAGTGTGTTTTTAAATTTACAAATATGGGAATGTAGATAAATATTTATATTTACCTTTTTATTCTAAATGTTTAACTCAGTTGCTTTGTGGTCCAAGAATTTGGTGCATATACTATGTGAAATTAATTTAAATTTATTTTAATGGCTGAGTATGACATCAAGTTTTGTAAATATTCCATATGTGCTTGAGAAGAATATGTGTGCTCTCATTGTTGGATGAAATCTTCTATACATGCCATTAGATCAAGCTTGTTAACTGTATTGCTTAAATTTTCTGTATCTTTGCTGATTTTATATTTGCTTGATCCTTATTAACTCCTACAACACTTTTTATTTTAATGTGTATTTTGTCTGATAGTCATAGAGTGACACCAGCATGCTCATGCTTAGTATTTACCTGATATATACTTTTTCCTCTATCCCTTTATTTACGAACTTTCTGTCATTTTAGCCATATCTGTTGAAAATAGTTTATAGCTTTTACATTTTTATCCAAACTGGCAATCTCTTTTACTAGTTAGCAAGTTAAGCATATTTACATTTATTGTGAACATTGGTATATTTGAATGTGCCATCATCTTATTTTTACTGATACATAATACTTGTACACATTTATGGGAATATGTAATATTTTGTTATATGCACAGAAGGTGTAATGATCAAGTCAGAGTATTTGGGGATGTCCATCACCTGGAGTATTTATCATTTCTATGTGTTGGGAACATTTCAAGTCCTCTCTTCTAACTATTGTGAAATATACAATGCAGTGCTAACTATAGTCACCCTACTCTGCTATCAAATATTAGAGCTCATTCCTTCTATCTAATTGTATGCTCGTGCCCACTAACCTTCCTCTTTATTCCTCCCCCACTCACCCACACACATTTCCCAGACTCTGGTATCTGTCATTCTACTCTCTACCCCCATGAGATCAACTTTTTTAGCTCCCACATATGAACGAGAACATGTAGTGCTTGTCTTGAACTCGTGGCCTCAAGTGATCCTCCTGCCTCAGCCTTCCAAAGTGCTGGATTACAAGCAAGAGCCACCGCTCCCGGCCCAGTGTTTGTTTTTCTATGCCTGGCTTGTTTCACTTAACACCCTCCAGTTCATCCATGTTGCTGCAAATGGCATTTCATTTTTTTGGTGGCCAAATATTCCATTCTGTGTATATACCACATCTCCTTTATTCATCTTTTGATGGACACTTAGATTGATTTTGTATCTTTGCTATTGTGAATAGTGCTGTGATAAAGATGCCAGTGCAGGTATACCTTTGATAAACAGATTTCTTTCCCTTTGGATAAATTCTAGGTAGTGGCATCATATGGTAGTTCTATTTTTAGTTTTTTGAGAAATCACCATATTGTTTTCCATAGTGGCTATACTAATTTACATTCCCACCAATGGCATATGAGTTTCTTTTTCTCTGCATCCTTGCTAGCATCTGTTTTGTGTGTGTGTGTGTGTGTGTGTGTGTGTGTGTGTGTGTGTGTGTGTGTTTATTAATAGCTATTCTAACTGGGATGAGATGATATATCTTTGTAGTATTGATTTGCATTTCCCTCGTGATTCGTGATATTGAGCATTTTTTCATATATCTATTGGCCATTTGTATGTCTTCTTTTGAGAAATGTCTATTCATGTCTTTTGAGAAATGTCTATTCATGTCTTTTGCCCACATTTCAATGGGATTATTTGTTTTGTTTTGTTTTGTTTTTACTGTTGAGTTGTTTGAGTTTCTTAGATAGTCTGGATATTAGTCCCTTGTCAGATGAATAGTTTGCAAATAATTCTCTCATTCAACAGGCTGTCTCCTCATTTTAGATTGTTTCCTTTGCTGTGCAGAAGCTTTTTAGCTTAATAGAGTCCCATTTGTTTGTTTTGTTTCTGTTGCCTGTGCTTTTGAGGTCTTATCCATAAAATTTCTGTAGAGACTAATGTTCTTAAGTATTTCCCCTACGTTTTCTTCTAGTAGCTTTATAGTTTGGGGACTTACATTTAAGTCTTTAATCCATTTTGAGTTGATTTTTGTAAATCATGAGAGATAGGGATCCAGTTTTATTCTTCTGCATATGGAAATCCAATTTTCCCAGCACCATTTATTGAACAGATTGTTCTTTTCTTGTTGTATGTTCTTGGTGCCTTCGTTGAAAATTAGCTGGCTTGAGGCCAGGCATGGTGGCTCACACTTGTAATCTCATCACTTTAGGAGATCAAGGTGGGAGGATCATGTGAGGCCATGAGTTTGAGGCCAGCATGAGCAGCATAGTGAGACCCCTATCTCTACAAAAAATTTTAAAATGTAACCATGTGCCATGTGGTGGCACATGGCTATAGTCCTAGCTATTTAGAAGGCTGAGGTGGGAGGATTGCTTGAGCCCAGGAGTTCAAGACTGCTGTGAGTCTTGCACGCCATTGCACTCCAGCCTGGGTGGCAGAGCAAGACCCTACCTCTAAAAACTAATTAATTAAGTAATTAATTTTTAAAAAGAAAATTAGCTGGCTCTAAATATATGGATTTATTTCTGGGTTCTCTATTCTGTTTCATTGGTCTTTGGGTCTGTTTTTATACCAATATCATGCTGTTTGGGTTACTATAGCCTTGAAACATACTTTGAAGTCAGGCAGTGTGATGCCTCCAGCTTTGTTTTTTGTTTTTGTTTATGTTTTTGTTTTTACTCAGGATTGCTTTAGCTATTCTGACTTTTTTTTCCATTCCATATGAATTTTATGATTTTTTTCTACTCTTGTGAAAAATGGCATTGGTATTTTGATAATCATTGCATTAAATCTGTAGATTGCTTTGGGCAGTATGGTCATTTTAATTATATTAATTATCCCAGTCCATAAACATAAAATCTTTTCATTTGTATCCTCTTCAATTTTTTTCATCAGTTTTGTAGCTTTCCTTATGCAGGTCCTTCACCTTCTTGGTTAAATTTATTCCTAGGTACTTTTTTGGTAGTTACTGTAAATGAGATTGCCTTCTTGATTACTTTCTCAGCTAGTTCATTATTGGTATATAGAAACACTACTGATTTTTGTATATTGATTTTATATCCTGTAACTGTACTGAATGTATTTATCATATCTAAGAGTTTTTTGGTGGAGTCTTTAGGTTTTTCTAGATATAAGATTATGCCATCTGCAAAGAAGAGTAGTTTGACTTCCTCTTTTCCAATTTGGATGCTTTTTATTTCTTTCTATTGCCTGATTGCTCTGGCAAGGACTTAGAATACTATGTTGAATAGGAGTGGTGAAAGTGGGCATCTTTTTTTTGTTCCAGTTCTTAGAAGAAAGGCTTTCAGATTTTCCCCATTCAGTATGATGTTACCTGTGGGTTTGTTATATATGACCTTTATTATGTTGAGGTATTTTCCTTCTATGCCTAGTTTGCTGCGAGTTTCTAATCATGAAGCAATGCTGAATTTTATTAAGTGCTTTTTCTTCATCTATGAAGATGATTATATGGTTATTTTCATTCTTTTGATGTCATATATTACTTTTATTGATTTGCATATGTTGAACCATCCTTGCATCCCTAGTATAAATCCCACTTGATCATGGCATATTATATTTTTGATGTGCTGTTGGATTTGGCTTGCTAGTATTTTGTTGAAGATTTTTTGCATCTATGGTCATCAGAGATACTGGCCTGTAGTTTTCTTTTGTTGTTGTTGTGTCTTTATCTGGTTTTGATATTAGAGTAATGCTGGCCTCACAGAACGAGTTAGGGAAAATTCCATCCTCTCCAATATTTTGGAATAACTTGAGGATAATTGGTGTTAGTTCTTTGAAAGTTTGGTACAATTTGGCAGTGAGTCTATCTGGTCCTAGATTTTCCTTTGTTGGGAGGCTTTTTATTACTGGTTCAATTTTATTATGTGTTATTGGTCTGTTCAGGTTTTCTATTTATTTCAGTTCAATCTTGGTAGCTTGTATGTGTCCAGGAATTTATCCATTTCCTCTAGGTTTTCCAGTTTGTCTTAGTGTATAGTTGCTTATAATGGTCTCTATTTATGTGGTATTCATTGTAATGTATGCTTTTTTCATTTCTGATTTTGTTCATTTGGGTCCTCTCTCTTTGTTCTTGGTTAGTCTAGCTAGCAGTTTATTGGTTTTATCTTTTTCAAAAACCAACTTTTCATTTTGTTGATCCTTCATAATTTTTTAGTCTCTAGTTTGTTTGTTTCTGTTCCAGTATTTCTTACTTTTTTCCATTCACTAATTTTAGGTTTGGTTTGTTCTTGCTTTTATATTTCCTTGAGGTGTATTATTAGATTGTTAGAAATCTTTCTACTATTTGATGTAAGCACTTATTGCTACAAACTGTCCTCTTTATACTGCTTTTACTGTATCCCACAAGTTTTGGTATATTGTTTTTCAATTTTCATTTGTTTCAAGTAAGTTTTAAATTTCCTCCTTAATTTCTTCCTTGACCCATTGGTCATTCAGGTGCATGTTGCTTAATTTTCATGTATTTGAATAGTTTCTAAAATTTCTCTTGTTATTGATTTCTAGTTTTATTCTATTGTAGTCCGAGAAGATACTAGAAATGATTTCAATTATTATTATTATATATTTTTTTGAGATGGAGTTTTGCTCTGTCACCTAGGCTGGAGTGCAGTGGTGTGATCTCTGCTCACTGCATCCTCTGCCTCCTGGGTTTAAGCAATTCTCTGCCTCAGTCTCCCAAGTAGCTGGGATTACAGGCGCCCACCACCATGTGTGGCTAATTTTTTTTGTATTTTTAGTAGAGATGGGGTTTCACCATCTTGGCCAGGCTGATCTTCAACTCCTGACCTCGTGATCCACCCGCCTCAGCCCCACAAAGTGCCGGGATTAATTTACTGAGACTTGTTTTGTGTCTTAATATATGATCTGTCCTGGAGAATGTTTCATGTGCTGGTGAGAATAATGTGCATTCTGTGGCTGTCAGATAAAACGTTCTGTACATGCCTAGGTCCATTTAGTCAAATGTGCAGTTTAAATCCATTTTTTTTGGTAATTTTCTGTCTAAATTATCTACATAATGCTGAGAGTGGGGTGTTTACGTTCCAACTATTATTGTATTGGAGTCTGTCTCTCCCTTTAGATCTAATAATATTTGCCACATATATCTGGGTGTTCCAGTGTTGGGTGCACACAGGTTTAGAATTGCCATATACTCTTGCTAACTTGATCCTTTTGTCATTATATAATGACCTCCTTCATCTCATTTTTCTGTATCTGTTTTTGACTTAAAGTTTGTTTTATCTAATATAAGTATAGCTACTCCTGTTTGCTTTTGGTTTCTGTTTGCGTGGAATATCTTTTTTCTTCCGTTTCATTCTGTATATGTCTTCACAGGTGAGATGAGTTTCTTCTAGGCAGCATATAGTTGGTCCCTTTTTTTTTAAACCATTCAGCTAATCTATACCTTTTAAATAGAAAGTTTAATCTGTTTACATTCAAGGTTATTATCAATATGTGAGAGCTATTCCTGTCATTGTATTAATTGATTTCTGGCTATTTTGGGTATCCTTTGTTCTTTTCTTTTTCTCTTATTGTTTATCATTCTGGTTTGGTAGTTTTCTGTAGTGGTAACATTTGAGTCCTTACTCTTCCTTATTTGTGTTTGCTCTGCCAGTGAATTTTATACTTTCATGTGTTTTCATCATGGTAGATATTGTCCTTTCTTTTTCAGGACAATTCAAGAATTTCTTGTAGAGCAAGTCTAGTGGTGATGAATTCCCTCAGCTTTTGCTTATCTGGGAAATATTTTATTTCTCCTTTGTTTATAAGGAATAACTTTGCTGGGTATAGTATCCTTGACTAGCAGTTTTTTTCCTTTTCCAATAAATTTGAATATATCATCTCATTCTCTCCTGATCTGAAAGGTTTCTGCTGAGAAATCCATTGCTAGTCTCATGGAAGTTCCCTTGTAAGCAACTAGACAACTTTCCCTTGCTGTTTTTAGAATTCTCTCTTTGTCCTTAACTTTTTACAGTTTGACTACAATGTATTTTTGAATTATATCTGTTTGGGGATCTATGAGCTTCCTGTGTCCTGATGTCATAATCGCTTGCTAGACTTGGAAAGTTTCCAGCTAGTATTTTGTGAAATAGACTTTCCATCCTTTTTGTTTCTTTTGCCTTATGGGACACCAAAAATGTGAACATTTGGCCACTTAATGATGTCCTATATGTCACATAGGCTTTGTTTATTCTTTTTTTAAAGAAAATTTTTGTCTGAGTTATTTCAAAAGACCTGTCTTCGAGTTCTGAAATTCTTTCTTCTGCTTGATCTAGTCTATTGTTAACGTTTACAAATGTATTTTGTATTTCATTTAATGAATTCTTCAGTTTCAGAATTTCTGTTTGGTTCTTTGTAATGATATCTATCTTCTTAGCAAATTTCTTATTCATATCCTGAGTTTTTTTTATTTCTTTGCATTGCTTTTCTGTATTCTCTTGTATCTCACTGAGCTTCTTTAATATTATCTTAAATTCATTTTCCGGTATTATATAAATTATTTTTTTATTGGAATCTGTTGCTGAAGAATTATTGTGTTCTTTGGAGGTGTCGTATTTCCTTGCTTTTTCATATTTCTTGTGTCCTTACATTGATATCTGTGCATCTGGTGTAATAGTTGCATCTTCCCATTTTTAAAATTTGCTTTTATATGGGAGGACTTTTTCCTAAAGCTATATCTATGGTGTTGGTTGGGTAGGACATTTTGACTTTGATCTTAGACACATGCAGTAGTGTAGTCTCAATATGATTTCTTCAGCTATAAACAGCGTCTGTGGTGTCTGTGATTTCCTCAGTGGCTTAGGGTGGCATTGTTAGTGGAGGCTGTGGTGAAGTTTTTCTGGGGACAAGGATGCCAGATGATCCTGTCCTTGGGCCCCAGTTGTGGCAGTGGGCTGAGCATGCATGTCCTTGGGTCCCAGGGAGGTGTACACTGGCACTGGTGTTAGTGGGTCCAGACAGGCCAATTCTTGGGCCTCCAGGTGGCTTGCTCAGGGGACAGTAGTAGTAGTGGTGGGCCAGGCTGTTGGGCAGGCTTTCAGTCCCCAGAGAAGTGGGTGTGGCAAAGGTGATGCAATCGTTAGCAGTGGTGGGGCAACCCTCTGCCTCCAAAGTGGTCTGTGCTGCTCTTGGCAGTGGCTGCAGTGAGCTGGGCAGTTCAGTCCCCAGGACAGTGGGTGACATGTAAGGGTGGGTGCAACCTATGGTGGTACCAGGAAGTTGAGTGGCCCTGAACTCAGGACCCTGGGAGAAGTTCTCAGGTGCCAACGATGGTAGAGTGGGCTGGGCAGTTCCCAGGCCCCAGACAGGATACTGGCACTGGATGGGGGGAACAGAGAGCCAGGTCAGGTGGACCTGTCCCAATGCCCTCTGCTGGGGCATGCAGACACTGGCTGTGGTAGGCAAGGGTGGGGTGATCCCTTGGCCCCTGGTGGAATGCTCGGGTTGGGGCAGCAGTGGCTGTGTGGCAGCCCTGCTATTGGGGAGGGTGAGGTTGCTTTCAGTGGCAGCAGCCAGATGCAGGCGGCTGGCGAATGCTTGCTTCACTTGTGCTTCATCCCTGTTGGCAGCAGCCCACAGTGCAACGGCTGTACATGGAGGATTTTGTCTTCAGGGTGCATGAAAATTTGTGGTGATTTCACTGCCAAGGGCAGTGGGGTTATTGCCAATAGCTCACGCTTCAGCCCTGGTGGCAGCATCCAGCCATGGTGGTGGCTGTGGGAAGGAAATGTCAGTGGTTCTCCAGGGATATGAAGATCCAGAAGCTGTTGGGCCCCCAGGCAGGACGCAGTCTGGTGGAGTCTGGACTCTTGATATCGTGCTGTGCTGCAGCTGCTTAGAGATCTGGGGGTGTATGAGATCCAGTGTGAGCTCCCTCTCTGGAGCAATGCCCTCACCCAGGCTCCAGGCAGCTCCCTATGTTAGTCTTAAGGCCTACAAGAGTCTAGAGGCTCTCCTGCGGCTAGGATTGCAGGAATCCATGGTGGGAATGTGGACTGCTGGGGGTCTCTCACTTATCCTTTCATTGCATTGAGCAACCTGGAGAGGCTCCCAGCCAATCCTGGCCAAGCAGGGTGACTTGCTTCCGTCTCCTTCCTTGCTTTAGGTGTTTCCTGTCACTTCTCTGTTGAATTCCAATGTTCTCTCTTGGATGATCTATTCAAAGTGTGATTATCTACCTGCTATTTTTGTCCTTCTTTGTGGAGGAGGAAAGTACCAGATGCCTCTAGTCAGCCATCTTGAAGTCTATTATCTTATTTTTTAAATTTTTACTTGTCCTGGTGTTTTTATATTTTCTTTTTCTCCTTTTTTCCTTTTTAAATACTTAACATTTAAAAAATAAATTTCCCCAATATAACTTTTTTTCTCTCTAGCACTTTAGAACTTGTCCCCTTGTTTTTATTCTTTCAGTTATTACCCCTGAAGTCTTATCAGGCATATTTAATACAATAACATTTTAAAATTAAGCTGGGAACTTGGTTTGTACCTATAGTTCCAGCTACTGGGGGGGGCGGCTGAGGCAGGAGGTTCCCTTGCCCAGGAGTTCAGGACCATCCTGGGCAATATAGCAGGATCCCATCTCTAAAAATAAAAAATTAAAATTAAATAATATTTTTGCTCTCTACTCAGTCAACAAAGGCCTTTAGAACTTTTGTGCTTCCATCTCTTTATTCTAGACTTCCATTCTATTGTCAATATTTCAAATTTTTCATCCCCACAAATCAGACACACAAGTATTGTTATTTGATATAAACATCACTTACTTGGAATTAATGACTTATTTACCATTTTATTTGTTCACCATTCCCTCATGCATGTGAGGATGTTTTTCCCATATCATTCCCCTTCTTCTTAAAGTAAGTCCTCCAGAAGTTCCTTTACAGTGGGGACTTCAGTATAAACTGCTTTAGATTGTGTTTATCTACAAATGTTTCCTTTTATCCTCATTCTTGAATGATAGTTTTGCTGACAATGCAATTCTAAATCAATAATTCTATTCTCTCAACATCTTAAAACTGTTTATCCACTGTCTTCTGGCTTTCATTGATGTTGGGAAAATCTACCAGTTTAACTGCTCTTCCTTTGTAGGTGTCGTGGGCTTTCTGGCTGCCTTCGTGGTATTTGTTTATTTATTTATTTGCCTTCGAAGTTCTGCAGTTCCAATACTATGTGTCTATATGTGGATATCTTTTTATTCATGCTGTTTGGGATACGCTGTGCTTCCTAGATCTGTGGAATTGGATTTTTAATCAGTTCTAGAATATTTGCCAGTATCATCTCTTCAACCATCACCTTTCCTCCATGCTCTCCCTTTTCTCTTTCTGTGACTCCAATCAGATGTGTATTAAACCTTCTCATTCCAGCCTCAGTAGAACTCTGGATACATCCACAAATGTATGCATTTTCTTTTTACCCATGAATAAAGCACTATCCATTTAATTTATTTTTTTCAACCTATACATTTTTTCATCTCCGAAAGCTTCATATTTGCAAGGCTGTTTCTTCATTCCTGGTCATTTCTTGTATGTTCTTTGTATTATGTGTTCTTCTCATACCTACCTAGTTTGTGTTTGGTATTTGGCCATTCCAACATCTGTAATTCTTGAGAAGCTATATCCAGCTCTTGAGGTAGCTCTTGAGTCTGCTGCCTCCCACTAATAGGGGTCTGCTCCTTATGTATTTGGGAATCTTTGCTTGTGAGGCCATGCTGCTTGTCCTCTTCAGAGTCCAGTGGGTCTGAGTTGGGAATCCACAAGAAAATTCGCTTCTGTTTCCGCTTGGACTTGAGGGTACCCTCATCCAGGACCTCCAAAGTCCTCTTCGAAGATTTTGGTTAAGAGCCAGTAATCTCAGACTCAGCTTCTCCTCCTCATTGCTGTTCTAAGGATCAAATTCCCCATGACCATGTTGCTGTAAGAATGTGGCCTCAGGAAAGCCCTACCTCCCATGACTGCCTGCAAGACTAGGTCAGACCAGTGGTACTCAAGCTCCCATCACACCACACTCCCATGGCTCTGCTTCCCACCTTCAAGGCTTTGGGTGCTAGCTGACCTCACACATATGCCTCACGCCTGGGGCTCTGTTCTCATTTGTTTGGTTTTGAGATCATGGTCTCTGACAACCTCTCCTACCTTTGAGATGCCAGCAATGCCTCAAAGGGTGTATGTCATCTGAAGTCTAACCACTGTGGAGGAGGAAGGGCCCTTGGAGCTTCTAGACATTCATAATACTGCTACAATCATTTTGTCTATCCCAATCACAACATATTGCAATTCCACCTGTTATTTTTACTCTTCTTCTTTTAAACCCACTATTCCCAATCATAAAGTCTTTTCAAATCGAGATTCTATTGTGGATCATGTCAGTGTTTTCTGTGCATCTATACAAATTTTTTTATTAGGTGGATAGGATAAAAATCTACACCAGCATTCTGCTACTGGGTCAACGCAAGATCTTTCATATCCATTCATTTGTCCTTTCATTCAAGTAACAGACATTTATTAAGCATATACTCTGCTGGGTTCTAGGAATCCCTGACCTCAAAGAGCCTACAGTCATAGAGCCAAATCATTTCTCCCATCCCAGCCAACAGGAAGGATCCTGAGTGCTAATGAGCTTAACACCTAGAGGCAAGTGTGTTAGAAGTCAGAGCACTTGCCTTTTTCAACATTTTGTCCACACTTTGCTGGATGGTAATGGATGTTAAAAGTCACACTTCTCCAAAGCTTCCCCCTCCACTATTTGATATGAGGTTTTGCCTCACAAATGAGTCCCAGGCACCACCTATGTGGTCCTACCTGTGAAATTACCCCCAGCTCTGCATCTGGGCAGTTTGGCTGGTAGATGTCTCCTTGCCAGCTTGTCTCAGTCTACAGGGCATGTCCCAGTGTTCCCCACCCTGTTCCCTAGCTCCAAAGCTGTTCTGCCCTGGGGATCATGGCCATCTTGGGGGTCCACACCCAGCCAGGGGATCTGGGGTGGCCTCACCAAGCTAGTAAAAGAACGAGTCTTTATTCTCCCAGGTATAAAATGGACACCTGATGAGAATGGAGTCATTACTTTTGACTGCCGAAACCGCGGCTGGTAAGAGCTCACAGGGGAAAGGTTTGCGGCCCGGGTATTTATCTCATAGCTTTTGGGTTTTGCCTCATCCTCCTCCACTTCCGCCCCTTCCCCCACCGCCACTCAAGGGCCTTGGGTGTGTAGAACCCTAGCCCGACACAAGAGCAGGAAGAGGGCCAGCATTCCTCCCTTCCCTCTACAATTGCCTTGCTCCAGGACTGATCATGTTTGTCTTTCCCAACCTAAACCTCCTGCCAGGACACTGAGCTGTCTCCACGTCAACCTTTTGTTAGGCTCTCCTCTCCTTCCACACCCCTTTTGTGGCAAGTTGGTAACAGAATCTGAAGCCCAGCTCTCTCCCTTTCTGCTGCCAGCCCCTCAGGGACCCCGGTTGGTCTAAATCAAAAGGAACAAGCGTTACCTCCAGGGCTTGACCTGGCCTGTTAGGTGGCACATCCCCAACCACTGCCACCCCAGATGGCTTCAGCACTGTGTCAAGTGGTTATGGAACATGTGAAACCTGGCATAGATGGGTTGCCCTGAACTTTGGGTGGGCTCGAGCCAGCATCTGAACAGAAATAACTGCAGACCCCTTGGTCAGGTATTGGTTCCGGCTTTGGTTTTCCCATCTTGGGCATGTCCCTTTCTTCCTTCAGGTACATTCAAGCTGCTACTTCTCCCAAGGACATAGTGATTTTGGTGGACGTGAGCGGCAGTATGAAGGGGCTGAGGATGACTATTGCCAAGCACACCATCACCACCATCTTGGACACCCTGGGGGAGAATGACTTCATTAATATCATAGCGGTAAATGTGCCTTCCTGTTCTAGAATAGCTCTCACTTGCTCTAGAAATCATACACAGGTACCAAGGTGACCCACAACCCCTGACCACCCGGTGACCTGCATGAGTGTCTTTGCTGGGCCTGGACTTTGCAACCTGATGCTGTTTATTCTCCCCCCACCTCCCCTCAACTCACTGCAACTGCAGTACAATGACTACGTCCATTACATCGAGCCTTGTTTTAAAGGGATCCTCGTCCAGGCGGACCGAGACAATCGAGAGGTGAGTGTCCACGGTGGCCTGAGACTTCCAAGCCCCTGCTCTTGTCTGGATGGTGGGCGGTTGTCTCTGTAGACTGTTTCTGTGGCCCTTTTTGCTTATTCCCATGGCACCTGGAATGAGAGCAGAGCACGTTACCCATGCAAACAACCCAGGGAACCGCCCTGTAAACACACTGCTGCTTATCAGAGCAAACAGTGAGCAGATAGAGACCTCATAGCAAAGGGAACCTTCCTTATTCAGGACTGGTTTTTCACCCTGTGGATTATATAGGACTCAATTTCCCCTTTTGCCTCCCACCTGGACCTTTCCATTATGTCAGTTTTCATGAGAAGCTTCCCCGAAAGGAGGACAAATTTAAACTTCATTGAGTGTCATCCTTTCCTCTGGTAAAAGACCAAGGAGGAGAGGACATGGCAATAATTTTTTAAAGAGAGCTTTTGCACATCATAGATTCCTCCCTCTGTGATGGAGGAGTTGGGGTTTGAGTTCCTCTTGAAGCCGGGCCTCTGCCCTGGGCACCTCCACACTTTCTGCTGTGAAGTGTGCACCCCTGGGCTGCGGGCTGCGGGCTGTGGTCTGGGAGCCGAGGTTACCCTGCCTCCATCCCAGAACTGTCCTCCCCCTGTACTCAGCTTCACACTTGGCGTTTCCCATCAATAGTGGCCATGGATGTGTACCAAGTCATTTCCCCTCTCTCAGTTTATCTTGGGGACATTTGAGAAACACCTATTGTAGAGGACCAGTCCATGAACTGCATCATGGAGACACAGGCCCTGAAATCATGTCCTTCTGGATGGCCCTAAACAGCCTCCCAAATTAACACCAAACATGAAGCTCCACTGGCCCACTCAACCCCCTGATGCTTCTCTAATATCTCACCCATGGCAGCATTTCAAACTGCTGGTGGAGGAGTTGATGGTCAAAGGTGTGGGGGTCGTGGACCAAGCCCTGAGAGAAGCCTTCCAGATCCTGAAGCAGGTGCCCACTGTAATGAGGCCTGGGAGGGGAGGACTGGGAGGAAGGCGGCAGGTGGAGGGGGGTGGGCTTGGCCTGTGGTCATGGGCACTCCTCTTCCCTACACAGTTCCAAGAGGCCAAGCAAGGAAGCCTCTGCAACCAGGCCATCATGCTCATCAGCGACGGCGCCGTGGAGGACTACGAGCCGGTGTTTGAGAAGTATAACTGGCCAGACTGTAAGGTGACCCTCCCACGGGTGTCCAGGGAGAAAAAAGCTTCTCCTGCTGCCATGGATGGGATCACCAGCAGGGACCCTAGAAGGATGGCCCCCATTCAAATCTGCTTTCCTATTAGAGCCATTCTTGCTTTCAGATGCATTTTAATTGAGTGTTCCAAAATTATGGCTACCCGAGACACAGAGGCCTGATGTAGGAAGTTTGGGGTAAGGGACCAGAATATGGTTTGGGGACATCAGAACTGCCAGGCTGTAAATCTCAGCCTTGCACCTACCCGCAGTCCCCATGGCCCTGGGCGAATTGTGTTGCTGCCTGGGCCTCAGGGGGTGAAATTGGAGAACCCGAAGACTGAGAGGCACTGGGGCCAACATCTAAGACTCATATAAACAATGTTAACATTACTTATGGCCGGGAATTTTGCTGCTGAGTGCCTCTGTGTCTTGTGGGTTAGGTCCGAGTTTTCACTTACCTCATTGGGAGAGAAGTGTCTTTTGCTGACCGCATGAAGTGGATTGCATGCAACAACAAAGGTGAGTGCCGGGCCAGCAGGTACCTTCCCACCTGCACCTGAGCACAGGAGACAGGGTTACCCAGCCCTGGAAGTGCTGAGCACGGGCTTCCCCATGGGCCCCTAAGAGGAGCAGTGCTATGTCAAGAACAGCAGCCTCAGTCCCTCCTTCATATTTGGAAAAAGCAAGGTGAGACAATGTCAGCTCTGTCTCCATCCTGCCCCCATTCTTTCTTTCAGCAAAGTAAGCCATGGACTCTGGTTCTGCTCCCAGACAAAAAGCAGAGGGTCACTGTTTTCTCTGGAATAATGTTTTGTGTGTGAATGGTCCTCATCTATCTCTGACCAGACCCCATTGATTCAACAAAAATTCACTGAGCATCCACTATGCACCTGGCCCCATTTCCAGGCACCAGGGGACCAAGAGGGATCAGGATGGACTCAGGGTCGGTCTACCTCTCAGTATTGTCCAGCAGGGAGACATACAAGTAAAACACCACCCACGATGCAGCCTGAAATGTGCTTTGATGGTGGAGAGACACAGACTGTTCAGGGTGCCGGGGGCCATGGGGGAGGCACTCTCCAAGTCAGTGGGGCGACTGGAAGGGTGTTCCAGACAGAGGGAACAGTGTGCTGAAAGGGTCTGAGACCTGCTGGGAGCAGAGAGGTGCTGCATCTCACTGGCGAGGGGGATGAACACGGTGGGAGGTGGGGGCGTGGAGAGGCCATTCACAGCCTTCTGCGCCATCTGCGCTTTGGAGTGTCACCATGGTTCCAGGGAATAGGCTGTAACACCCACCCCACAACCTGAGCAAGAACAAGGACCAGAGGAAGGAGGAGCGGAGAGGCAGAAATCTCTGCCTCTGATTGGGTTCCCTGAAGAGACCTAAGAGTGGCAGAAGAAAGCTTACAGGGCACTCTCATGAGATGTTCCTGTGAGGAAGTGGGAGGGCGAGGCTGGGAGAGGGAGAGGCTGACCCCCAACACTCTTGCGTCAGGCCCTGCTGCTCCTTCCGGAGCTCTGGGTGGGACAGCCCCTCAGAGATCTTCCAGGGTGCAGCAGAGTGAGCCTTGGCCTCCCACTGGCCTGCGGCTGCCCCTGGGTAAAGGACACAACTGTGGGGAAGCAGCTCCCTGTGCCCCGGTCCAGTTTCCAGAGAGTATTCGGCTATGAGCCATCTGCAGCTGGGGAGGGTGCAGGCCCTGGCGAGGGGTTCCCAGGGAAGCCCTGCCTTCCACACCCACGCGGCCTTCCCCACCGCAGGCTACTACACGCAGATCTCAACGCTGGCGGACACCCAGGAGAACGTGATGGAATACCTGCACGTGCTCAGCCGCCCCATGGTCATCAACCACGACCACGACATCATCTGGACAGAGGCCTACATGGACAGCAAGGTGAGCCTGGCAGCAGCTCCCAGCTCGAGAAGCCCACCTCAGAGTTAGGGACCCCAGGGAGTAAGAAGTTACTTCCTGGGTCAGGAAAGGGGTGGGCCTAGCACCTCCTTAGGGAACATTAAGAAGGGGCGAATGAAGCCGCTTTTCCATGCTTTTCCTCCTCTTTTCCTGACAGCCCTTGGCCCACTAATGGGACCACTGCTCATATGCTGCCTTAGACCCCCAGCAGACCTGCCTGAGGTGCTCTCCACGGACAGGGTCCCTGCTCCGAAGTTGTTCCTTCCTCCTCCTCCACAGTCCTCGCCTCCCTCATCATCCCTCCCTCCCACCCACCCGGGACAGAAAGGGGTCAGACCAAGAATCCACCATCCCACAGCTGGAACACGTTCTCCCTTCCTGGGTCCCTGCATTTTCAAAGGACTGTAGGCAGCAATGACTTGCACGAAAGAATGAACATCAAAGGGAGAGCTTCACATGGGACCTTTCTGGGGAAGGGAGACCTTTCTGCCATTTCTCAAATCCCCATCACATAGGCAGCCACCTGCTTCAGTGATGATGTATCAGGCTGGGCTCCAGAGAGACCTGAAAAGAGTGGCTTAAATAAGATAGAAGTGAATGTCCCCCTTGGGTAAACAAAGCCCAGAGCTGACCACGAGCTCTCTGGCCTGGTCATCAGGGACCCAGGCTCCTCCCTGCTGTCCCCTTTGCTGTCCCAGCCATGTGGCCCTCATCCTCATGCTCAGGAGGCTGGTGGAACATGAGTCAACTGAAACCACACTTAAGCATCAGGCTGTGGAAGGGGAAGGGGGATACTTCGCCCCTGTGAGGGAAACTTGCAGGGACTCTTGCCAGAACCCAGAATTCACCTTTCACTGGCCAGAACTCAGTCCCTGTGCTGACAAAGGAGGCTGGGAATGCAACGAGGCAATGGTCAGCTTTCTTCTGAGTTGCTCTATGTCCAAAAGCAGTGGCATGCTTACTTACCTCCACCTGTTAATAGTAGACATAAGCCATCTGGCCAAATTTGGGATGAAAAGCTCATTAATCTACTTTAAAGGGGCTCCGCCAACACGGCCATGCTCAGCAGATGTCATCTGACCATCACCGACTGCTGCTGAGAAGAGACGAGCTGGCTGCCTTTGGGCAGGGCTCTCCCTCCCTTGTCCAAGTGTTCATAGGGCCCTGAGTGTCCAGGTTTGATGAGAGAGAGGTGGGTGGGGAGAAGGAGGACAGGAGGGGATCTTCTTTGAGCTGTCTTCCTGTGAACCCTGGCACCTGCACTTCCTCTCCATCACCCGTGCATTCATCTGCCTGCCAGTAGCCAGCCCAGCAGGAGGGGCCAGGGCTCCGGTGCTCCGTGTGGGCCTCCCTCACCTGGGAGTGTTGTGGTCATGCCACGGGAGCTGGAAAGCGAAGGCTTTCAGAACCATGAAATCCGATGAGAGAAGCCGGGCATAGGCCATACCTGCTGAAGGTGGCCTGGAGTGTTGGGTGTGAGTTTGGCAGAAGGTGGGTAGAGGCAACCCCAGGTTCCCTGTGTGCTGCAACTGATGTCAGACGGTGCTAGGATGTCCTTAGCATTCTATGGACAGCCTGACCTTCTGACGCTCTCTTACCTCCACGCACACAGACGAGGCCACAGTTCACAGTTTGATCTTCACTTTTACACCTGTCCCTCAGTGAGAACCGCCCCCTGCAACCAGTCCCTACATCTCCTCTGTCTTCCTCCTTCCCTCTCCTGTCCCTGACTTAGGAGTCCCTGAAGTTAAGGGTCACCTGCAGGTCTCCCGGACCCACTTCGGAACCCTCTGAGTGGAGGATGTCACTCCCCTGAGCCCAGGGCAGGTGTCCGCCCTTGCAAGGGTATCCAGAAACATGAGTGCAGGGACAGCTGTGACTGGACTCCTCCCAGACTGAGACATGTCCTAGGGAGAGCAGGCCACAGGGGCCTCCAAGAGCCTGGGAGCTGCTCTCTGGGAGCCAGGGACAAGCTGGCTTCATGCATTCCTAACTCAGGAAGGAGACTGGAAAGCCCTCATGCAGCCCATAGAGATGTGTCCAAGCTCAGAAAACAATTAGATGTCATCGTGGTTCACTCTCAGAAAGCCTTACTTCTAACTCTAAATTGAAAACTCAGATGAGATGAGAGAAAGAGACGTGGTGGCCAAAATGTGCTTCCTTCTCCAAGAAAGTCAACTGTGGACTTCCATGACTCAGCAGTCCCCTTTAGTTGATCTCATCCAAGGTCGGACTTACGATACCTCTCTTCCCACATGCTTGTCAGAAGCCTACTTTTGTTATAAAGTGGGGCACACATGCAGAGCCCCTTTCAAGTGGCTGGAGGAGCCGGCACGGCGAGCCCAGCCAGTCAGGGCGGACAGCCGTCTAGAGGTGGCAAGGGTTTGGCTCTGGTGCTGTGAGTGGAGTCCATGTGGGTCTGACCTGTGTCCTAGGAACGGCCCCGAAGCCCACCACAGCTGCACCACGGCCTGCCTTTGCACTGCAGTGCCTCGGGGTGTGCTTGTGTTTCTGGGTAGCTCTGGGTCAATGTCCTCCCTCTCACCTGTAGCAACCTTAAGTCCATATCAGAGGTTTCTGGAAAGCTCGTGCTGTGCAAAGCCTCTCTGTTTCTGGGCAGGCGCAGATGGGCCTGTTTCCTGGGTTTGCACTTAACACTCGGCCTGGGCCTCGCTGAGACGAGAGAGCTTAGTGAATGTGCTTGGGGCTGGGTCATGGGGCTCAGGACCCTGCTGAGTGACATCAGCCTGGTCCTGCCCTCCAGTCCACTTCTGGCCCCCAGCATTCCTGCCAACTCTCCTTTTGCAGAGAAGGGAATCCTCATTTGGGATTTCCTCCTTCCTGTGGGAAGGTGACGCTGGATAATTGATGTGGTGACTGTGGGTTCTCCGCACTGGGTGCTCCGAGTGCGGCAAACCAGTGGCCCTAGGCCGCACCTTCTGACCCCTGTTCTCCCCTCCCTTACAGCTCCTCAGCTCGCAGGCTCAGAGCCTGACACTGCTCACCACTGTGGCCATGCCAGTCTTCAGCAAGAAGAACGAAACGGTGAGTGGCCGCTCCTGGAGACGTTGTAGCAGGGATTAGAACCTGGGGCTTCAGTGCCATCTTTAGACCAGTGATTCTTGACTTGGCTGTGCCTCTGAGCCACCTTGGGAGGGTTTGAATGCAGATTTCCAGGCCTGTCCCAGAGTAGCTACCCCAGACTCTCCTGGTTGGAGGTGGGCTGGTGGTCTGTGCTTTTCCACAGCTTCCCCAGTGACTGCAGGCTGGCTGGGAGTAGCTTCACTGCTCTGCAGTTGGGACCCCTGCCTTGGGGATATAAGACCGGAGGGTTTCCCGTCAGCCTTCCTGCAAAGCCATGCTTAATCTGCCAGGTTGTGCAGACTCTAACTTGTCTGTAAAGGCCTCTGGTGAGGGGATTTCTTGAGCCTTCCATCCTCCATCAGGTCAGGAAATGTTTCATTACAGGCTCTGTATGCTTCAGAGCCCCCGTGAGTTATGGTCCCTGAGATCCCGATAACTTCGCCCTGTGCCGTGAAGATTAATATTTCATTTAACTTTGGATTCCATTTAAATATTACAACTTAAATATTAATACTGGGTATTAATCTTCCTAGCAGCTGGTTTTGCTCCTGGGACCTCGTCTGATAGAGTCTAGATTTTTATTCCCAGCCTAGAATCTAATTGCAGAGGAAGAACCACTTAAAGCCTAAGTGGCTTCCTCTTCCAGGCTCTGGACAGGCCCAGGGTCCAGTCTAACCTTGTACACAGGGAAGCTGGGTCTCCCCCACCCCTTGTGTCTTTCCTTCCAGCGATCCCATGGCATTCTCCTGGGTGTGGTGGGCTCAGATGTGGCCCTGAGAGAGCTGATGAAGCTGGCGCCCCGGTACAAGGTGAGCCTGGGTCTGTTCCCTGTGGGGATCACAGGTTCCCCAGGAGCAAACTCCCTCCCCCGTGATGGGAGCCTCTCTCCAGGCAAGCCAAGCCCAGAGCTGGGGTGGGGCCCCTCCATCACTGCCCAAGAAGTGCAGGTGCTGAGCAGGGGAGCAGCAACTGGTGCCCCTGGGTCCCTTTCCCACCACGAACTATGACTTGCTCTGTGGCCTTCAGTAAGTCCTTTCCCTGCCCAGTGTCTCAGTTTCTCAGTCTGCTCCTCCGTGCCACACAGTCCTGCTGTAAGGGTGAGTGAGATTACATCATCAAAGCACCCAGAACATGTGGTGGTAAAGAAGTCAGGTAATAATATGTATGATGACGGTTGCTATAAACAGTCCGGTTTGGAAAGGACTCCTCAATCAATGATGGAAGCATGGCACTGGCTCAGTTACGTTCCTATTGAAAACACTCACTGCTGTGAGCTGCCATCTTTGACCGTCCTGTGGCCCCCAAACCCCTGCCCAACTCCAGATGCCCAGCACAAACAGCAGGCCTAATGCGCCTCCACCCTGGACTCTGGCAGCTTGGAGTGCACGGATACGCCTTTCTGAACACCAACAATGGCTACATCCTCTCCCATCCCGACCTCCGGCCCCTGGTAGGTACAGATCTTCTTTGCCTTGGGATCCTTACTGTATGGGATTTGGGGGTAATTCACAAAAACGATTAAAACAACAAACACACATTGGGCTCCATTTAGGAACCCAGTGGGTAATATGAGAAAAAAAATGTATTCGAGTCATGGTCCCTGTTTTCAAGTTGTTTAGATTCTATCAGAAGAGACAAGGCAAAAACATGTGAAATGACTGATGAGTGGGCCAGAGAGCACGTAACGAAGTGTGCAGTTTTGAGGCTAAAGAGCCCGCAGGGCCATTATTCACATCTGCTTGGAGTCTCTCAGAACTCTGGGGGCCTGCGAAGTTGGGTGAACAAGGAGCTAAGCATGGAAATGGCAGGGGAGCCCTCTCCTGAGCAGCACACCTTAGGATGCATTCCTGAGTGCTCCTGGCCCTCCCAGCCCTCTTCACTGTGACACAGAGGCTGGGGTATTTTCACATGAGTTCAACTGAGCCTCTGATGGCTGAGGAAGAAAGTTGCATTGTCTTATCTGAAAGCTCTGCCTCCAGGAGCTAGTCATGCACTTGAGCACTATGCAGCAATAATGACCACAGCTCTCAGTGTGGCTGTTGGGACGGCGGGAGCTAAAGTCCTAGGAGAATCGTAGCCCTTTGCCCTCTACCAGTCTTATGGTGAATAACAGATGGCAACAGAGGACAGACAGCAGAGCACCTTCCGGAGAACTTAGGGCCTCATCTGCCCAGGTGTCATTTGGAGAGGTCAGTCTAAGCCACACTCCATTCATTCCATTTGGTTCAAATAGACACTGAATATCTGCAAGGCAATGATTAACTATTTAAGGCAAACTCTAGGGGTTCTGAATAGAGAGAGATCAGGGCACACTGGAAGCCACTCTGTTCATGCTGTCTTCCAAATCAGGCTCTGCTGGGCAAGCATCTGAGCCCATAACATGTCACTCCCTTGTACCAAGGGGTTCTGCGGGGGACAGCCCCAGTGCCAGCAGAATGACTCACTAGGGAAATAATATGCTGATTCTGGAGCTGACTTGTAGAATTGAGGGGTACTGATCATAAACTGCCTGTTACCATCTATGTACTCTAGACGAATATAAGGCTTCAACCAGTGGATTCACACTGTGGGCCTCCTCGTGCCTGACCTCACGATGCAGTGAAGAATGCTATAAACAGAGGCTTGTACTCTAATTAGGAAAACTAGACTTACACAAATGAAACAATTAGGGAATAATACCACACAGGACACGATTACAAAACAAAAGATATAGCAAAGCCAAAGTAATGAGTTATCTGAGGAAAGCACTATCAGGAAAACAATAGTTACGTTTGAAAAAGAAAAAATAACGAGGATATGCCCAGTAATAAATTAAAAGAGCCATGCCATTGGACTGAAATCTTTCCATGTCAGTGCCCCATGTAGGAGTATTTAATGGAGTAGAATTGCAGTTTTAAAATGAGGAGCTACAGATGATCTTCAGGCTTTGTCAGGATTTAGGAAATGGCAATGGAATGTTGAGCCCCACCCAAAGGAAACAGATCCCATGTAAAAGATGGCAGGACAGGGCTGTTTGATGAGTATGGTCATTAATAAGACCAAGAAGCATGATCCAGGCATGGGAAAGGAGGGAAAGAGGGGAAAGGGGATCCTACAGATCCCCTGAACAGGCAAGAAATCAGCACGACACTTCCCCGAAAAAAGTGAACAAACAAAAAACTGGCGGAAGCAAGATACACAGTGATAGGGGACCGGAGCTGTCCAGGCATCTGCTGGGGGCCTCATTTGGCTCAAAGCAGACATGTTAATTAATCCTTAATTTACCTCAATGATAAACTATCCTCTTTGCTTTTTTGATTGGGGTTAATAAACTAAACCCGGGAAGTGCTGCAGACCTAATCATAGATAACTTGGTGACATCTGTCTTGGCTTCAGAGAGAGAGAAGTCAGGGCCAGAAAATAATAACACTCAGCATGTTGATTAATGGCTGTATGTCAAGTTGAAGGGAGGTCTTTATTAAGCACTGATCTGTCCTTGTCTCCGTCCCATTCAAATATTTTATCCCTAAGATGAAAATGCAGAAGGCAGATGCCATAAAGTCTGGAAGGTATGGCTAATACATTAAATGAGAAAATTAGTATTCAGAAAGCAGTCTCCTAAAACAAAGGGGCTGAAACTAGCAAGATGAAATATATTAGGGATGCCTGGAGAGCTCTGCGAAATACTCAGTGCCCAAGCTTACGATTGTGAAGAGGGACCTGACAGTGTGTCCCATGAGGAAGACCAAGGGGACTGAACTGTCTGAAATCTCCGCCTGAACTGCCAGGTCAGTGCGGCTGGCCAGGAAAACAGCAGAACCGCAGGCAGCAGTCAGGGCCCCCTGACGCCTTAGTGCACAGATCACAGCCCACGCCACACTGGTCAGACCCCATTTGGAAGGTTGGCTTTTGTCCTGGGAACTCCATTTTGAGAGTGACATTGAAGACAAAGTACAACATATTCAGAGGGAGCTGAGGCACCTGCACACCGGGCAAACTCAGTTGGAGCAGTGAAGTCTTAGGCGTGACAAGTATCTTTGGAAATCCCAGGGGCTGTCAGGTGGAACACATTCTATGCAGCTCCAGGGGAAAGAAGGAAGATCAGTGGATGGAAGTAACAGGGAGATGGATTTCAGCTTTGTGTGAGGAGGAACTTTCTAACAATTAGGGCTATCCAAAGCTCCAACAAGCTGACCCACGAGATAGGGAGCTCCCTGCCATGGGGAAGATTCACTCAGAGGCCGTGAGACCATCTGTCATAGATGTCAGTAAGGGGAGCTCTGTATCAGGTGGAATTTGCCCAGATAACCTTAAGTAATTACTGGATTGATTGATTTCTAAGGAATCCTTTGCTTTTATGAATATACCTGAAAGGCTTTGTAGAAGAGATAAACTTGAGCAGGACGTATACTGACCACATGTTTTTCTTCCTGACCTGCCCACTCCAGTACAGAGAGGGGAAGAAACTAAAACCCAAACCTAACTACAACAGTGTGGATCTCTCCGAAGTGGAGTGGGAAGACCAGGCTGAATCTGTGAGTGGGGAAAATAGGGGGAAGGGAAGCTAGTTAGGCTCTACATCCAACTAAATGGGTCAGCTGTGTGGCTGTGAGCTTTGAGGTCACTCTGTTCCTGTCAGGCAGAACAGGTTCATCCCAGAGCCTTTCCAAGCTCAAGCCACAAGCAATGCCTAAAATGAGCAATTCTTTTAACAACTATAAAAATATAACAATATCTTCTTGAATCACAAGGACTACTGAGGCTGGATGAGATCATGTGTATAAGCTGCAGAGTCTGAGTTTTAGTGATGTTTTAGCCTGGCTTTTGATTGCAATATCTCGTCCTAGAGGAAATTATGTCCCAGCAACTTGGCACTCTGTACCCCAATGCATCAGTGCACATGGGAGTGGGATCTTGGTGAATGCCTGGAATTATGAGCTAGATGGAGCTTAGAGTCAGGTCCATCTTCCCTCCTGGTATCTCTCTCAGAGGAAAAAGGGAAGAACCAAAAGTGTTTCTGGGGATCACCTCTAATCTGGTCTGAAGAATGCCATACTTTCACCATCCCCTGTGAGCCAAGGAACTAATGCCATTGTCTTTCCTCCTGAAGCTGAGAACAGCCATGATCAATAGGGAAACAGGTACTCTCTCGATGGATGTGAAGGTTCCGATGGATAAAGGGGTAAGGAGCTAGAAACAGCCAGGGCATGGCCTAGGAAGGCATCTTCATTAATTGGGTTTGGAGTAGTGACGAGGGACCTGGACTTAGCCTAATTATAGCTGAAGAGTTGAGTGCTTGCTGCACCTAGAGGGTCCATTAGGGAGTATACGCAGGGTGCATTGGCCCTGGAGAAACACCTAGCCAGGGAATGACAGGATTGCTCATGCAATGCTTGGCTTTTGGGAGACCGCTGAGCTGGGGAGAAAGCTGGCCAAGGCATTTACAGCTCTTCTTTCCTCCTTATGCTGCCTGCTACTGGCCCTTTTGTTGTTTATAATGAAAAGGGGAAACGTGACAGCTGATTTTGTAAATGGTAAGCAGCTCTTGTGAAGTGTTATACAGGAAGAGATTGAAATATTCACTATTCCCTACAGCTGATTTTCATCCACTGTCATTCCCAGATAGTTAGGAATCAATGCCCTCACTAATCCCATTACTATCTTTACAACCATGTGCATCGTTTATAAAAGATCATTTCATCTTCTCACTTAAAAGGTTCCAATGTGTCTACTGATTCTGCATTGTCCCTTGACATATTTACAAATGTCACCTCCTCCCTCACAGCCACCCCCACCTCCTCCTCCCCTGCCCATCTGCCTCAGCTGAAAGAGCACAGGCATCTGCCTGCAGCAATTAGACCCAAGTTCTTCCACAACACAGACCTCCATGAAAGCCAAACAAGAAAGCACAGGGAGAGACAAGGAAGCATCCCTTTTAGGCCAGACTGATTTTCACTGGGACCAGTGTCTGATTTTGGTGGCATCTGCCTGGCTTTTTGTAAGCTCTGGGCTGAGAAAGGCCTCCTGCAGGCAGACTGGGCACTATAGTGAGGTCAGACCACCAGTGGCAGCTGTTCCTTCTCCTGATCCAAAAGAACAGAGGCTTCTTCCACAGGCACCCACCTTTATCCCAACCAGATTCCTGATCACATGCACAGATGAGCTCTCATGGAGCCCAGCACGGCCACAGCACTGAACTGACAATGAAGAATTTAGTCTGCTTATGGCACAGGACAGCTTAAAGGTAGATCTGAATGTGGCTATACTGTATCTAATACAGACTGACACATGCAGTGGGTGTGGTTCTCTTCTACCCTTTCCCCCAGTGCCCAGGAATCTCGTGCTGCTTTTATGCTTCTCAGAGCCACTGAGGCAGAGTCCTAACCAAATGCAGTAGGCTGAACTTCTGAAACCTCTGCCCATCCTTTCAAAGTTTGTTCATTGCTACTAATAGACCATCTGGGTTACATATTTGCAATTTCGCAAAGGCTTCCTGATATACGGGTGCTTCAACATAAAGAACGTTCAATGAGGATGACGACGATCATGACCATAATGGACGTTCCATGGCACTTAGGGGTTCATGTCTTACTACTATTAGTACAGCTAATAATAATGATGGAAACTAACATTTATAAGAAACTGGGCTGGGCGCTGTCAAGTATTCACTCATTGAACACTCACAACCTGAGGGTGGGCCTATCCTATCCCCATTTGACAGATGAGGATATTCAGAGAGGCTAAAAACTTGCCCAGGGTCACCCAGATGATCAACTGCAAAGCCCATGTGTAACTGCTCCGAGATCTCCCATTCGTAACCACTGCTCTAGAAGGCCTTTTCTGTAGGACTGGCCCTGAATTCTCAACTCTCCAGCCTTAAAGGTTTCCCAGAGTTTGCTTTAGCATAGCATTTCTATTCCACCTTGAACACTCATCGCCTTCTCCTCTCCCTCTACCCCATTCTATCACCACACAGTCCTCCTTCATCCTCCATCTCTTCACCCTGACCCCAGGAGCCTGGCAGCCTCCACTCTGTGCAGGGCATTTTGCTGGTGTGGGGCCGCCGAGGCAGTGTCTGGCTCTCACTGCTCTGATGTCTTAGGCTGCCACTCATCCCCAAAGTGGCTGCGTTTTCTTCACTGCCAAAGGCCCTGTCTCCTCCACACAGCTCTCACAGAGCCATCCAACCGCCCCATGGTCGGCCTGCCTGCTGATCTATCCCAGCCCTCCCTCTCAGCTCAGTGGTGTGTCTCAACTTACGAGCTGGTTTCTCAGTAGAAACCGTCTCCAGGTCTAGGTCTAGGCTGAGGAAAGCTTTCTAAAAGCCTTGTGGGAATAACTGTTACTGTTCGAGCCATCTCCCGGTACAGGACCGCCTGCCGTGTTGTTTTCTCCAGGGGATTTTATAGGTATCCTTATTTTCCACACGTCAACAGCATGATTTAAGGCAGGACTCACAAACCCAGAAACCTATGGGGCCAAACTTGTATTTGTTAATAAACACGAGTAAGAGAAGCAGACAGGCCTCCGTGCAGGGGGCTCTGGGAACTGTGGCAGATGAGAGAACACACACCATCTGCAGGAGACGGCTAAGACCCATGTTTGAAACATGTGCAACTCATTCCAAAAATGTTAAAAACACAACCTGGGCCAACATCTAGGATGTTAAACTCGTAAGAAGCCCAGTTTTGGCTGGCGGGCCTCCCATTTGCCACTTTGATGGCAGGGGTTTTGTCCCAAATTGCAGACCAGTAACAGGTGCCACAATTTCTAACCCATCAGCAGCATGCTGGCCAGACACCCTCAGACACAAGTTTAAAAGAAGAAAGCAGAAGAGCAAAGTGTCCTGGAGTCTAACCTAGGAGTCGTTCTGTCATTCTCGTTTTTGATCATTTCAAACAATAATTAGCAATGGGGGAGGGAAGGGGCAGACAGAGTGTTCCTTCCTAGCCTCTGGGTTCTTCCAAATTAACTGCACTGACTGGAGTCCACGCATGAATATGCACACACAGCAGCAGCACACATGTACATATACCAGCAGCACACGTGTATTGTACACACATGCCAGTTGCATACACGTGTACACACACACCAGCAGCACATGTGTACACACATACCAGCAGCACACACGTGTACACACACCAGTAACACGCGTGTACACATGCACACACGAGCGGCATACATGTGTACACACATACACCAGCAACACACACGTACACACACCAGCACACACGTGTACACACGCACACATCAGTGGCACACATGTACACACACACCAGCAACACACACATGTACATATGCACACACTAGCAGCACACACGTGTACACACACACCAGCAACATACAGGTGTACACACACCAGTGGCACACATTTGTACACACACCAGCAGCACGTGTACACACACACCAGCAGCACACACATGTACACACACCAGCAACACACGTGTACACATGCACACACTAGCAGCACACACGTATACACACACACCAGCAACATACAGGTGTACACACACACCAGTGGCACACATTTGTACACACACCAGCAGCACATGTGTACACACACATACCAGAAGCACACACATGTACACACACCAGCAACACGTGTACACAGGCACACACCAGCAGCACACATGTGTACACACACACCAGCAACACACGTGTACATATGCACACAACAGCAGCACACACGTACACACACACCAGCAACACGTGCGTACACACCACCAGCAACACACACGTATACACACACACACCAGCGGCTGGCATTCAGAGCAGCTTTGCCTCGTGTTCCTCCAGTGCCCTTGAATCCCTGCACCCTGGATTTCAGGAACACAGGGCTAGAGTACTCTGTGACGTGCTCTTACACTGTCTTTCTCTCTCTCTCTTCCCCTCACATTTTTGTCCGGCAGAAGGAGTCAGTGTATTAAAGGAGCAGATTGCTCAGATACCTCTTTACTCCCAGCCTCGTCTTCCAGACCTCTCGCGCTCTCTCTTTCTGTTAACAGAATTCACAGACCCCCTCCCAACCCCCCACACCCCTTCTCTCTTCCTTTTACTTCAGCCTTAAAAGGTGATCTCAAAGTTCATTTGAGTAAGGTGTAGCTTGACTAGACTCACCCTTCAGCAGATAACAATTATAAACTCTGAACAAAATACAAAAAACAAAAACGGAAAGGCACTTGAAAGCGACCAAAAGCAGGCAGCAACAACCCTTGAATCAAGAGAACTGCATTGGGTGTGATATGCGTTTTGATGGCTCTTTTTCCCAAAGGGCACTCCCCAGTCTGTCTGGAGCGCAACAGCTAGAATTCAAGCAGAAGGCTGCAAGGTTGTCACCGTGAAGTGTCAGAGAACAGAATTTGCATTTCCAGAGTGTCTGGAAATGAGGAGGGCTAGCCCAGAAGCAGCGAGCCACAGGGAGGCTAGACCCCAAATCTGTTTACAAACTCCTCTGAAATTCCTGGCTGACTCCTGAGCCCTGCAGACACAGGGAAGCCTCGAGGTGCCCCAGTGGAATGCAACACGGAAAGCCGAAAGCAGGATTCCAGAGCAGGATCTCAACACGGGATCTCAGCTTTTGCACGTGTAGTAGGGACAGTTTGGAGTGTGAGTCACACAGAGGTGGAGGGGCTTGGTAAACACCTCAGGATTTCCTTTGAAAGCACAGAAGAACTACACCTTAGGAGTAAAGACTGTCCCACGACCAAGAGATTCGCCCTAGGCCTAAAGACAAAGCTGAGACAGACCCACCCAAACAAAATGTGAATTCAAGCCTCTATATGCTCAGTTCTTATCAACCCATCATTTAACTACTGCTTAATACAAAAACACCTTCAAAGGAAGACAAGAGTATCTACAGCCTACCCCTCAAATATCCAGTATATAATAAAAAGTGTTATGACCCAGCTGTTAGAATTAGAATGACTTTAGTGCAGACATTGTAACTGTGTAAAGGAAAAGATGTTCATAATGAGGGAACAGATGGAGAATCTCAGCGGAGAAATGGTTAGGGCTTGGTCAAAGAACAGAGCCCCTGGGAGTGATAGAATGTAGGATTTTATCGTAGGGATTAGACCTTATGAAACTGTGGGAGCTGTTTATGAAATCTATGGAAAGCTGGTGTCTGCATCCAATGGTGAGCTTGAAGTCATTGTAGGTCAGCATGACCAGCAGTTGGGAAGGAAAGCTGGATGAGATGTGGAAGAAAGCAAGAACGAACTGGAACTCAAGAGGAAAAACAGGAATCCGTGAAAACAAACTGAAACCCACATCTGTCACTCACCAACTCTACCCATCAGGATGGCAGATGACCCGCAGACGGAGCCAGTGCCTTCCATGAGGAGCTGCATCCTCACCAGGTTAGGTCTCAGGGAAACTGAAGGAGGAGAGCCAGCAGCAGCGGGTGGCTTTGAATCTGGCTTCGGCCCATGCCTAGAAAGCACGACGGTAGGTTACAGCAAAGAGTGGCAGAGCCTGGTATTCTGTGCGGACTTCAGTGTGCAAAACGGCTACTGCTGCACTTCTGTCTGCAAATCTCACACACACTTCTCTTTGGCTGACCCTGACTCGAAACCACACTGGGCATTGAGTCTGGAAGTGTAGTTCCAGCTTAGCTAATTTGACACAGTACAAAATCATTATAAGAACCAAACAGGAATTTTTTTCTTGCTTTAGACCTGCTTTTCGATTGTATATATTTAAGGTGCACAACGTGATGCGCAGTCATCCCTCAGCATCCATGGGGATTGGACCAGGACACCCCAAAGATACCAAAATCCATGGATGCCCCAGTCCCTTCTATTAAATGGTGTAGATTTATGTGTAATCTACACAGTCTTCCCTAATACGTTAAATCATCTCCAGATTACTTATAAAACCTAATACAGTGTAATTGCTATATAAATAGCTACACTGTATTGTTTAAGGGATAATGACAGAAAAAGTCTGTACATATTCAGTACAGATGCAACTATCCTTTTTTCTGGAATACTTTTTGATCCACAGTTGATCGAATCCAGGGATGTGGAACCTGTGGATATGGGAGGACCAACTGTACTTATCTTGATATACAAAGTGAAGTGAAGGGATGACTACAGTCAAGCAAATTAGCATACCCATCATCTCATATAGTTACCTTTGCTTTAGCCTGTGTGTGGTAAGGACACCTAAACTCTGTGCTCTTGGCCAGTTTCCAGTGTACAATACAATACAATACAATGAACTCTAGTCCTCATGTTGTACATTAGAGCTCTAGCCTTAGTCATCCTAGATAATCACAACATGGTACCTTTTGACCAACGTTTTCTCATTCCCCACCTCCCACCGTGCCTTCCCCTGCTGCTAGTAACCACCATTTTTCTCTGTTTCTATGTATTCCATTTTTATTTTAGATTCCACATATAAGTGAGATCACGCAGCATTTTTTTCTGTGTCTGGCTAATTTCACGTAGCATAATGTCCTCTAGGTTCATCCATGTTGTAGCAAATGGCAGAATCTCCTTCTTTGTTAAGGCTGAATAATATTCCTCTGTATTTATAAGCACTACAATTTCTTTATGCATCCATCAACAGATACTTCAGTTGTTTCAATATCTTGGCTATCAATGGTGCAATGAACATGGAAGTGCAGGTATCTTTATGAGGTGGTGATGTCCTTTCCCTTGGGTATATACATGGAAGTGGGACTCCTGGGTCACATGGCAGTTCTACTTTTCATTTCTTTAGGCTCCTCCATATTGTTTTCCACAGTGGTTGCACCAACCTACATTCCCACCAACAGTGTACAAAGGTTCCCCTTTCTTCACACCCTTGTCTACACTTATTTCTTGTCTTTTTGGTAGAAGCTATCCTAAGAGGTATGAGGTGGCATCTCATTGTGGTTTGGGTTTGCATTTCTCTGATGATCAATGATGTTGAGCAGCTTTTCAAATATCTGTTGGCCATTTTATGTCTTCTTTTGAGAAAGGTCTATTCAGGTCCATATTTAAATCAGATTATTTGGATGTGTGGGGTGGTGGTGTTGTTTTTTGGTTTTTTTGCTGTTGAGTTGTGTGGGTTCCTTATATATTTCGGATATTATAAAATATTTGCAAACCATATATTTTATAAGATTTTTATGTCCCTTATAAAATGTGCAAATATTTTCTCCCAATCCATAGGTTGCCATTTCATTTTATTGATTGTTTGCTATGCAGAAGGTATTAGTCACTTTTTATTTTAGCTGTTGTTTCTTATGCTTCCAAATGAAAATTTTAAAACCAAAAAGTACCGTATCTGAAACGAAAGCTTTACTGGATAGGCTTCCCAGCAGGTTGTAGAATAAAGGGACAGTGAACTTAAAGATGGATCAGTAGAAATTATCCAATTTAAAAACCAGGGGGAAAATGGGGAAAAAGACAGAGAAAGAAACAGAACTTCAGCAACCTGTGAGATGGTATCAAGTGGTCTAATTACATGTTCTTGGAGCCCTAGAAGGTAAGGAGAAAAACTCAAGCAGAAAAAAAGCATATTTGAAAAACTAATTGTCAAAAATGTCCTGAATTTGACATAAAACAGCAATCTACAGATCCAAGAATCTCAGCAAACCCCAAGCAGGATAAAAAGACAAAGAGAACCACATCTGGGTACTTCATAGTCCAGCTACTAAAATCCAAAGGTAAGAGAAAATCTTCAAAAAAGCTAAAGGAAAAAAGATGCATTACATAAAGGGAAACAATAAGACTGCTGTATATAAGAACCAACAAAATAACATCGTTAAAGTGCCAAGAGAAGAAAAAACTGTCTACTCAAATTTCTGTAGAAAGAGAAAATACACTTCAAAAATAAGGATAATGTCTTCGGTAAGGACATTTTCAGGCCGGGGCAGTAGCTCACACCTGTAATCCCAGCGTTTTGGGAGGCCAAGGAAGGAGGATCACTTGAGCCCAGGAGTTCGTGACCAGCCTGGACAACATAGGGAGACCCCATCTCTACAAAAAAATACAAAAAAAAAAAAAAAATTAGCCAGGTGTGGTGGCATGCACTTGTAGTCCCACCTACTCAGGAGATTGAGGCGGGAGAATCACTTGAGCCCAGGAGGTTGAGGCTGCAATGAGCTGTGATCATGCCACTGCACTCCAGCTTGGGCAACAGAGTGAGACTATGTCTCCAAAACAAACAACAAAAAAAGACATTTTCAGATAGAAGGAAACAGAGGTTTCATTATTATCAAGACCAGCAGCAAAAATGCTTCAGAAAATTCTTTAGGCTGAAATAAAGTGACATCAACTGCAGGTCTACAGGACAGAATCAACCATACTGGAAATGATAAATAATGTGGGTTAATAAAAGACTATATTTTATTTATTCTCTTAATTTCTCAAAAAGACAACTGACTATTTAAAGCAAAAGTTTCGATGTTGCATTGTGGGGTTTGTAATATATGTAAGTGTAAATTATATGGCAACAATAGCACATAGCAGAGTTATCTCAAAAATTTAAAGTTAATTTAACATTGAAAAAATTAATCAGTCAGTGCAATTTATTACATTAACAGAATAAAAAAGAAAAGATAGAGGGTAATCTCAATAGATGCTAAAAGAGCATTTGACAAAATTTAAGAACAGAAAGAAACTTCTTCCCTCTGATGAAAGGCACCTATGAAAAACCTGGAGCTAACTTTTGATGGTAAAATATTGAACACTCTCACCCTAAAATTGAGAACAAGGCAAGGAGGACTTCTCACCACTTCTATTCAGCCTTGCACTGTAGGTCCCAGCCCCTGCAGTAAGGCAAGAAAACAAAATAAAAGGCACAAAGACAAGGAAGGAAGAAGTAAAACTGCCTTCATTCAGGGACAAAATTATTGTTTCCATAGAACATCCCAAGAATCTACAAAACAAACACTAGAACTAATAGGTAAGTTTAGCAAGTTCAGAGAACACGATTTTATAAAAATTAATGTTATTTGCATATATAGCAGCAAACAGAAAATGGAATATTTTTGGTCCAGGAACGCCACCGTCCTTCAGGCCAGCGCCCCGCAACCGCCTCCCCGCGCCCCGGTTCCCCACACACCGGCTCCCCTCGCGCCTGCCGCCCGGGCTGCATCTGGTGGAGCCCCCGGCTGCCCCTGGTGCTGCTGCTGCTGCTGGGCCTCGTGCGTGGTGCAGCCGCAGCGGATGCGGTGAAAAAGGGCAACGGGACAGCCTGCGTAATGGCCAGCTTCGCTGCCTTCTCGATGAACTACGACTCTAAGAGTGGCTCTAAGAATGTGACCTTTGACCTGCCATCCAATGCGGAAGTGCTTGACAGTGGCTCTTGCAGTAAAGAGAACACTTCCGACCCCAGGCACGCGATTGTGCTTTGGAGGAAGACAGACACTGACCTTCCATTTCACAAGAAGTGCGACACGTGACAGCGTCCAGCTCATGAGTTTTGTTTACAACTTGTCAGACACACACATTTTCCTCAGTGCAAGCTCCAAGGAAATCAGGACTGTGGAATCTCTACCAGATATCAAGGCCCCCAGGTCCGCACGAACAGCGAGACCATCAGGCTCCGCGGTGCCCCGATCCAGGCCTAGATTTCCAACAGCAGCTTCAGCAAGGGAGAGACGCGCCACGAGCAAGACGCGCCTTCCCCGCCACGGCGCCGAGAGCCCCTTCTCCCCTCCGTGGCCAGGTACAGCGTGAGCGGCACCCACGGGGCCTGCCTGCCGGCCAGCGCGGGACTGCAGCTGAACCTCACCCAGAGAGGAGGGACCACGCGACGGTGACCTGGGCATGACCTCAGCCAGCGGGAGCGCGGCGCCCACCTGGAGACCCGGGAGCGGCGCGGCGAGGGCACCACGGTCCTGGGCTTCCGGTTGGGGATGAATGCAGGTTCTAGCCGGATTTTCCTACGAGGAATCCAGCTGAATACGACTCTTCCTGACCCCAGAGACCCCACTTTTAAAGCTGCCAACGACTCCCTGCGAGCATTGCGGGCAGCCATCGGCAATTCTACAGCCGGAGCGGAGCGTGTCCGCGGCACGAAGGCGTTTTCAATCAACATATTCCCAGTGTGGGGCCAGGCTTTCAAGGTGGAAGGCAACCAGTTCGGATCTGCGGAGGAGCGTCTGCTGGGCGAGAACAACACGCCGATCCCCATCGCCGTCGGCGGCGCCCTGGTGGGACTGGGCCTCCTCGTTCTCATCGCCCACCTTGTCGGCAGGAAGAGGAGTCACCCGCACGGCAGCAGGCACAGAGCTGCTGGGGTCTCTGTTCATCCCCCTGGGCTTAGGGTCCTGAGACAGAGGCACACTTTCTGGCAAACATTTCTCAAATGTGCTTCATCAAATGGGATGTTCATCTTGCAGCATTTGCCATACACGGCAGAGTAACTATGGAAATGACGGTGTTAATTTTGCTAACTGGGTTAAATATTTTGCCAACTGGTTAAACATTCGTATTTACCAAAATAGAACTCTAAGGGACGGTGGTAGTGCTTCTCAACATTGGCACTGGCTCCATTGTCATTCGACTTTAAAATGTCCGGGGTTGGTTTCCTCATTCTTTGCTGCACTCAGATTTAAGCCTTACAAAGGGAGAGTCTCCGGCCTTCACGCTTAGGAGCCTGAAGGTCGGCTCACCGTTAGGCTGACATGCTCATGAAATTACAAACAGTAGAGAGGGAAAATCCTAAGACAGAAGAACTCCAAAGATAAACGGGCCTGGCCGCCTTTTAAAGATGAGCGGAAGCACTCCAGACATTTGTCTTTGGACGGGATGGGCCCGGCCACTCACGGCTGGCGGCCACGTTCCAGCGAAGGCACCTGGTGGCATGTCCTCCCGCATTTCCGAAACTCTGCTGCTCAAGGGCTGGCACTTTTTAAAATATGAAAATGGGTGTTATTATTTTTTTTTTTTTGTAAAGTGATTTTCAGTCTTCTGTTGACATTCAGGGTGATCCTGTTTCTGCGCTGTGTACAATATTAGATAGATATTATCTACTGATGTGTCTGCTGTGGCTTGGGATGGTTGTACACAGGACCAGCTCACATAATGCATTGCCTGTAACAATGCTAACGAAAAGTGTCTTTCTCCAAAAAGAAAGAAAATGAAATATTTTAAAGTTCCAATGACAATAGCATCAAATAACATAAAATACTTAGGAATAAATTTAACAAACGTATATATGACCTCTACACTGAAAACTACAAAACATTGCGGAAAGAATATCAAAGAAAAAAGTAAATATAGAAAGATATAACTCTGTTTATGGGTTAAGATCAGTATTGTTAACACATTCATTCTCCCCAAATTGATTTATAGATTCAACGCAATCCGATCAAAATTTGAACAGACTCCTAGAAACAGACAAGCTGGTTCTAAAATTTATATGAAAATGCAGAGGACCTAGAATAGGCAAAATTATCTTGAAATAGAAGAACAAATTTGGACAATTCACAGTATCTGATTTCAAAACTTACTATAAAGCTACAATAACCAAGCTGGGTGGTATTGACCAAAGAATAGACAAATGGGTCAATGACCTGAATAGAGAACCCAGAAATAGCCCACACATATATTATCAATTGATTTTTCAATCAAGACACCTTGGAGTGTCATTGGAGCAAGGCAATCTTTTCAACAGATGGTCCTAGAACAACTGAATAAATGTATGGGGGAGGGGAAACATTGAGCCATAGCTCATACCACATACAAAAACTAATTGGATGAATCATAACCTTCAATGTAAAAGCTAAAACTGTAAAGCTTTTACAAGAAAAAATAGGGGAAAATCTTCTCAACCTGAGGATATGCAAAGATTTCCTAGGCAAAAACACAGAAAGCACTAAACATGAAATAAAATCTGATAAACTAGACTTCATTGAAAGTAAAAGTTCTGCTCCTCAAAAGGCACCAGTAAGAAAATGAAAAAGCAGGCAGACTTGTATCCAAAATACATAAAGAACTCCTACAAAGCAATAACAAAAAGACTAAAGCCAAATAAAAAATGCTCAGAGCACTGAGCAGACACTTCGTAAAGGAAGCTGTGCAAGGATGCTCAACATTAGTCATCAGAGAAATGCAAATCAAAACTACAAGACTTAGCCGGGCACGGTGGCTCATCCCTCTAATCCCAACACTTCGGGAGGCCGAGGTAAGCAGGTCGCTTGAGGCCAGGAGTTCAAGACCAGCCTGGCCAACATAATGAAACCCCGTCTCTACTAAAAATACAAAAATTAGCTGGGCATGGTGGTGTGTGCCTGTGGTGCCAGCTACTCAAGGGCTAAGGCATGAGAATTGCTTGAACCCGGGAAGCTGAGGCTGCAGTGAGACAGCCTGGCGACAGAGTGAGACTCTGTCAAAACAAAACAAAACAAAACAAAAACCAAAAAACTGCAAGATTCTCTATAGTGGCTAAAATTTAAAAGACTAATAACACCAAATACTGGCAGCGCTGTGGAGAAATTGGAACTCTCAGACATTGCTAATAGGAGCATAAAATGGCAAAACACCTTTGGGAAATTGGCAGTTGTCTTATAAAGGTAAACATACATTTACCATGTGATCCAGATTCCATTCCTAGATTTTTACCAAGAGAAATGCAAACACATGTCCCAGGATATTTATGGTAGCTTTATTCACTATAGCCCCAAAGGAGGAACAACTGAAATATACCAAAATATCCATCAATCGATGAGCGTAGAAGCATACTGGGCCGTGTCCACACACTGCGATACTACTCAGCAGCAGAAAGGAACAAACTACTGGACGGACAGCAATATAGACGGACGCTGAAAACATTATTTTGAACAAAAGAAGCCAGACGCAGTTTTTGTGTGTGTCATACTATAAGAACAGGCAAAACCAATCTATGGTGACAGAATCCAGAACAGAGTTTGCCTGTGAAGGAGTGGGATGGGATGGACCAGAAGGGGTAGGCAGAGAGACTGGAGAGGCTGTTCTGTACCTTGACAGGTTGGTAATCACAGGGCTGGATACATGTATCGAAGCTAATTAGGTAATACATGGAAGATCTGTGCATCCACCCTTTCCTTCAATTAAAAAAAAAGATAGGCCGAGCATGGTGGCTCACGCCTGTAATCCCACCACTTTGGGAGGCCGAGGCAGGTGGATCACCTGAGGTCAGGAGTTTGAGATCATCCTGGCCAACATGGTGAAACCCCGTCTCTACTAATAATACAAAAATTAACTGGGTGTGGTGGCGTGTGCCTGTAATCCCAGCTACTCTGGGGGCTGAGGTGGGAGAATTGCTTGAACCCAGGAGGCGGAGGTTGCAATGAGTCAAGATCACGCCATTGCACTCCAGCCTAGGTGACAAGAGGGAGACTCCATCTCAAAAAAAAAAAAAGAGTAAAAATAAAAAAATGATCTCCAGTTCTGACACTCCAGCCAGCTGCTCCTTGGAGCACAGGGCACCCAACTCCCCCAAGACATCTTCCAGGACATCCCACGACCGCTGCAATAGAGAGAAGCTACAGAGAGGGTCTGACTGGGCAGAGGAGCCAGAGGGCATGACCAGGGGATGGGTCCAGTTTTGTGAAAGGTGCATTCTGATTTGGCATAAAGCCAGTTTCCTAGAGAAAGCAAGGCTTTTGTTGCCGTCCTCTCTCTCTGTGTCCCTTCTGACACCTCGCTCCAGTTTCCAAAATCAAAGAAGGAAAGTCAGAAAGAAGTAAAGGGAATAAGAACAAGTCCTGGGCCAACTGCAAAATGTGGCTTTCCCAATGACATGAACTTGTGTGGTGGACAGGACAATCCACAGAACCTCAGCACCCCGAATGCACCCTCACGGCAGCCTCGTGCAAGAGAGGCCGTGGACAATCCTGATTTACAAATGAGAACTCGAAGTGAAGTAACTTGCTCAAGAGCACACAGGTCGAAAGTGGCTGAGCTGGGCTTCAATCCTGGTTCATCTAAGCCCAGCCATGCCCTTAGCCACTTTTGTACTACATGATGCCCTAGTTTATACAAAGTAAACCAAGGCTAAAAGATGGCAGCTTAGAAAGGAAAAGGAAGTTGTGAAAGGGTCCCGTGGCCCGGGCATGGATGACAGTGGAGGGAGAATGGTGCACCCCTTCTCCCTGGGTGTCTTTGAGGGCGAGGAGGTTTAAGTGGATTGTGTATGTATACATGGGCTCCAGAAGTTCTTAGCACACACTGACAGCCCCAACCTCAACCCTCTAGGAACCATAGAGTCATGGTCTACATCAGCACTGCCCAATATAGCCGCTAGCCACATGTGCTAACTAAGTTTAAATTTATGCCAACTAAAATCTGAAAATTCAGTTCCTTGGCCACACATTTCAAGTGCTCAGTGCTGCTTAGGGGCTATCGTGATGGGCAGTGCAGGTCCAGACCTTGATCCTGAAATCCAGGCCACGCCCCAAAGGGCTGCAGTTTGCTGCACCTAGAGAGGATCTGCCTATGGGTGTCACTAGGATGAGGTGTGTAGGGGCTGGTCAGGGAGGAGACAAGAAGGCGGAGGGACTGTACAGTGACGATGAAGACCCCAAGAGCCCTGGGGGCGAGGTGGGGGCTGGGGGCCGCTCTTCTCTGCGTGAGCACTCTTTCCTTGTCTACTCTTTCAGAAGCGAGTTCTTTTCCTGACCAATGACTACTTCTTCACGGACATCAGCGACACCCCTTTCAGGTGAGGGACACAGGCTTTATTTGCACGGGGTGAGGGTTGAACATGAATACCAGCAACTCATATTTAGTTGGCAATTTTGTGGTAATAGCAAAAGACCCAGGTCAGCATCCAGGAAACTTGAGGTGTAGACCTGCTTTGCCAGTGTAGCCTAGAATGCAGGTTCCAGAGCCAAACTGCCTGGACGTGAACCCCAGCTCTACCATTTACAGGCTGTGTAAACTTGGTCAAGTGTATGTCCTGTGCTATGCTCCTGTGGGCCCCAGGCAAGCCCCGCCCCTTCAGATGCTGTTGTTATTTCACTGCTCATCAGCGTCCAGCAGCCAAGCTGCCTTAACAGGTCATTTCCCCGAGGGCGGTTAGCCCTGTCTCTGAGAAGAGGCTCTGAGGTCCAGCACTCCCTGCTTTACTGATGCGTCACCTCTGCCTCCTACAACTCTGTTAACAGGTCTTTGAGTTTCACTTAACTTCTCTGTGCCTTAGATTTCGATCTGTAAAATGGGGGTGACAATAACTGCTGCTTTTTGGTGATGTTGTGAAGATTAAGTGATATCATCCAGTTAAGATCCTAAAGCAGTGAGAAGAGCAAATTGGAAGATCTCAGGTTCCGTGCAACTGTAGAAATATTTGGCTCTAGGTATTAGGCAGATTAGAAAACAAGTGGTCGTTACCTCTGAATTATCTGATTTCTCCGTAAAGCCCTGGTTCCCAGCCCTGACTGCTCATTGGAATACCTGAGGAATTATGTGAAGTTGCCACTGCCCAGGCTTCATCCAAAACCAGTTTTTTTTGAGACAGGATCTCACCCCGTCTCCTAGGCTGAAGTGCCGTGGCACAAACAGCTTACTACAGCCTCCACCTCCCGGGCTCAAGCGATCCTCCCACCTCAGCCTCCCGAGTACCTGGGACAGTACAGGAGCGTGCCACCACACCCCATTAATTTTTTGATTAAAAAAAAAATTTTAGAGCTGGGGTCTCGCTGTGTTGCCCAGGCTGGCCAGACCAATTTAATCACAATTTCTGGGGGTAGAGCCCATGCACTTGCATCTTTTAAAGTTCCCCAAGAAAGTCAGATATTCAGCCAAGGCTCAAAACTGATGTTCAGCCAAGGAGAGGAAGGCACAGCAGGACTCACCGGGTAGGAAAAGGAGCTCCTGTTTGTGGGACCCCCTGTGAAACAGAGAGACTGTTCTACATTTTAGGGGATGCCTGTGAGTTTCAGGGTGTCCCTTGATGAAAATGGGAGCTGAGAGGGCTCTTGGTCTACAGAATGGCCAGGGTCCTGCTTAGGAAGGAAGGCTTCTGGGAAATTGGAAGCACCGCCTCCGTTCTGGAGGGGATGGCTGTGAGGCCAGAGGTAAAGAAGGGGGCATGAGGAGCACACCACTCGTCGTGGGTACAAAAAGCCCATACACCTAGTGTTGGTAAGGGCAAGGACGAGGCCCGGGAGACAGGCCGGCATCTGCTGCTGCTGAATGAGTGCCTTCTCTTCTCTCCCCACAGTTTGGGGGTGGTGCTGTCCCGGGGCCACGGAGAATACATCCTTCTGGGGAACACGTCTGTGGAAGAAGGTGGGTCGGTACCAGGGGCTGAGGGACAGTTAAGCAGAAAATAATGGGCTCTCATGGGACACTGGGCAGGGCCAACCCCAACCAGAGCCAGTGTGACAGCCTCCCAGCTCCCAGGCTCCAGAGCAGCCTCTCAGAACAATGCTGCCAGGTGGAGAGGGGCGTGTGTGTCCCTGGCTCCCAGGGCATGCAGGATCTGTGGGTCTGTCGTCAAACCAGCAGAGCCTGAGACCTGCCAACCGCACTGCTAGTTTCCGGGAGGCCTTGCTGGACTAGAAGGACCGTCAAGGCAGTATGTTTTTTAAACAAAGCTCAAAGCTGAAATTTCCCTGCCAGGTGACTGCAAAGGTGATGAGAAAGGAGGCCAGAAAGAGGAGGGAAGCCTGTATTCATTTGCTAAGGCTCCCAGCACAAAGTACCGCAAACATGGCATCCTAAAACCGCAGACATGTATTCTCTCACGGTTCTGGAGGCTGGAAGTCCCAAGTCAGGTGTTGGAAAGGCCGTGCTCCCCACAAAGCCTCCAGGGGAGTCCTCGCTCACCTCTTCCAGGTCTAGGAGCCTCAGGTGCTCCTCGTCTTGCAGCTGCACACTTCAGTCTCTGCTCCCTGATCCCGTGGCCTTCTCCCCTCAGCTGCCTCTCACTGTCTCCATTACCTCTTCTTATAAGGACACCACTCATATGGGATCAGGGCCTATCCTAATGATCTCATCTTAATTTGATTACTTCTGCCAAGACCCTATTTCCAAAGAAGGTCACATTCACAGGTCAGGACTTCAACATATCTTTTGAGGGACACAATTCAGCCCATACCTGGAGCTTATGGGATGCGAACCAAAGTGAGATGGCAGAGAACAGTGGTGGAGGCGGGGAGAGAAGAGCCCCATCCAACCCCATCCCTCCTGCCGGTGACTTACTGTGGCCCAATCACCTTAGGAGACCACAACCTATCTCAGGGGTCACAGATATCCCAGGAACCCCTGGAAGAGGTGGCCACTTTCTGTTTAACACCCACATACTACCCTCTGCTATCTGCTGAGTACATCTCATCACCCTGCCTTCCTACAACCATCCTGGTCATTGTCACCTCTCTTGTGGACAACCACAGTAGCTTCCAGCTGTTCTCCCTGACTCCTTTCTTCTCTGAGCTTCAGCCAGAGGGATCTTCCTAGAAATGCCAAGTCTGCCCACATCACTGCTGATGGGCCTGCTCCTCCTGGCTGCTTTGCTCTGCCCTGGAGTGCCCTCCTCTCCCAGCACACTTTGACCCACTCTCAGGCCCCAGCTTAGCTGTCATCTGTCTGGGAGCTGCCCCTGGTAGATCCCCTCTCCCGCACCTGGACTGAGTCAGGCACTAGCTGTGTGCTCACCTGGAAGCTGTGTCTGCCCTTCCACAGCACAGATCCTAGCACTGGGGCACTCTCCTCTGTTCCCCATCATCCCTAGGCCTCCATCGTGCCTTCTTCCTTCTTCCTACACATTTCTTCCTCTGCCCAGATATTCCCAGGGTGCACTCCTCCAGGAGACAGAGGGTGCTGTCTTATACCCACTCCTGGGAGTGAGACATTCCAGTGGTCAGGGGCTTGGAATCCCGGAGTCTCCTGGTCTTCTGTGGGCAAGGGAGCTCCCCTTCCAGCTGCTTGCCCTGTGTCTACATCAGAGCAGCAGCCCTTGTGAGGCTCCACAGATGCCCCACTGGCCTTTCTGTCATCCCCTCCTTGGACTTACCCTCAGTGGAGCACCTGTTCATTTCTTAGCTCTGAGTAGGTGCCATGGAGCATCAGCTCATCGTTCTTTCAGTCAACAGCGTGTACTGAGCATGAGATCAGGCTGGCTCTGTGTTAGGTGAGAGGCCGCAAAACACACAGGGCCCATCCTGGGGATGAAGCCAATGAAGCCAAAATCACTGGTTTCAAAGTATCACCTCCCTTTGAGGGAGATGCTAGGAGGAATAAGATGCAGCTTCCTCAGGGAGCTGCTGTCTGGCAGAAGCACAAGGTTATTACATGCCCATAATAACCCAAATCCAACCTGGATGGGGAGGAGGGGCATGAGGGCTGCAGGAGGAAAAGATGCTCCCACTGGCTGGGCAGCTCATTGAAGGCATGGCATTTGCCCTGAACCTTGAAGAAGGGGTAGGATTTGGACATGAAACAATGAGAAGAAAGCATTTCAGGAGGTGGGACCTGTGCAGACTTAGCCATGTTCTCCTACTGTGAGCTAAGAGCAAGAAAGAACAGACCCCAGTCCCTTTCTTTAGAAACTCACTGGGTGGCTGTTTCTACAATTGAGACACACACCCTCATGGCAGTGAGGGAGCATCACCCTGAATGTGGACTCTGGTTTCAGGCCTGCATGACTTGCTTCACCCAGACCTGGCCCTGGCCGGTGACTGGTAAGTGAGGAGTAAAAAATGGGAGGGAGACAGGTGGAATGTTTTGAGATAACACTGACTTTCCTGGGTTTCAGGATCTACTGCATCACAGATATTGACCCAGACCACCGGAAGCTCAGCCAGCTAGAGGCCATGATCCGCTTCCTCACCAGGAAGGACCCAGACCTGGAGTGTGAGTGCTGGCCGCCCACTGAGGCAAGCTTTTCCTCTGGGGCCCTGAAGTTCAGGACTTTGCCAGGAGAGGTGGGAAGGCAGGGGGAGGCTGCTGCACAGCCCTATCCCATTAGCACATGGATGGCTTAGATCAAACAGGGAGATTCCCAAAGAAAAAGGCATAGCCAGCCTTACCACAGGGCTGAGCTGGTATTTAAGCACCCTTGGAACTGTGGTAACATGTATGGATCCCCAGGTCAGGGACTGGGATCTTTTTCAGCCTCTATCCACCAAGCTCTGTTAAGGGTCAGGAGAAAGCACCATTCAGAGTCTGTCATCTTTTTCCCTACCACTGTCTAGAAGTGGACCTCTGGGCAAATGGCTGCCACTCTTCACCAGAAGTCCTCATCTCCACAAGGGGAGCATTTGGCCAGATGACTCGAAGCCTGTGGGCTCTGTTTTCTAAACCAGTTCCTCAGGCTAACCTTGCTCACCTCTTCCAGGTCTAGGAGCCCCAGGTGCTCCTTGTCTTGCAGCTGTGACACTTCAGTCTCTGCTCCATGGTCACATGGCCTTCTCACCTGCACTAATGCGAGTGGTGAGCTCATTAGGCCACATCCTCAGCTTGCTCCTCCTTCTTCCTCTTTGGAAGAAAGAGCAGGTCATCCTGTCACATAATTGTCACCCGCATAAGAAGACTGCCTCCCATGCCAACCCAACAGGGCACTTACTTACTTATTTATTCATTTCATCAACAAATCTGTACTGAGCTTGCACCCTGTGTCAGGCCCTGGGGTAGGTATTAGAGCTACAGAGATAACCCAGACAAGGCCCTTGCTATCATGGAGCTTACATTCTAGTGGAGAAGCCAGGTGATAAGCAAATAAGCCTACATATATAGATATAGGTTGTTATAAATTGTGATAAGCGCCATGAACAGGATGCTGTAGGGGAGAGAAATAGGCCTGCTTTAAAGGAGATCCTGTTAAGCCACTTGGGTGGCTCTATTGTGACACCTCCTCACCAAGGTGAGGAGGATCTCCTTTGGGGGGTGATAAAAATATTTTGGAACTAAATAGAGGTGGTGGTTGTACAACATTGTGAATGTACTAAATGCCGCTGACTGAATTGCATACTTTAAATTGGTCAGTTTCATTTTATGTGAATTTTACCTCAATAAAGATAAATAAATTTTTTAAATGAGAGAAGAAAAAGAAAGAGCCTCCATGCAAAGACTGGGAAAAAGAATATCCAGATCAAGGGAAACAGCATGTATAGGGGCTCTGAGGTAAGGAGGAGCTTGGCAAGGTCAAATTCACAGAACTGGCCAGGGGCAGTGGCTCATGCCTATAATGCCAGCACTTTAGGAGGCCAAGGTGGGCAGATCACTTGAGGTCAGGAGTTCTAGATCAGCCTGGCCAACATAGTGAAACCTTGTCTCTACAAAAATTACAAAAATTAGCCAGGTGTGGTGGTGTGCACCTGTGGTCCCAGCTACTTGGGAGGCTGAGGCAGGAGAATTGCTTAAACCTGGGAGGCGGAGGTTGAAGTGAGCCAAGATCATGCCACTGTACTCCAGCCTGGGCAACAGAATGAGACTCCATCTCAACAACAACAACAACAAAAAATTCACAGAACTGACCAAAGGCCAAGGTGTCTGGATGGTTAAGAAGCAGATGAGGAAGAGTTGAGATGGGGGAGACTGGGAAGATCCAACCTGAGGTCACTGAGGGTCTCCTAAGTTCATCAGATGTTACAATTGGAAAGAGCCTCAGATATCAAGCTGTTGTACTGACATATTTTTTGGAGTTGAGAAAGTGAAGACAGACAGAGGTGAGGCAGCTCCCTCAAGCTCACAGAGATAGTTTTACATGTCCCATAGACACGTTCAGGAAGCACATCTTCTCCCTGAACTTAGGATGGGAGAGTTGTGTTCATGAGCATGGAGGAAGCATGTGGCCTGGTTCCCTGATGTTTTGCACCCAGGTGACGAGGAGCTGGTCCGGGAGGTGCTGTTTGACGCGGTGGTGACAGCCCCCATGGAAGCCTACTGGACAGCGCTGGCCCTCAACATGTCCGAGTAGGTCCAGGTTCCCAGGTTCCCAGGCCCCAACCAGCCCCCAGAATTCCCTTGGCTAAGTTGGGACCCCTCTCACCATCTGGCTGGTGGCTCAGGAGAGAACCCACGTCCTTTGGCCTAAGATTAAGTGGAGGTCCCCCTGGGCACTGGACTAAATCCCCACCCCAGGATAGTCCCATTCCGACAGCTCCTTTCTCTGGGTTGGACTCCAGCCATGAGACTTCAATGGCCAAAATGCCCCTGGCCAAAGAGCAGTTCAAATAGGTTTCCAGCAGGTAAGGTCATGGCACCAATGAACTTGACCTCGGTTTTCCCAGCCCCTTAGAAATCCTCGCTCCCTTTGCTGGTCTTCTCCTGATACTATTGTGTTTAGTGGCCTGGTAGAAAGAAGATGAGTGGCATGTGAGTGTGAGTGTAGGGCATGTGTGTGCCCATGAGTGTTGGGGGGCAGAGTAAGGTATTAATGAGGTTAAGGTTGCAGTGGGTCATACCTTGCTCCTGAATAGGAAGATTCAACATTGTGAAGATGTCAAACCTCCTCTACACAGTCAATAAATTTAAGCACATAATTAGATACTAGAAAATTAAAAATTAGTTTTTTAGTGCTATCCTAATAAAAAACACCTACAGAATTTTATAGGGACAGTCTCCTATTGAAAAAAGCAAGATGTGGAATGCTACCATTCTACATAGTATAGTACGCTACCTTTTCTGTAAAAAGTGGGTGCCATAGTATTTGTGTGGATTATATAGATAACATCTATGATCTGTATACTGTCTACGCAAGGCTACTCAGGAAACATTCCTCATTAGCTGTTTCTGGTTGGAAAATGGGTAACTGAAACAGGGATGGAAGGGACACTTTTCACCCTAACATGTTGGTGTAATTTTGAACCATATGAATATATGACCTATACAAAATTAGAATAAAGAAAGAAAAACAATCTAGTGGGCCAGGCACTGTTCTGAGTGCTTAGTGTATATAACCCATTTGATCCTCACCGCAGTCCTCACCCACACAGGAGCTCTCATTACTGCCATTTGACAGATGAGGAAAACAAAGCATAGCGAGATCAAGCAACTCGCCTGAGGTCATACGCCTCGAAAGTGGCAGAGCTGGAATCAACAGCAGGCAGCCTCACTCCTGCGCCCCGACTCTTAAACCCTGCACTGTTGTGCCTTCTACAGAGGGCTGGAGCAAATAGGTTTGGAGAGGGGCACCATCTTCATCTTTCCAACCTCAGAGATTAGTCAGTGATGATTTTTAATGTGGAGAAATATTGAGAAGGAAATATTCTTAACCAGAGCATGCTTCAGAAAAGACTTCCTAGGAAGTTAATATAAAATAGCATACAGTTAAGGAGAAAAAAATACATAACCATCTCCAAAGATATAGAAAAGGCATTAAATAAATATTAATATTCATTCATTTAAAAAAATTTTGTAGAGATGGGGGTCTCTCTATGTTGCTCAGGCTGGTCTTGAACTCCTGGCCTCAAACAACCCTCCCACCTCAGCCTCCCAAAGTGATGGGATTACAGGCATGAGCTGCCATGCCCAGCCATACCATTCTTGTTCATTAAAGCCACTCAGTAGAATTAAAATTGACCTAAGCATGAAAGTAACATCTTAATGGGGCTAGAGGCTCTCTCACTAAAGACAGGAACAAGACAAGCATGCCTACTTCCCCATTGCTATTTAACAAGGCCAGAAGGAATTAGACAAGAGAAAGCAAGCAGAGGCAATTAGAATTGGAAAGAAAGAAGTAAAATTGTCGCTGTTTAAAGATGACATAATTATATATCTGGAAACCCCAGAAGAATTAATAAGAAAATTACTATACCCAATGAGAGAATTTAGTAAAATAGCAGGTTATAATATCAACATTCAAAAATTAATAGCCTTTATCTACACACAAAAAAGATAGAAGATATGAGAAGGCTTATTTTAAAAGGCAAGAAATAATACATGATAAAGTTATAAGACTACAAGAACATACGACATAAACTATAAGAACTGTTCAAAAACCTATATAAGGAAAATTATGAAACACTCCTGAAAACACAAAAGTAGAGGCTGGAACACATGGAAAGACAGTGTTTTTGGATACGAGACTTCAACATCATAAAGATATTAATCCTCCCTAAGTTAATGTTAACCCCAATGAAAACACCGTCAGTCTTTTTCTGCATCTAGATAAACTGATTATCAAGTTCATTTGGAAGAACAAGCAAGAATAACCAGGAAATCTCTGGAAAAAAAAAAAAAAAACGCACACACACACACACACACACACACAAACACACACCAAAAAAAGCAAAGAAGGGAGGTTGGGCCTACCAAGATATTAAAACACATGACAAAGCCTCTGAGGTTTATAAAGTATGGTATTGGCACAAGAAAAGGCAGGCAGACCACAGGAACCCAAAAGGAAATCCGGAAACTCATCTAAATGCATGTGAAAATTTAGTCTATGACAGAGGCATCCTGTCAAATCAATGAAGGAAAGATGGATTTTTAAATAACCGGTTTGAGAGCCATATGGAGAATGATAAAATTATGTTCTTTTCTCACACCATACACCTGGACGAAGTCCAAATGACTCAGAGATTCAAATGTAAAAAATGAAGCCATATAAATACTAAAGGAAAACATGAGCCAATTGCTCTAAAATCTAGGAGTGGGGAAACCTTTCCCAACAATGACTCAAAATTCAGAAGCAATAAAGGAATGACGGATAAATTTAACAACATTAAAAATGTTTCTGTGGTCGGGTGTAGTGGCTCGTGCCTGTAGTCCCAGCCACTCAGGAGGCTCAGGTGGGAGGATCACTTTAGCCTGAAAGTTCAAGACCAGCCTGTGAAAAATGACAAGACCCCGTCTCTAAAATAAAAATAATAATAACTTAGCCAGATGTGGTGGTGCACACCTGCAGTCCCAGCTACTCAGCTGCTCAGGGAGGATCACTTGAGCCCAGGAGGTGGAGGCTGCAATGAGGCATGGTCATGTCACCACACTCCTGCCTGGGCAACAGAGCAAGACCTCATCTATTTTTTTTTTTTTTTTTTTGAGACGGAGTCTCGCTCTGTCGCCCAGGCTGGAGTGCAGTGGCACAAGCTCGCCATTCTCCTGCCTCAGCCTCCTGAGTAGCTGGGACTACAGGCACCTGCCACCACGCCTGGTGAATTCTTTGTATTTTTTTGTATTTTTAGTAGAGACGGGGTTTCACCATGTTAGCCAGGATGGTCTCAATCTCCTGACCTCATGATCCCCCTGCCTCGGCCTCCCAAAGTGCTGGGATTACAGGCGTGAGCCACCGCGCCTGGCCAACCTCATCTTTTTTTAAAAAAAAGAAAAAAATATGTTTCTATGGCAGAAATAAAAACATGAGCAAGGTAAAAAGAGAAATTACAAACTGGAAAGGTGTTTGCAACTTATAAAACAGATAAAGGGTTACTCTATATATTATGTATTCACGACAAAGGACTTTGAAAATTGAGACTTAAGAGGTCAACTACCTTAGAGGGAAAGTAGTCAAGAAATACGAACAGTTCAGAGGAAAAATGCAAATAGTCCTTAGAAGAACAATTCAAATAGTCTTAAAATATAAAGAAAAACAATGCTCAACCTAACATGTAATCTGAAATGCAAATGACAACTATGCCCAGATTGGACTTCTCGCCTCTCAGACTGAAAGCCACCTGAGCTTGTCAGTGTGCACTGTTGGCAGAACTGTGGGGAGTCAGGCACTCGTAGATTGTGGGTGGGATACGAAATGTTTCAAACCCCGTCGAGGGGAATTTGATGACGTCTAGCACAATTTCATGTACATTTACACTTTGACCCAGCAACCTCACTTCTAGGAACCTTATCCCAAAGATACACTGGCAAAAATATGAAAAAAATGTACCTATGAGCTGCTCATTATAGCACCTTTAATAACAATAGAAGATTGGAAACAACCCAAACGTTCATCAGTGGGAGCCTAGTTACATAAATCATGGTGGATCCACATAATGGAATTCTATGCAGCTGTGAAAAATTAGAATATCTCTATATACTGCCACTATGAAATCATCTTCAGTAATGAAAAAAGTATGAATAATATCTCCACTGCTTATCTAGAAAGAGAAAATACAAATATATTTTCATAATTACTTTCACAAAGGTACATATAAATGTACATGCGTATATGTATGTACACATACACACACGTACTTTTTAGTGGAACAAGGAACCAAAAGTCAGGTTACCTACAGGAAGAGTGAAGGAACAAGGAGATGGATACAGAGACAGACTCCCCTGAATAGGCCTTATTCTCCATATTGACTTTGGAACCATATAAATGCTTTATCTAATCATAAAACAAAATTAAATTTTAAAAAGTAACCTGTAGTAATTGAAAGCAAATGAAACAGCTAAACCTAGCCATATATCAAGTTCATTAAATAATCGAACATACGGGAATTCTTTCAAGGGGCTTTAGAATTGTAAACACTAAATAAATAAAATGTTAAGCAGTCCTCAGTAATCACATTGCTAGAAATAGTATTGGCATTGTTATTCTGAATAGAGAGAGCAAATTGTATTATATTAATGTCATTAAGAACCAAGATCTTCAGCAAAAGGGAAAAGAGATATGCAAATTTCAAAAATCAGAGAAGTTAAGATTAGATGGAATGCTAAATTTGAATTAGAAATATCAATTTGAACTCATGATGTATTTCTCTTAAAGAAATTAAAAGGATATCCTAGCTCTCTCCCCTGAAAGGGCCCACCGCAGCAAGTGCCCCAGCCCCAGACTTCGGACTTTCAATGTCAGTCCTCTTTAAAATGAGCCCATGATCCTAGAAGAAATGTCTGATTCCAGGACAGGGGCAGGAAATACGCACAATGAACCTGGAACATCTTGTCGTATGAGGAAGCAAGAAGTTACCAAAGACAAATGATATTGTGCCCAAGGGACCCCAGAGCCAGCTGGAGGAGGCCCTCACTGGCCAAAGGTGGATGATCAGAGCAGCAAAAGTAATTATAATCACAGCAGGAGCTGGCTGTGGAGGCACGGCTGTTATCCCAGCCTCATGGCAGGCTCAGGCGAGAGGATCGTTTGAGCCCAGGAGTTCAAGGCCAGCCTGGGCAACGTAGTGAGAACCTGTCTTTAAATAAAAATAATAATAATAATAATAATTGCAATGGGTTAAAACATATGAAATATATTAAAATACTTGGGTTCATAATGATACTGGAAAAAACCTCATTGGCCATCTTTGGAAGATTGTTAGGAAAGCAACTCATTATTCTAAAACCTAACAAAGAAACAAAAAGAATAAATTATTTATCCTGCCTCTTCTATAAAAGTTGTACTTCAGGATAACTAAATATTGATGAGGAGAAGTTTTTCCTTATACAGATATTTCGGGTAAAAATAAAATAAGAAATAAAAGAATGCATGTATTTTTCATGCCCTAATCAGTCAGAGTGTGTGCCTCTTGTGAAGAACAGCCTTGTAAAAACACAAACCGGAACCCGGTCAGGCCCTGAGGTCTCACGGCCAGTTGACAGGCAATGCAGGGGACACAGAGCAGGCTGAAGAGCACCCCAGGGTGGCAATCCGCCAAGGCCAGAACCGGAGAATCCCCACAGGCAAGCGCCCTTTGTCGCTCTGTTTGTTCCACACATCGATTGCAAGGAAAAGAGAAGGGGAGAGGGAGAGTGGAGAGAGAAAGGGAATCAGGTTAAAGGAGGCCAAAGATGACTGCTAATGGTTATGGGGTTTCTTTCCGGGGTGATGAAAATGTTCTAAAATTCACAGTGCTGACGGTGGCACAACTCTGTGAATACATGAAAAACTATTGAATCACACACTTTAGGTGGGTGAATTGGATGGTATTTGAACGATATCTCAATAAAGACAGAGAGAGACAGACAGACAAATAAGAGATACCCGTTGCCATGCGTGAGCCTTAGGCAGATTCTGATTCAGCCAAACTTAAAAAAATTCGCGAGGCGACTGGATTATCTGATCATATTAATGAATTGTCAGGTTTTTTTAAGGTGTAATAATGGCATCGAAGTTTTTTTAAATGTTATTTCTATTTTGATTGTATAAATTAAAATATTTACCCATGAAATATCTGGGATTTGCTTCAAAATAATCTAGTTGAGGGGCTGGAGGAGGCAGTGGCTGAATTGAGACCAGCCCCGGGTTGGTGATTGTTGAAGCCAAATTATGGGTAGTGAGACCCATTAGCCCATTCTCTCTGCTTTTACACAGAGAATTGAATCAGGAAGCTTTAGGGGAGCTTAGGCCCTGTCCCCAGAGAGTCTGACTCAGAGGTCTGGGGCAGGGCTCTGTGCAGCTCGAGTCCTATGACTCCCATGCCCACCCTGTACAAGCCCCCTGGCTACAGGACTGGAGTAGGTGGGGGAGACCCTTTCCCTCAGTGATTTTCCAGACCTTACTACAGTCCCGGGTACCACCCACAGACACAGGTCTATCCATGAGGAAGACCCCCGCAGTCCAGCCTCTGAGCCTGGCAGTGCTTTGGAATTGCCTACTTTGTATGCTCACTATAGCACACACCCTTGGGCATGGAGAGGAACTAGGTAATAGCCTCCTATCCACTGTGCCAAAGACAAGAATATCATCTGGGTCAAAAGAGATGACTTCCCACCCTGGTCAAAGTATTGTGGCTTTGAGACTGGGAGGGAGATATGTGACGCCAACTAGCTCATGGATCTGTCTTCTTTCAAGTCTCAACGGCAAGGTTATGAGGTCCGTTGGGACTTCTCCTGGGTGGGTGTATGCAGTGCCTGCTCCCCCTCCCTTCACGTTTCGGTAAGAAGGGAAGTATGAGGAGGGCTGTAAGACCAGGAGGTGCCTGGTACGTGCTGGGCATGAGAAGTTCCTGTTCCTTAGGTCCCAGGACAGAATCTCCCTTCCAAGTTCCATCTTCTAGATCGAACTCCCCAAAAGCCAGGAGAACAAATTAAGAGCTAGATCTGCCGAGGCAGAGAGGCAGAGGCCCAGGGCTTCACTTCACAGGGGTGCTGCCCGGAAGCCGGGCCTGAAACCTGATGGGCACCGTGGATGCCAGCAGGGTGCGTGTCCCGGCCCCTTCCCAGGAACCCAGCCTTCCTGGAAAGTCTTCCCTGAGCCAGGCCAGGCAGGAGCAAGGAGAGGCCCCCAAACCCCTGCAGGTCGCCCCCAAGCTCTTGCCACAGCCATGTGGTGACCATTCCCGCTCTGTCTGCCACACAGGGAGTCTGAACACGTGGTGGACATGGCCTTCCTGGGCACCCGGGCTGGCCTCCTGAGAAGCAGCTTGTTCGTGGGCTCCGAGAAGGTCTCCGACAGGTGGGTTGGGCCGGCCACCTCGGGAGGGCAATCCCTGCAGGGCAGAGAGGGCCAGAGTCCCATGGTGTGTTCCTGGGCCATGGGTGGACTGGCACCGGGTCTCCAGCATGCTGGACCCCTGGGAGCCCAGCAGGGCAGAAGGATCGGGATTGACAGATTGGGGCAGTGGGAAAGGCAGCCCTTCCCCGAAGGCTTACGGATCGGGATTGACAGATTGGGACAGTGGGAAAGGCAACCCTTCCCCGAAGGCTTACACATCCTGGTGGTGGGTCCCTAGAACAGGATGGAGGCCGGACCAGTCAGGGAGAGACTTTGAAGTTGAGGGTTGGTCGGAGAATCCACCTAGAGGAATCTCTAAGGGACAAAGCCGAAATTGCTTTCCTCTCTGGGCTGGTCTCTGTGTGACAGGCTGAATCTTCTGGCTGTGTCTCTTTTCCCCACTCCTAAGGGGAGAGGAGGTGCTGCTGGGGCCCTGTGGTAGATGGAGTGCTCACCCCGCAGTGCCTTCTTGAGCCACCCACTCCCACCTTGGTGTGGGAGATTTGCGGTCTCTTACTCTACCTGGTAGGAGTCCAGGCCCAGCTCCCTGTAGGCCATGGAAGACTTAGGCCTCCACACCAGGAATGTTCAACTGGGGGTGATTTTGTGACATTCAGCGATGTCTGGAGATACTTTTGGTTGTCACACTGTGGGAGGCAGAGAACTTCCTACTGGCACCTAGTGGGTGGAGGCCAGGACGCTGCTAAACATCCCATGATGCACAGGGCAGCCCTCACAGCAATCGCCTGGCACAAAATGTCACCGGTGCCAAGGCTGAGAAACCCTGCTCTAAGCCAAGGCTGGGTTCTGGGGGAATCAGGGGCTGGCCCACCCGGGTGCTCAAGGGAGGATGGGAGCCCAGAGGAGGGGTTAGGGGCCGAGCGGTGCCACCTGCCGCTTCGCAACCCAGGAGACTCCAACAGGTGAGGACCTTCAGGCACCTGGAGAGCAGCCCAGGGCCCCTGAGCCGACCTGACCCTACTCTCCTCGCCTCCCACCCGCCAGCTGCTCCTCTCGCTAAGCACGCCCAGCCACGGAGCGCCATCTTTGAGCTTCTTCCAGGACTCTGTGACAAATCCACACTTGCTAAGCAAAGCTGAGGCTTTCTAGGAAAACAAATTAAGTTGCTCTTCCCTTTCCCTCCCTCCTCCCTCCCCTCCTCCCCCCCACCCATCCCTGCGGAGGTGGAGAAGGCAGAGCACCACTGCCTCCCTGACCCTTCCCTCGCCCCCTCTCAGAGGCTTCTAAGACTGGAAGCAGGAGATTCGAGGCAGACAGACCTTCCCAGTGCCTCTGCCTCCTGCGAGCACTCCCAGGGGCTCCCTTCACCCAGACTCGAGGTGAATGGCAGCCCAGGAACTGTGTCACAAGGCAGGTTGCTTCTGGTACATGTGAGCCCGTCACTCTCAAAACCAAATCTCAGTTATCCACCTTGTGGATTATCCACAGCAATGTCTGCTCCCCACCCCCACCCTGCTTCTCCCTGCCTCCCACTCTGCTTCTGGCCGAACACTCCCTTCTGTGGGCTGCCGTGTGTTCAGGGAATGCAAAACCATAATTAGCAAGGTAAAGCTGCTCAAAAAAAGGAAACTCATAATGTATGCAAAAACCTAGAGGCAATCCTGTTGAAGGAACCATTTGGGGGGATTGATGCCCTCCTATTAGTGCAGTGATAGAGCTGACTACAGCTTCCTCCCTCAGACGTGCCAACGAGCCAGACAAGAAGAAATTGGGCTCTATCCAAAAGAAAGAATCCCTGCAGGCAAAAGAGTTTACATAAAAATGGAAAGTATCCCCTCACTCTACAGACCCTATGCCTCTTCCAGCTGCTAGCTAGATGCAACATGACATCGTTTTGTTTCTGGAAAAGGCGAGAATTGCTGGGAAGCATTGTCTGGGGCCGTACTAATTTAGGGGCTAAAATCACTCTCTTAGCCCAGCCAAGTTGACCTTGTGTGAGAAAAGGAAAGAGTGATGACTGTGTTCACAGATCTGGGGAGAGGTACCACATCTTCCTCCTTGCAGGAAGTTCCTGACACCTGAGGACGAGGCCAGCGTGTTCACCCTGGACCGCTTCCCGCTGTGGTACCGCCAGGCCTCAGAGCATCCTGCTGGCAGCTTCGTCTTCAACCTCCGCTGGGCAGAAGGACCAGGTAACACACAGCCCGGTGCTCCCGGGGCTGGGCCAGTCTCAGGCCAGTCTCATCTCTCCTCCTGCTGTGCTCTTAGTGGGAAATGGGAACGAGATATGGAATAGAATGTCCAGACCACCAGGGTTCCCCTCCTGCCTTCCCTCCTGCATGCATTAGTGACTTAAAAAAGCTCATTGGCACCTTCCCACACCACAGGTCCCACGCTGAAGGTGAGCCTGATCATTTGATTCCCTAGCCAGCCATCAAAGTTGGAGTTTAAAAACCCAGCATGGGATTCTAGCCCCAATTCCAAATATGAGATCAGAAGAGTCCATCTCTAAGATTCTTCTATTTATCCTGCATGTCTGTGAAAGCTTCATAAACCACCCAGACGGGTGGTTTCATTAGGGGCTGCAGTACTCACTAAGTCAGTGGGGCTGCCCTGCTCTTCCCAAACAGAAAGAAAGCAACCCGTCCCCAGTTACCCAGGACCACCCAGGACCAGCCTCAGGGAGCTCCCAGCCTTCTCCACAAGCCCCTCTCAGCTCAAGAGAGAGGCTGTGCCAGGCAGGTGGTGGGGAGGGTGGGGTATGAGGCAACCACAAAATCCCTGCACGGCCAGGGACCAGGAAGACTCTCAGAGTTGATGGGCACCCAACTGCCAGCCAGCCCCAGCCCCCATTCTGGAAAATAACCAAAATAAGAAAAATTAAGTGACTCTAACAGAGCACCGGAAAAATCCTGCAGAGGCTTCAGTGTCTGCATAGCCTGGTGCTCTTGATTTACACTCGAAGTGACTGTGGCCCAGGGAGCTTCCGGGGCTTGTCCAGGGATCCCAGAGTGCATGGCACAGCCACCCCTCCACCACCCCTCCACCAGGTGAGTGCTGGGGCGGCTGATCCCATTCCAGCACATGGATCCAGGGGCCTGGAGAGTGTGCACAGGCAGGTGGGGTGAGCCCCAGGAGGGGATGCAGGAGTGTGGAGACTTCTAAAAGGAAAGTCAGGGCTGGGGTCACTCAGAACTTCCCCTTTAGGACGCCCTTCTGCCAAAGGCCTTCCACCACCACTTTGCCAAACCATCCTCAAGCGTCGTGATGGAAAAATGTCCTGGAGCTGATGGCTGGGGAGGCCCAGGATCCCGGGGATCCTCCTGGGACCAGGACAGGGAAGGCAAACAGCAGGGAGGAGCTCCACCCCGCCCCCTCCGGAATCCCGCCTTCCTCACCTGGTGCTATGCCCCTACTCCCACCTGTGCTGTTCCCTCCACACACGTGCAAATAACTACTATGCTTCACAAAACAATTTTCCACGTGTTTTTCATTTAATCTAGACAACCCCATGAGATAAGTGCCGTCATTATCCCTCAACTTACACAAGGAGAACGTGAGGCTCAGAGAGGTTCTGTAACTTGCCCGGGGTCACACAGCAAGGGAGCCACAGAGCCAAGCTCTGCCCTAATCCAAGCCCAGGCCCCGTTACCACACTGAATGTAAGGAAAGAGGGAGGGGGAGTTTTTATTACCAGTGCAAGCCCAGCAGGAAGGCTCTGGAAGCAAAGGGGAGACCCCTTCCCACACCGTCCACCCCAAGGCTGAAAGAGGCAGCTCCTCCTCTGTGGCCACACCCTCGATAGCAGCACATTGGGCTCCCCAGGGAGGGCACCCACAGGCCCCTGGAGAGGTTCTATAATGAGGCCCCAGCCCCTGCCCCAGGCCCTGATGACAGGTCCCCTCCTGCCCGCATTCACCAGGACTGAGCCTGCTGGCTGCTGGGGGAGCTTTATGTGGTGATGAGGTGGGAGGGTGGGTGGGTGAGAAGCTGAGCCACGAGGAGAAAAGAGGGAAGCTGGAGCCCAAAAAGGGGGCCTGGTGAGGAGGGAGGCGGGGCCCACTTCCTCTCCACAGCCCACTCACTCGCTCAGCGCACACACACGCTTAGACACATGGCCACCTCTGCACACTCCCTTCCACCCCAAAAGAAGGAAAACAACCGCGTTTCAAGGGGGAAAAGAGGACGAGCTGCCTCCAGGGTGAGGGGAAGCTCGCCTGTCTCTCTAGGCTGACATGGTTGCCCTTTGCCGGGGCCTGGTGGGCTAAGTCCCGACCACGTGGAGCTGCATTGTGCAGTCAGTGCCTAGAAACCTGTCCGCACACAGCAGAGCCTCAGAAATATGCCCACAGCCCACCTCTCCCTGGGCCCCGCCCCCTTCTGCACTCCACGCCCTGATCATTCCCACCAGGTGCTGGGCCAGGTAGCCACGGTGAGCCAGGCACTGAAATCCCTGATGTCCCCAGAGACTGCCTCATTAGGGTCTCCACATGCTCACATCTGCGTTTCCTACAAGCCTCTGCTGGCTGGGGTACAAATGCGACGGAAGGTCTGTCCCAGAAAATGGGCTGTGGGACCCAGGGAATATTGTCGGGGCTGCCACATCACCACCTTCGAGATGTCTGTAGACACAAGGTGGGGAATTGTCCCTTCGTCATCATGGGGCAAATTTCTAGAATCAAGGACAACCTTACATATTGGAAGTTCCTGGAATCAGACTGCAGTTTTAGGTTTCTTGAGATATTTGACGACAGCGGGTGTGATGGGTAATCTTGGTGACGTGGCAGATGTGAGAAGCTGGTGGTTAAGTCCCGGGACAATTGACACTGTTGTCATAATCGCCACACAAGAGTCCCATGACCTGTTTGCTTCAGGCAACATTTGACATCAAGACATTCTAACAAAATGTGATAGCACATCAGAAACTGTTTGCCCCTTTCTCAGAAGTTGAGTCTGCATTTGACCTGCAGACAAGAGTGCTTTGAAATTCAAGTCCGGGGCCAAGGACTGATGAGAATTAAGAAGCCTGAGGCCCCGAAGTAGCCAGCCCCAGTCAGAACCAGAAAGCTCTGTTTCAATGTGGAGCTGAAACTGCCCTCTAAACTGTGCACCTATGGTGGCCTGATTGTTCCAGAAGAAGTGGAGAGAGCAATGCGAGGCAAGCCCTGTGGCCTTCAGGAGCCTCAGGACTTGCCCTGAGTTGCTGCAGAGTCCCAGAAGTGGAGCAACAGCTGAGAAGCAAGTGAAAGACCCGGAGAGCGGTTGTGCAGTGGAGGGTCCGTCATCTCGCTGCCCAGGGCCGCATGGTGGCTCGGCTGTGGCATCTGGCTTCCTGATTGGGACTGACTGTCGGCGTCCTCCCTGACTCACGCAGACTCACAGAGAGCAATCCAGGATCACCCACCACCCAGTGCTGAAATGCAGCCTGTCCTTCCTGCCGTTGGAAGGGATCACTGGATACAACACAGGTGTTGTGGGCAAAATGCATGCCGCAGCCGACAAACACGCAGAAACCCCAGTGTCGTGGGGCCACTGCAGCCCTGCACTGTGCTGGCGGCCAGAGGCCATGTGTGTGTCTGTCCAAGACCCGTGTTGGGGTCACCATCACAGCAGCAACTTCTCCAAACACAACCCCTGTCCCCACCCTCGCCTCAATTCTTCCAAGGATGCCTTCGCCTGCTTTTATTCCCATCTCCTATTCCAAGAAAGTGGTAGCGCTCCACCTGCCCCAACCACAGCTCTTCCCCATGACTGGGTTGTCTCTGTTTCCCCAGAAAGTGCGGGTGAACCCATGGTGGTGACGGCAAGCACAGCTGTGGCGGTGACCGTGGACAAGAGGACAGCCATTGCTGCAGGTAGGAACGGCCCTTGTGGTGTTGAGGCCAGGAAGCTGGGGACAGTGTAAAGAGCAAGGCATAGATCACAGCAGAAGGCCCTGCACATGTGGCCAGGGCCACAGTCCTGCCGGTGGAATGTGGGATGGGTGGAAGTGCACTCTTCCTAAGCCATTTCATTTGTAAAACCATAAAACTTTGGATGTGAAAGTATTCACGAAGTGAGCAAAATGAAGCCCAGAGAGGCTAGGAGATCTGCACGGCCACACGGAACAGAGACTGCAGCCCAGCCCCCCGCCGCCCCCCACCCACCCCCCTCTTCCACATAATATATTTACCGTATGCAAGCTTCTCTTGAGAAACACTTCCTGCGGGTTAATAGAGCATTACTGAGGCATTCTGTAGCTGAAAGGAAGGCTGGCGGGTTAATAGAGCATTACTGAGGCATTCTGTAGCTGAAAGAAAGGCTGGCGGGCAGAGCTCTTTTATTCTAGGTCTTTTATCAATCATCGTCATCATCATAAAGCTAATATTTACCGAGTATTTACAGTGTGGTAACTTCTTGAAAACTTTGCTGTTGAAAAGATGACCTGAAGACCAGCAGCGCTGAAATTGCGTGGGCCTCTGTTAGAAACACATAGTCTCAGGTTCCAGCCCATACCTGTTCAACCAGAGTGCGCTTTACTGAGATGCCTACTGATTTGCCTAAACATTAAAGCTTGCGAAAGCTCTTTTGCAGTATTAACTGATTTAACCTTTACAAATATTTTAGAGTGTAGGTATTACTGTCAGTGCCTATTTTATAAATGAGGACCATAGGCTCAGAACGTTTGGCTCAAAGCAACCCAACTAGCGGGGATCGGATGCCATAATTCAGTCCAGACCTGTCTTTTCCCCCAAAAGGTGTTACTAACCACCAAGATGCCCTGCCTCTTTATAGAGCAAACAGTGGATGCTGATTCCTGTGCCATTCCCTTACCTGCTCCGTCTCCTATTGCCTTGGGGTCTCGTATAAGAGGGAAGTGGGACTGTGACTCGAACCCCTGAGGCATGAGCTCAGTGTGTGTGTTCAGCGTGTGCCGGGCACTGTGGACTGCCTCCCATGTGGTCCTTGGGGTGACCCAGTGAAGGCGATGGTTCTGGCTCTACTTTACAGCTGAGGGGACTGAGACACAGAAAACTTACTTGCCCAAAGCCCCACAGCTAATAATGAATGAGGCTGGGATTTGAACGCAGACCGCCTCTCGTTGGAACCCAGGTTCACTGCCCTGTGCTGCGGTTTGCCATGGCTTACATGATGAGAGCAACTGTGACCCTCACAAGCTTCTCCTGACTTTCAGTTTCTTCGTGCCTGCAGAGTCCTTGGTGTCTCTGCCTAGCTGTCTGAGAACGATCAGGTCCCTGCGATGAAGCGCTCCTTACCCTTGTTTTAGCTTCAGTACCTGGGACCCAGCTGTGTTCTGAAAAGTTGCGCGATCCAACAGGCATTCGAGCTCAGCCATCCTGGCTCCGTGAACGCAGCTGGCAGGCACCTGCCTTGTAACCGAGGCCCTGGCCAGGTGAGGACTCTCGCAGCAGGATGGGGACGGAGCAGACAGGGTCAGGGCAAAGGGAATGCAAAGGAGCCGGCTGGGCTCTGTCTTCCTGCCTCAGAGAGGGCACCAGGGCCATCCTGAGTTGGGGTCCTGGGCTGTGTGCCACTCTGGGATAAGCGACGGGGGGAGAATGGCTCCGTCTGACATTGCCAAATTGCCCGGGTAGAAGCCCGGTGTCACTGGTCGTGTGCGATGCAGCCACCTGCAGCACTTGGAAGGGATTTGTGCCCGCCTGGCTGCCGTGCTTCCCTGGGCCCAGGGCACACTAAACCCAGACCCAATTTCCAGGCCAAACTTTGACTCCGAAATCGTCTCCCTACAGACTGTTCTGTGCTCCCAGCCAAGCCTGCGCCTGTGCTGCTCCCACGTGATGGGGGCCTTCTCAGCTCCTGTACACCTGAAGGTCTAGGAAGGATGGGACAGGGGGTCAGGCTGCTGGCTGTGCTTTCCTGCACTCTCCAATTATTTGATAGCATTTTTAACTCAGAGCTGAATTAGAGCCGAGAGGGGTTGCCATAGAAACAGTGTCCCAGTGCCTCCAGTTTAACTCACTGCAGACAATCGCTCTTACACTCTGGGGTGCATGAATGTCAGAGGAAAAGAATGGGGTGCTGGAGACCTGATACTTCAATTATGATTTTTCTTTTGGTCTCCTTCTGCCACTTCCTCTCCCTGGCCTGTGGCTCAGCCTCCCTGATCCTGGGGCCAGCTGGAGCCTGTAGCTGAAGGAGGGGTAGGTGGTTCATTTGCTGTCCCTGGAAACGGCTGGCACTGTAAGCGTGTGAGCGCCAGGCCTGCTGAGTGTGGTGTCTGTGGTGGGGGCTGTATGGTGACGATTGCGCACCGAGCTCGAGGGGAAGGTAGGAGACGGGCACTCAGCCCAGCCACGGGGGCAGTGGCGGGCTGCGCGTCACTGCCGTGTATAACACCACCGGCTCACACAGAGGGCAGCGGACCAGTAGAGATCGCGTTCATCCCTAAGCAGGTGGTTTATAGACAGCTACTGCAAAATTTCCAGAGATCTAACTTTTGGATCAGGATCTGTTTTCAATTCTCCATGTCCTCCAGGCCCTAGGCGAGGAATGAGGTCAAGCTCCAGGATGGGGCTGTAACGGGCAAGTGATTGTCCAGCAGACGGGCATTCTTCCAGCATGACTTGTAATGTACACAAGCCCCTGCACAGAGGCCCTTCCTGCCGGCCAGGGCTGCAAGAGTTCTCCCCTCCTGAGAGGTCAGCCTCAGTACAGGCCCAGCCTTCAGACCTTTGAGGGCTTCTATCTGGGAACCATGACATTTGAATTACACACATAAGCATGACAGAGACCTGTGCCAGGCCTGAGAGGGGCCCCGTTCTTGCTTCTGCAGTGGGGCTCGGGAAGACTTGTCTTGGGCCCTGCTATAATTATTAGGGCTATAGGAGAGCAACATCCCTACACTTATCACCACCTGGGGAAGGCGGACACCCCAGCTCTGCCATGGAATGGAGCTGAACTCCCGGGGGACCCTGATGGTTCACTTCCCTCTAGGGTTTGCTCCTGGCTCGCTGGGTTGTTATCCAAAGGAAGATCCTAGGAAGGAGAAAATTCCGCCTTGGCCTCTGAAGACTAATGAACCATATAGCTGAGGAGGGGGTTCTCGGGCCGGGCGTTGAGCTCGCTCTTCAGTGGGGCTTGCAGCATGCTTATAACCCCAGAGTCTCATGCTCTTCCTCATCCCCTCTACTCAGTGCCTCACTCCCCAGCCCTCCAGTCCGTAATTCCGGGGCCCACCTGCTGAGCCCCGTGGAGGCTTCACCCTGCAGGCCCAGAGCATGGTTTGCCGTCGCCTGAGTAAGCCCTGAACAGGCTCCTCCTCCTGGCCAGCAGCCCCGCCAGCATCCAGTGAGGCTGAAAGAACCCAGTCAGCCGAGGCCCCTCCAACTGCCCTCCCCTCCCACCGTGCGGCAGCATCCTCTGGGCAAACAGTGCCTTCTCGCCACACGAGCCCATCTGTCCTGGCTGCCAGGGCCGATTCATGTCAAGCTTGGGTGGATGAGCAGCACCCACAGGGCACGGGCCATGGCGGGCTCCCCAGCTCACCTTCGCACCACAACCTCGGTGTCGCCCAGAGAAGCTGCCCTGAGGCTCAGGAACCTGCCTGTCAGGCCAGGGTGGATGTACCATCCTGGATCTGCCAGGCCATGAGCTCACTGCCCCCAGCCACAGGGCCTGGCTCTGATCCAGGACTCGGCCTCCGCCCTCTCCCAGCGGTGCCCCAGCCCTGGCCCTGGGTGGGAGGCACCGTCTGTCATCAGAGCTCTACGCATCAGGATCATGGCCACCGGTGCTTTGTCCAGCCTCCTGGGGAGGTGGGGGGCAGGAAGCAACTCTCCTGGCACCCAGGTCCCCTTCCCACCCAATGAAACCAGGAAGTACATAGGAAAATACAGTCTTTATTGGTCTTCTGAAACAACAAACCAGAAATATAATTTTGCCTTTAAAAATCTTCTGTCTCAGGCTAAAGATACCACCATTGACAATGCCCTCCCCTCCCCCCAGTCCCTTTAGAAAATCCCCAGATCTGGTACCAGCCCACACGCCAAAAGAAGGAAGACTGTGGCCATGGCCAGGGCCGCCTGGGGTCCCAGTAAGCAGCCCATGCCAGGCGTCCTCTGTCCACCTGCCAGGACTGACCTCCTCAAAGGCACTCCTCCAGGCCCCCAGCCCACCTCACCCACCCACTGCCGCATGAGCAGGGAGGGTCGGAGTGGGGCACAGGAGCTAGGCCTGCCAACTCCCTCTGCTCAGACCCTTGGCTTCAGGGTTCTTGCTGGCCTCTTCCTGAGCCCCCATCGAGATTCCATCCCAGAGCCAGGGACGAGCCTGATGCCTCCTGAGCCTGTGAGCATGACACCTAGGTACCCACCATCTTCACACTCTGAGGAGGGGCAGAGCTAGGGAGGGGGACAGGTAACCTGGAAAACTTGCACTGCCTTGGCAGCAGGTGGCTCTGTCCCAGACAGGCTCCCCACCCACTCTCTGGTTTGGCCCCGGCTGGGTGCTCTAGGGAGCCACACTGAGCAGACAAAGCCCGGGAACAGAGGCCCCATCCTGGGAGCCTCTGGGCAGCACGTGGCCACCCGCTCCTGCTCCTGGGCTCTGTCTGCAATAAGCTGGCAGGCAATGAGCCTCAGGGGAGCCACCGTGTTCTCTGCCTGCCACCTGCTTTCCCCAGAGGGTGCCACCAATGGCAAAGCACCACCAAGTCCCAGCCCTGAAGTCACAGGCCAGGAGTACTGAAGATGGAGGGCGAGAGGCACAGAGTCACGGTGCCAGGCTGCAGGCTGTGGAGGAATCAGTGGGGGCCCCACAGGGCCTGGTGCTGTGAGATGCGTGGGCAGGACCGAGGCAACACCAGTGGTGTGTGGCTGGGTCCTCAGGAGGCCGCCATGCACACATGCAGCCGCTCCAGGCCCCTGGGTGGTATCCCGGGAAAGCCCAGCAGGAGAGGTGTGAGAGGGTTACCATGGTGACAGGAGGGCTCCTCCAGGGGCACCACTTTGGCCCACTTTAGAGGATCTCAAAGGATCCTGGTGTTACTGGTTGAGTTCCTTCCTGCTGTTGACTTGAGAAGATTGCAGTGAGCACGCGAGAGGCTCTGTGGTCTCAGGGAGACCCCTGGGGAAGAGCATGTCTCTGCTGTTCGAGCGCTCATAGCCTCGGTCTCCGTGTGACCGTGTGAGTGTGTGTGTGTGTGTGTGTGTATTAATTCTTTCAATCCATGTGACCGCACTGGTGATGCAATGGGTGTGTGAGTGAATTAGCGAATCCAGGAGCATGTGGTCAGTGTGGCCTATAGCAGATCCAGGGGCATGATGGCGTCGGCCAGGGGTGTATGGTGTTTCTGAGTGCTGGGTCCAGATGGCAGGGCTGGTGTGTTTGCACATTGGTACCAACAGTTGTAGAGCTGGACCAGCTTTCACACTGCAGGGGTGTTAAGAACGTCTTTCTGGCTTAGGAGAGAGTCTCAGAAATCTACCTTCATCCCTCAGATCCCTCCCTCCCCGTCCCCTCAATGCAGGTGAGGTGGGACCAGCAAGGTAGGAAGAGTCACCAGCTATGGCCACCCCAGGGCAGGAAGGGCGACAGGGGAATGCCCAGTCCGGAAGCCTCCTCTTGCACACACCTCCTTGCTTTGCTGTGGCCAGAGCTTAGGGAGATCCCCCACATGTTCCAAAGATTTACTGGCCCAGACAGGAGCATCAGCAGGAGCCCCCAGCACGGTGGCTTTCAGGGAGCCTCGAAAGTGCAGGGAGAGAACCCGGTGTGGCTTGTCTGCTGGAGGGCGGGGAGGAGGGTGGACTCGGGGAGGCAGTGGCCAGCGCCGGGTCAAGGTGGGAGCTGTGGCTGAGCAATGCCGTGTGCTCTCCCCGCCCTTCCTACCTGGCCGGGTGGGGATGGGCGCTCAGGCCACAGAAGAGATCTGCTTCTGGTCCTCGTGCTCGCCCTCGGGGTCCCCCATCAGGGGCTGGCGCTTTTTGAGCTCCCGGTGGTACTTGGCCATGAGGGAGGCGTAGATGCAGCCATAGGCAGCGGCCACCACCATCATGATGCAGACGACGCCGCACACGACCCCTGCAATGATCACCGTGCCCATGGCTCGCCTCACGCTCGCCGGCCGGTGCCTCTGCTTCTGTGGGCAGGCTGTGCTGGGCTCCGGCTCCGGCTCAGCCCCGGGCTTGGGCTTAGCAGGCTCTGGACTGGCCTTGGTGCAGGGTGGCCCAGGAATATCCAGCCCAGCTGAGCTATTCTCGTCCTCCAGCTGGGAGCAGTAGTTGAACATCTCCATGGGGACCATCCGCATGTCCTTCCCCCTCAGCTCCTTGGGCAGGGTGCAGGCAAGCTGGTCCAAGCGTCCCCCTACATGCAGAAGAGAAAAAGAGGGGCTGACCAGGCATCTAGAACTTGCACTCCCTCTCCCCATCCCCAGCTCCCCAAAACGGAAGCCCCAGAAGGTAGTTTTTATCAGCAATGTAGTCAATCCTGGAATCACCATCTATAGAAGAGGAAGCGGAGGAGGGAAAACAGCATTGATTGAGCCAAGTCCACAGTGAGTTACGTATATCGTGCCATTTCATCCTCGCAGAAGCCATGTGAAATGGATATTGTCTTTATTCCCATTTTATAGAGAAGCACGCAGCCACTTCCATCCGGCCTGTCCTCTCCCAGGCCAAACGGACCCACAGAGTAAGGCAGTGCTAACATGGGGAGGTTCCCAGGAAAGGGCTGTCATTAGAGAGCTGAGCGTCCCTGCCACACTCTCTGCCCCCGAATCTGCCTGCTCATCACCTGTCTGTGAGCCCAGGATACCGTTCTCAACACAGCATCTTATCCTTCTAGGGTTCTTACCTCTCACTCAAAGGACAGCAGTCAAAACCCACTGCCCCTGCCGCTGCCCCTCCACGCAAGACCTTTTGGTTGCCTAAGAATGGGCAGCTCCCTTCCTGGCGTAAAGAGGAAAAGAGTTGGGCAGGAATGTTCTCCTTCTCCTCCTTAGGAGCAATCCAATGGCCCCATCGGTGCCCCAACCACAGCCCTGTAAGTACAAAGGCATCTGGAGGGGGAATCCTGGAGGCACACGAGGCCAAGGAGAGGAGGCTGGTGTTGATGAGGAGGTGTGGGTACCTGGGCGCACGGGCTCGCCAGGATGTCTTCATGATGATGGTGGAGGCTGGCTTGGACAGAGGGAGACACAGATGCAGGACAGGGCTGGGGTGAGAGAGAAGGTGGTTGAGGACAATAATCTGTCTAGACCTCCCCTAGGAAGTGAAAGTTGGATTCTGGCCCTCTTTCAGCTTCCAGTGAAATCTGGATGCAGGCACTAGACCCCCTGCCGAAAAGATGCGGGCTGCAGCCACTCCGTCACTGGCAGCTCCCTCTGCAGCCCATCTGCCGCAAGTCTCCTCATACAATAGGCATCAATCTTTCCCTGGGATGCCGATGGAAATATTCCAGGATTTTGTTTTTAAGAAATGCAATGTTGAAAGCAACTCCGCTATTGAAAAAGTCTGAAAACTGCACATTCTCATGGCATGCATTTTTGTGCTGGGAATTCAGTTCCCGGCGACCACAGGAGAGGAGGGTCTGAAGACACCCGGCCTAGTTCCCCTGTGCGGCTGACACCTCGGTGGCCTGCAGCAAACCTCACATCCCAGGAACACGTATCAGTGCTGCCTGGGGATGCAAAGCTGGGTGCTGACAGGGATGCAGCCTCATTTCCCTGCTGGGAAGACCCACGGTTGAATCCTGGCTGTGTCATCTTGTGAAAATTATTTAATTTATTTAATTACTTATGAGTTTTAGTTTTCTTAGCTGTAAAATAAGAAGGTCTATCTCAATTAGCTGCTGTAAGGTTTAAAATCATGTACATGAAAAGACATTGGTAAACTGGAAACTATATAAGTAGTAATCATTATTTCCCCGCTCATGAAAATGGGGGAAATGATCATAGTGACTAACATTTTGTGGCACTTTATAGTTTGTAAAACATTTTTAATTAACTAACACAGGAGAATTTCATGGAAATAATTGAAATTGTGGCTGGAGATTAAATGAAAGTAGTAAGACTTTAACAAAAAGCATTGGCATTATTTTCACCACTTAAATGTTGATTCCTTAGCCCAGCAAACATTCATTGAGCATCTTCTTCGTGCCAAATGGTGTTTCAAGTCCACTTAGTATTTGATTATTACCAGGAAGTGAACGGATAAATGGACGTTTTATTGAGGACTCACTTTGTGCTGGGCACCTCTCAAGCCACGTTCCGTGCATTGCCACATTTAATTCTCATAATGACCCTACGAAATAGATATTGTTTCCTTCCCACTTTACAGACCAGGCCCTGCCACAGCGAAAGGGTAACCAGCTTTCTCAAGATCACACAGCTGGCAGGTGGCAGAGCCGAAATTCAGACGCAGACCTGGCCCTCCTCACCACCATCTTGCGCACCCTCCTCTCCCATGTCATGTGATCATGTCATAGGTCATTACAGCACTTTCCCATATTAAAGAAAATGGGAAGGGAAGAAAGTAAAGCCTAACCCATTTGACTTCTTCTTAAAGTTTGGATAATAAAACTTGGGAGAGGAAGTTGGCACTGTCACCAAAAGGAAGATTTGGTTTTACTGAGGATTCATTCTATTCCCCTCTCATGTAAGGGGAGATGTTTAAGAGATGGCTGTATTCTTCAGAAGAGCTGTTTTTCTCCCTCCTTCTACCACACTGGGGAAGCCCACAGGCAAACTTGGCGGGATACAAAGCCCAGGTGTCTTTACTGCCCTTATGTAACCTAAGAAAGGGAGATCCAGTTCAGTGAGTCCTAGGAGAAAGTGGGGAGCTGGCTGGGGGAGGGGATGCAGAGCAGGGAGGGGAGGGTGGGGGTGGAGGGAGCAGCACCAGCCTCTCTCCCATTGGCAGGAAGGGTGATGGCTCATGTGAGGGGAGGCTTGTGACTTTTCTAGCCGAGCTGGCACAGAGGCAGGGTCGCCCCCTTCTTTCCCCTGGCCTGCTCTCTGAGTCAGCACCCAGCCACCAGGAGGAAAGTGTGGGGCCAGAGGTGATCGTCCCAATCCCTCGGGCCCCAGCAGGGCCGGCTGCGCTCACCTCGGTAGGAGAACCACTCCATCCAGTGTTTGAACTCACGCAGGTTACAGTCACACTCCCAGGGGTTATCCCCGACCTGCAGCAGCTGCAGGTTTGCTAGGGGTTCAAATGTCAGCCGGTCCAGATTCTGCAGACGGTTGGAGCGAAGCGAGAGGGAGCGCAGAGCCAGGAGCCCGTCGAAAAGACCAGGGGGCAACTGGGCCAGGCCGTTGATGGACAGGTCCAGGTGGCGGAGCAGCGGCGAGTGCCGCAGCAGGTCCCTGTCCAGGGTCCTGATGCTGTTATTGCGCAGCTGAAGCTCAGTCAGATTCGTCAGGTCCCCGAAAATGGAGCGGGGCAGCCGGTCCAGGAAGTTGTTGGACAGGTCCAACCGCTGCAGGCTGGAGAGGTTGGCGAAAGCCCAGCTTGGCAGGGCACTCAGCTTATTGTTCAAGAGCAAGAGGGTTCGGGTGGCTGCGGGCACGTCTGGGGGCACCGTGGTGAGGCCAAGGCCACTGCAGTCCACCTCCAGGCTGCGGCTGTCACACTTGCAGGAGAAAGGGCAGGTGGGGAGGGCCTCCACAGCATACAGGGCGATCCAGCAGGTGATCCCTTGGTGGGAGGGACAGACGGGGGAAAGAAAGCAATAGGACGGGTCACCACCTCCTGCTTCTCTTCCCTCCTTTCTAGCTCATAACAGGCTCTTGGCTTTATCTCCTTTGGCACAAGCCACAATCAATGCATAAACGTTTATTAACCACATAAAAGCATAATTAACAAATCCAAAGCCACTTCCATATTAATGGACATCACACAGTGTCTGCAGGGCGCCCTGCCTTGCCACACATCTGGCAGAGGAATCACTTGAGTGGAGAATGACCCTGCAGACTCAGCCAGAGCCCAGAGACAAGCCATGCTGGTGCAGTGATAGGAAGCTCACAGGGCCTCCCACAGTCATCTCCCGGGGAGTTTGGGTCCCACTGACACCATGGATGTTGACACAAGAAAGGAGATAAGGTTGTCAGAGAAACCTGCTCCCATGCCCTCTCCCAGTGTCACTGCTGGGACAGAGTTTGTTTCCCAGGGAAAATGGCCAGGCTGCTGGCTCCCTCCCCTCTGTGGCCCACCCCAACTCTGGAGCTGTGTATGGAAAGGCGAGAGCACAAAACAGCACTCCTAGCCCTGTCCTTCACGGCGTCCCAAGTGCTGTTATGTTTCCATCAATCCCACACCCATGATGACGCCAGCAGTTTGGCATGAGGATTTAGAGCCCAGGCTGTGCACCTAGGGTCCCACTGTGGGAGTGACAGGCTAAGATGTACAAACCCACTTCAACATTGACAAGTCATGGGGCCCAGGACACATTCCACTTTAACCCCCACCCTAAAGCCATCTAGGCTCTCAGCCTGGGCTTCTGTTCCTAGGGGCTACAGGGCAGCATTCCTGCACAATGGCCCGATGAATAGAATTCGTTTCCTGGTCCCATCTTTTGCCCAAGACCCTTCTGCGTAGCGAGCATGGGGTCCTGTCTGTAGGGCTGGGAGAAGTAACCCTCAGGGAACAATCACATCAGAGCAGTGCCTTCCATTATGCAGCAGCCCTTTCCAATAGTGGCCTCAAAAACCCCTAAGTGTCCTCCTGAGTAGCAGAGAAGCCTGCTCATCGTGAAAGAGAACTGGGAAGAATTCAAAATAGTTCAGCCCCACCAGGTCAGCCCAGCCGAGGTCAGTTCCACCCAGCCTAGAGAAAAGACCCCAGCCAGAGAACTGATGGAGAAGTTCAGACCCAGCTCACAGCCCATCGGCCCACCCTGACATGGGACCTGGGACCTGGCTGTCCCAGGTCGGGGTGGGCCGATGGGCTGTGAGCTGGGTCTGAACAGCCTTGAGTCTTGTCCAGTAGGGGTCTGGGTGTCTGCTGTCCCAAAGGGTGGAGCTTGAAGGAACAGGATGAGACTCTCCCCTTCCCTGCCTGGAGGATCGATGACAGCTGAGAGCTGACACGTGGCTAGATCTGGCCCAGGCCTCCCTGCAGCCTAACAGCAAGCCTCACTGTTCTTGGCGAGAAGTGAGCACAGGTACAGCCATGGAAGCCACCGGAGACCCTTTTTCTGGCCATCTTGGGTTACCTCATGTCTCCGCTCACCCTCTCACCCCTCTGAGCCCGTCTGCTACCAGATCAGCCAGCCCCATACCACCACCCCAAGCCATTTGAAAATCAGCATTCTTCAGACTTGACTTTCCCCAGGAAATAAAATCCAACGCATTCAGCTCCCTCTCAAAAGGATCTGCATCACCAGAAGCCGCTCGCCCCTCCCAGAGAAGGGCCTGACAGCAGGCTAAGAGAGCCGCTGCGGAAGAGCGACTCCCTGCGCCCCCCACCTCCCTGGAGATCAAGGTGGCATAAAAGCTCCAGTGACAAGAAAACATAAGCCCGTATTGCGAGGTGTTGAGTGATTCTAGAATGAGGCTGAAAGGAGATCTGAGTCACTCAGGGGCCAGCCTCTCTCACATGGTGAATAATTCAGGCTGCCCGTGTTGGGTGCTGGATCAGAGCGGGAAGTCAGGCGGAATGCCGTCCCGCGGGACCGTTTCCTCCCTGCCACCGTGTAGCCTTGGGCAGACCAGCCCTTGCTGACCTGGTCCCTTTGCCACATATAAAGAGAATTCTCAGGGCTCCTTTCACCCTGACAGCTGCCAAGTGTTGCCTTCATTCACGCTTCCTCCCCTTTTTGGTAAATGGACGGCTCAGTCTGCCTATATGCAGGAGGGGTTGGACCCACTCCCCAAAGTCTCTTCCAGCGCCGCATCCCACGAGCCCACTAGGTCCTCTACCGAGAGTTGGGAAAGCGGAGGCATAAGGAGCATAAGAGACATCTCCAAGCTGACCCAGCTCCTGGCCGAGGCCAGCCAAGGGGGCAGTTCCCCACGGGAGCAAAAGGGCTCGCCGCAGTCTGTGACACAGGCCGACAAGCTCAGGCACCAGTGAGGCTGTTTAAGACTCAGCAGGCCTGCATTCCAGCAGAGCTCTTCTCCTGTTGGGGACCCCAGCAAGCTCACAGAGACTTACCTGGGGGAGGTAGAACAACTGTCGTGGCCTCCAGCTCCAGGTCTAACCACTCAGCACTCAGCGGTGACTCTGACTGGCAGGGATGCTGTCACCGTGGGCGTGACCCTGGCTTCCCAGAACATAGCCTCGGGTACCCCAGGAAGATCTGGCGTAGGCCTCCCTGCAGCCTGAGTGTGGCTAAGGTCCCATATGGCGCTACCTACAGTCACCTCGGCACCCCCACCCAACCCGCACCCCCCTCCGAGGCCAGGGGTGTACTCACAGGAGACTTGCCTCCACTGCAGGGCGAGCCTGCCCCTCTGCCCAGGGCTGCTGCCCGGCGCCAGCATGGTGAGGCCCACGGCTCTCCGGGCCCTGTCGCTCTGGGGAGAGAGGAGCCCCTGGGTGCGCCGCCTGTCAGTCCTGAGGGAGGGAGGAGCACTGAGCACAGGCAGGCGCGGGAGCCCCGTTCCAGCCCAGGGGTTAGGGAGAGGGCCCGGGTGTCTCTTTACACTCCTCATGCCCTCTCCTGTTCCTCTCAGTTATGATTCCCTGGGTGGGGGAAGAAGAGGAGCCAGGAAGCCTTCAAGCCCCTGGGATGGGGGCGGGGCAGGCTTCGGCTTTCCAGGAGCCCGAGGGTCGGGCACAGTGCCGCAAAGCTGGGGGTGCACCCATGGGCCTACCCAGCCTCATCTGCCTTCTTGTTGCCTCCCGAGTATGTTGATCACTCAGATGTTTTCATGGCAACCTGGTCTCCCATCTGGGCATTCCTTGAGTTATGGGTGGAGAAACTGAGGTCATCTCTCCGAGGTGAGCAGAGTGAGGTCACAGGCCACAACTGTCACCTGTCCCTGGAGGCTCCCCTCACCTGGGTCCCGGTTCCTCTAGCCCCGCCACAGCTCACCATGGCCCGAGGGAGGCAGGGGCCAGGCCCTTGGCAGCTGCAGCCGCGTAGGGTGTGAGCCGCTGGATGGCCTGCTGCTTCCCCCTGCACCACCGACGCCCACGCAGAGGTGAATAGCAGCACTCTGTCTTCCGCCAGCCGGGCTATAATAAGACTCATCAGCTCAGGGGTTCATGCTGCGGCAGCTGCTAGGAAGAGACAGGGACACAAGGAGAGGTGAGAACGCAGAGTAGGGGCGCTGAGGCAGCCAGGGCGCAGGAGCAGGCTTCCTTCGCGGGGGACAAGGGGGCACTTACCCTTTCTAGGGTCTGCCCCCCCCAGTGTCTCCCAACTGGGACACAGGCTGTGTGCTGGGGTCTCCACTTCCTTCCAGATGGGAGGCCCAGGCTGCCAGCCCATCAGAGAGGGGGACAGGGGACTGGCATGTGTTTACCTGCTGCAGCTGGCAAGGGCGGGGATGGGCAGGGAGGGAGGGAGGATGCCCGCACCCCTCTCCTTCGCCCTCCACGGGCTCCCTGCGTCAGCCCACTGCTCCAGGCGGCTCCCAGCCTCTGACCTTCCTTGGTTGCCAGATTTGTCCCTGGGTAATTCCTGGTTGCAGCCTCCCTCTCCCTGCCCCCATGGGCCTATGGAATTCTGGGAGCCCAGGAGACAATATCAGAGTGAAAAAGACAGGCCCAGAGGTGGATGGAGCTGCCGAGAAGCTTCAGTGCTGAGCCCAGAATCTTGGCCTGTCTGTGCAGGTTTCCCCTCGGGCATTAGGGTCCTGCTGCAAACCCTGTTGCCCCCATCTTCTCCCCTCTGGTCCCCTCGGCCCCTCCCTCCTTGGGTGCTCCTCAGGCGGCCACAGCAGTGCTCAGTTAGAACAGGACAGTCGGCTCTGCCCCCGGCAAGGGCAGCCTGCTGAGGAGCGGAGTGCCGCCCTCTCGGCTGTCTTTCCTCCCCTTCCCCCACGCAGCGAGGGTGCCAGTCTGCCGAAGGCCCCGCAGGCGTTGGCAGAGGGGTCACAAGACTGGGCACAGATGTGGGATTGCAGGCAGCCCAGGTGCCCATGCAGCCTTCAGGAGGACCCACGTCCCTGGCATGAGGGGTGGAGGAGCCCCTGAGCGTGGTGCTGTCATGGTTCTCTAACCACTGTCTCAAGGCCAGGCTCCAGTGGGCTCCTGGTGCCAGTTGGCGGGGGGGGGGGGGGGGCTCTGGGTTCAAATCTCTGGTCCGTTCTTTAAACAAACTGCTTAAAGCCTCTGGGCCTCAGCTTCTTTCTGTCTAGAAATGGTGACCGCAATACCTGCTTGGTGGAGTTTCTATGAGGATCAATCTAGTGAAGGGAAGAGAGTTGACACACCCAGTGCCCATCACCATGGAAATTCAGGCAGAGGCTCCTGCTCCTAGCTCGGACTTGAGCCCAGTACAGGCGTGAGGGAGCAGCAGTTCCTCCCTCCAGAGGAGAGGGGTGTCAGCAGCAGGTCTATTGTGACGGCTTTCTTTCCCGATCCCACCAACCTCCCCTGTGAGGTTGTTTCTCATTCCTGAGCACCCCGGGCCTGTGGAGTCTATGTATTTCTGCCCCACACCTACGGCCCTCGCAGGCCTGCCTTCAAACAGCAGCGTGCACGCTCTCTGTCCCTCGAGCCCTGACCTTCAGCACAATCTCTCTTACTCAGTCAAGAATGTCCATATCAAGAGCTCACAGTCCACGGCCACCCAAGGCAGAGATGTTGATCACTTGTCCAAGGTCACATGGTAAGTCCGGGACTGGATTGCAGGTTTCAGAGCCAGGCTGCAGGCTGCTCATCACTCCCTGGCGACTGTCACCCAGCAGTGGCCCTTTCAGGGAGATACTTACGTGTGCACAGAGCAGGGCACACACACAGGCCTCCCAGACCTGTGCTTGGAGCTCTGTACACAGCACGTGATGCAAACACACACCCACAGAGAGCTGTGCAGCTAGGTATGTGCTAACATACATGTGCCCACATGCTTGCACACATGCACACACGCACCTGGCTGGCAGCACTCCAGCACTTCTCAAATGCCAACACTCAGGCAGCTGAGTGAGATGCCTCTAAGTTCCCAAATGCCCCCAACAGACAGATGTGTAAGCCGCCTCCAGCCTGGAACTAAGGTCTAGAGAGAACCCCTGCAGAGCAGTCCCTAACCCATAAGACACCTCCTCTGCCCAGGGCCCATGTTGAGGCCGGATTCCCCATCCAGGTGTCTGCTCCCACTCCTTCTGGCTTGCCGCAGGCAGATAGGTAGTGGAGAAGCCCTCCCACCCAAGCTCAGGCCAGTTTCCACCTAAGGCTTCTGCCTCCCCTGGATAGGCTCCTCTTTTGCATCCCACCTCACCCTCTCCCATCCCTCAGTGTCTCCCACACTGTGAGCCCAGGAGTTAACCAGCAAACAGGCTGGTGAAGGCGGCCTCTTGTGCAGGTCTGGAGGTCCCATCTTCAGCCTCGAATGGGATGTCACCTGCACAAGTCCGGCAAGTCCCCACAATGCAGACCCACAGGTGTTGTCTTGCAAGGTGGCAGGACACTGTTGATCCTGGTATTGTTTAGAGAAATGTGATGAAAACAAGGCCCCCAGGTTCATGCGGATATGCCCTGTGCTCTCTTAGCAGCTAATCCTGCCTCCCTGGGTCCCTTGGGCTTCCTCCTGGACACCAGGGCCTTCCCAAGAGCAGGAAAAATAGCGCAGCTTGCAGGGAACACCAGTCATATGTGTGTGGCACCACAGAGGGACTCCTAGAGAGAGGTGGGGCTGCAGCCAGCACTCCCTAGTTCCTTAGCCTCTGCCTACCAACACGCCTCCATCCAAAGGACCCTTCCCACCCCCAGAAGAGTGGAGCCTCCTTAAGGAAAGGGGGTGACCTACATTGGGAAGCTTGGAGAGCAGCTGCCGCAGCAGGCACTGACAGCTGCTGAAATGAATTCACAGTCTGGGAGGGAAGTCCCTACCCAGGGTGCAGCATGGGGGACAGCGAGATCTCCTGTCTGCAAGTCCCATGGCCTCATCCACTCTGGATGCTGGGCCTGCTCCTAACCCAGTCCTAGAGACAGGGAGGCCAAAGATAAGGGGCCAGGCCTCCACGGAGTCCCTGGCCTCCCTTCCAGAGAGAGCCAGGATTGGAGAATGGGGCTGAAGAGCTCAAAGCAGTCAAATGAGGAACTCTGGAGGGCCAGAAACATGGGGCTTTGAGTGTAGACCATTGCAACTCAAAGTGTGGTCCATGGACCAGCGGCATTGGTCTAGCTTGGGAGCCTTGTAGGAAGGTAGTCTCAGGGCCCATCCAGAATGACTGAGTCAGAATCCGCATTTTAACAAGATCCCCAGGGGATTTTCATGCATATTTGAGTTTGATACGACTAGGCCGGGCACCTCTCAGCAGGGCAAACGGCCACCGAGGAGACCATGCTGGCCTGTCCCTGAGCCTCCAGGACCCACTGAGAAGCTAACTGGGACCTGGGGAGAAAAAAATTACCACAGTCACAAACCTGTGTAGTTTTCTGAATCCTTGTAACAACTCTCTGAGGTTAGTGTTCTTGTTACTATCATTTTGCAGATGGGGGAAACTGAGGCACCAGAAATGAAATAACTCACCTAAAGTTAGGCAAATGGAATCATATGGCTCTGAGCCCGAGCTCTCTGGCTCCTAACTCAGTTGTCTGTCTGCTTACACGTGGGGGTTACTTGTACAGGAAAGGCAGAGGTAGGAAAGGAAGATGCCGCCTTTCCTCTGAATGGTCCTCTGCAGTGTCCACGGCATTGCCTGATCCACTCCCGCTGGAGCTGAGAAGGCAGCTGTTTTTGTCCCCATTGCCCTGATGAAGGAACAGGCTTTGTGACTTGCTGGACTGAGATGCAAGCAAGACAGGTTCTCCTCTTCCCAGCCTCTCTTCTTGAAGTCCTGGGAGGCCAAGATCTTACGGAAGGTGGGGGGCTTTCTAGAAACCTTTCTGGCTGGGGGTTGTGTGCTGAGGTGAGGGGAGTAGGCCGGAGCTCTGTTCTGGGGGAGCCAAGGCTGGGGAGGCCATGGGGGAGCAGGAGGCCCCAGTAGGAGCAGGGGGTTCCACATGCGGAGCTGAGTGGGCTGTAGCCACCCCAGGAGACTGGGAGTGGGAGCTGCCTCCCTGCTAGCACCCCACTCGGCCCCCTCAGAGCACGGAACAGCCGCACGCACTCACTCACTGCAGAGAGCTAGGTTGGGACGGCAGGAGCCTGGACCGCTCCATGCACCTGCCCCTTCCATTTCTCCTCAGATGGAGGTTAATTAATCAGTCTCAGACTCTAGCTAGAAACCTCCAGCACACTCACCACAGACCTGGTGTCCGCACCCTTCCTCTCAGGCTTCTGCGCATGTCTATCCCTCCACATCAAGCATCCAAGACACACAGCCAGATAATGCCCATCGGGCCTCCACCTCTGAATTCCTGACTCCTGGGCCATCACACTAGCCCTAGGGTGTGCCCACTCCCCTGGCATCTCCCCTTGGTCAAGAGTCCATACCCCTCAGCATGGAAGAGTCACAGAACTCAGGGGTAAAGGGGGCATTTGCAGCCTACTCTGCCGCCCCCTTCACTCTGCAGAAGGCCAGAGAGAAGCAGAGCCACGACTGGGCCCACACCCTGGGCCTGCAGGGGCCGTGCCCTTCCACCAACCCCAGGAAGGCTGAGAGGGAGCCCGGAGAGTGGCCAGCCAGAGCCCCGGGCCAAAGACGGCCCGAGATTCCATGTGGCCAGGACGCAGGGGAGGCTGCCACAGCCGTCTAGGCTGGGCTCCGCCTACCGCTGCCTGTCTGGGCACCCAGGCCCTCTAGGACAGCTGCCCATCACCCCCATCACACACACTGCCCAGGCAGCAAGGAACCAGGTTTTAAAAATCTCTATATTTGTACTTGGAACAGCCATATACCCTCCTGGTTCATTTTAAAACACATGCCCCATCCTCACCCCCAGCCTCCTGCACCCCCGTTTCCTTGTCAAATATTCTCAATCTCAAACAGACCCTCTGGGAAGCAGAACAGAGAAGCCTCCTGAGTGGCCCCTCATGGGAGCTGGTCCCTGACATGAAGGAGGCTAAGGTGTCCACTGGGCCCTGGGGCCGGGCTCAGGGTGGTGTCCCTGGGGCTGGGCTCAGGGTGGTATTCCCAGGCAGGGCACAGGAGGCTTGGCTGGGGGAAAAAGGAGGAAGACCAGAGGGGCAGACAGCCTCTATGCTGGCTCCTTTCTCCTCTGCCCACCCCCAGAACTCCCAGACACCCCCAACCATCACATACATGCCATCCCCTCCTCCTTCCTACACTGCCCACTGAGGCCATAGCAGCCCAGAGGCGGCCCCTGGGCTCTGGTGCCTGGGAAACGGGAGCAGAGTTTGCTCCTCGTGGGCCCAGACAAGCTTCTGTCAAACCCCAAAGACACCAGATCGGCTGCTTAAGCAGCCTCTCTCCTTACCCCTCCCCGCGGGCCTGGCTTTCCTGGTCTCCCTCTTTTGGCAGTGCTGAGACTTTCTTTCTGCCGGTGGGGAGGTGGGGGTGGGAAAAGCTGGGCTCTTCTTGGCAGCTCGGAAGCTGCTGTCGGGTTTCCCTACCAGCTGGACTTCCCCCGCCTCAGCTCCACGTGCTCGGCTCCCTCCCCGCCCCCACCTGAGGCAGTTATCTAAGCTGCAGGGGTGTCATCTGAGTCACAAAGAGACACTGCCCAAGTAGCCCTGACAGCCGGGTGCCAACACCCCCCAGAAATGTGGACAGCTTGGGGGTGGGGGAGAGACAGGGCCGCCAACTGGAACCCAGCCCCAGACCTGCAGGGAGGTGCAGGAATGTGAACTTCCGACTCCTGGTCAGGCTGCTCCTCTCTCCAGCACTGTCCAAATGGGTCTGGGGGATTGAGAGCAACTGTCCCGCTCTACTCAGGGTGTCCATGCCCCCTGTGTGGGTCAAGAAGCCAGGCAGGCCTGGCCCCGCTGTGTACCCCCCACCCAAGCTCAGTGTCCAGCCCCCACTAAGGCTCCCTGACCCATTTGCAGATGGACGGCTGGGTGCACAGCTGCGGGACACCCCAGCAGGTTCTCGCGGGCCTGGTTCTCCTGTCTTGCCCTTGGGCTAGCAGGGAAGGGCTGCGATACTTCTCTCTCCTGCCCACTCCCAGCCTCACCCTCACCAGGGAGGCTTCATGCACAGCTGAGTGGGCCCATGCTCATCTGGGGGAGGGTTCCTCCACACCCTTGTCCAAGGACAGCCACCTGCAGGCAAGCTATAGGGAGGCCCAGGACCTGGGTCTGTGCCCATGCCTCTGACATCCAGGACCTCCTCCCTGCCACCCTCCACCCCAAGCCTTCCTCTGACCTGGCCCTGTCCCCAGCACCTGACTGCCATCCCAACCGCTTCCCATGACCCCCGAGTTTCTTGGGGCTGTCTGTGCAGAGCCGGGCACAACGACAGCACAAGGCTCTTGGCTGCTTCTCCCATGCTGCAGGGACCGGTTTCTATGCCACCCGGGACTGTCATCTGGCGCCAGCGCTGCCCTCCTCCCCACTTCCCAGCAGAATCCACAGCTCTTGTCCCCAGCACTGTGGGCTCAGAGTTCCCAGTGTCGTGCACCTTTGGGATGCTCAGGTGCCTGAGCCCGAGCAGCTTCTTCGGCCCCAGCAATTGCCTGCAGGTAGGAAGCAACTGCAGCTATTCCTGCAGGGCAGAGATGGCCGGTGCCCACTTCCCATGCCCCGACCACCCCCTGTCCCCACCAACCCTCCATTCCTTCCTACCAGCCACTCGGTACTCACCCGTCTTTACTCTGACTGCAAACGCCTTCAATCAGGTGGCTCTCAACCCTCCAGTAAGACCCTCCTGGGATTCCTATAGAAATCCAGACACCACCGGCAGGCAGAGCGCAGTGGGCACTGGTGCCAGAGTCTCCACTCAGCGGGAGCAGCGGCTGGCACGCAGCACACAGCACCAGGAGGTGGACTGCTTGTGGCAGACGGGGGACGGGGCTGCTGGGTCAGTCACAAACTGAGAAGGAAAGAGAGGGATGGAGGGAGAGAGAGAGAGGAGAGAGGGAAGAAAGGGGCGAGGGAGGAGAGCGCACGCGTGTGCGCGAGCAGCGAGCCAGAGTGGAGCGGGGAGTGACAGCTGGGGTGCATCTGTGATGACAGCGGCAGCAGCACACACAGGCGCACACCAGAGGCACCACGGCCGGCCGCGAGGGCAGCGCTCACCCTGGCCACGCTCACATTTCAGTGGAAAAAGGCGCCTGTGGATGAATCGCTGCCGACCACAGGGAGGAGGAAAGCGGTTTCACCACCACCTCCATCTTCCATCCTGCGCCTCCAGGCTCTCCCTCACCCCCCCGGCTGCACCTGTCTTCTGTGCCTCTCTCCTCTCTTCCCCTCCATCTGGGGAAAGAGGGACAGGCGCAGACACAGAGCAAGCGGCTGACTTCTGTTCCGATGGAGGCCCCCCTGGGAAGCTGGTCTTTCTCCTGTTTTAGAGACATGCGAGGCAGAGTCTCCCATCCTGCCTGAGAGAAGGAAAAACCGAACCCTTCTCTCGGTCATACGAAAGAAGGGTACACAGGCATGTCCATGTGCCAGATGACCCTACAGGAAAGGGCCCTGAGCCCCCACAAAGCCAGGGATCACATGGTCATGCAGAGGTCACTGAGCCTCAGGGTCTGACCACCCGACGCCAGGACTACTTAGGGAAGCAGAATGCCAGAGTTGGCAGGCTGGGAGTTTGGGCACAGGGCAGCCTGCAGCAGCAGCCTGCAGACCGTTCTCAGTGCCAGGGACGAGCTTGGCTTCTCAGGGCTCCTTGCTCTTATCTGTGATGGGTCAGGCATGCGAAGGGAAGAGACTGTCATTCAAGAACTTGGAGGCCTCTTTCTTAACCAATCAGGACAAAGCAAGTCAGAAAAATTGATATCCTAAGAGATGGGAAGTGGCTGATCTGAAGGCCAAGTGAGTCAGGGACCAAGCTAGAGGGGAGCCAGGGCCCCACCAGCCTGGAGCACGAACCCTAAATCCCCCTTCCTTTGCGTCCACTGCCTGTAGACAGATGAAGCACCGTGCTAGCGATATATCACCGTGTCCTATGTCCCTCTTCCATTTTGCCTGCTTTGCTGGAGGGGTTCACAGCCAGGACTGGGGTGGGTGTAGAAGAACCCCCTGGACTCAGGATGCCCCTAGAAGGATGCTCCTGCTCACTCCCTTCTGTCCGTTCTGCCGGGTCCCCGGGCAGCACAAGGCTTGAGCTGCAGTGTCTTTTACCTCTGGGGAGTCCCGCCTCTGACCTCTCATGCTGGTGCCTCCCACACATCCCACTGTCAAGCAAAAGAGGCTCCCACCTCCCCATAAACATACTTCCTGCTTCTCCATCTCCATGAAAGCGTGTTCTTCCCTGGGCCTGAAATGCTCTCCTGCCCATGGGTGGCTTCCCCCTTCCTTAAACGCCCCCTGCAAGGTGACGTTTCCCCGGAACACCACAGGACTGGCCCTGCTCCTCCTCCGATCTCTGGCATTCTCTTTGGGCCACCCTCATGTTGTGCAGGAGCTTTCTGTGGTCTGCTTCATCTCCTTTCCTTTTTTTTTTTTTTTTAATTTTTTTAGTATTTATTGATCATTCTTGGGTGTTTCTCGGAGAGGGGGATTTGGCAGGGTCATAGGACAATAGTGGAGGGAAGGTCAGCAGATAAACATGTGAACAAAGGTCTCTGGTTTTCCTAGGCAGAGGGCCCTGCCGCCTTCCGCAGTGTTTGTGTCCCTGGGTACTTGAGATTAGGGAGTGGTGATGACTCTTTTTTTTTTTTTTTAATTTATTTATTTATTTTTTATTGATCATTCTTGGGTGTTTCTCGCAGAGGGGGATTTGGCAGGGTCATAGGACAATAGTGGAGGGAAGGTCAGCAGATAAACAAGTGAACAAAGGTCTCTGGTTTTCCTAGGCAGAGGACCCTGCGGCCTTCCGCAGTGTTTGTGTCCCTGGGTACTTGAGATTAGGGAGTGGTGATGACTTTTAACGAGCATGCTGCCTTCAAGCATCTGTTTAACAAAGCACATCTTGCACCGCCCTTAATCCATTTAACCCTGAGTGGACACAGCACATGTTTCAGTGAGCACAGGGTTGGGAGTAAGGTCACAGATCAACAGGATCCCAAGACAGAGGAATTTTTCTTAGTGCAGAACAAAATGAAAAGTCTCCCATGTCTACTTCTTTCTACACAGACACGGCAACCATCCGATTTCTCAATCTTTTCCCCACCTTTCCCGCCTTTCTATTCCACAAAGCCACCATTGTCATCCTGGCCCGTTCTCAATGAGCTGTTGGGCACACCTCCCAGACTGGGTGGTGGCCGGGCAGAGGGGCTCCTCACTTCCCAGTAGGGGCGGCCGGGCGGAGACGCTCCTCACTTCTCAGACGGGGCGGCTGCCGGGCGGAGGGGCTCCTCACTTCCCAGACGGGGTCGCGGCCGGGAAGAGACGCTCCTCACATCCCAGACGGGGCGGTGGGGCAGAGGCGCTCCCCACATCTCAGACGATGGGCGGCCGGGCAGAGACGCTCCTCACTTCCTAGATGGGATGGCGGCCGGGCAGAGGCGCTCCTCACTTCCCAGACTGGGCAGCCAGACAGAGAGGCTCCTCACATCCCAGACGATGGGCGGCCAGGCGGAGACGCTCCTCACTTCCCAGACGGGGTGGTGGCCGGGCAGAGGCTGCAATCTCGGCACTTTGGGAGGCCAAGGCAGGCGGCTGGGAGGTGGAGGTTGTAGCGAGCCGAGATCACGCCACTGCACTCCAGCCTGGGCACCATTGAGCACTGAGTGAACCAGACTCCGTCTGCAATCCCGGCACCTCGGGAGGCCGAGGCTGGCGGATCACTCGCGGTTAGGAGCTGGAGACCAGCCCGGCCAACACAGCGAAACCCCGTCTCCACCAAAAAAATATGAAAACCAGTCAGGCGTGGCGGCGCACGCCTGCAATCGCAGGCACTTGGCAGGCTGAGGCAGGAGAATCAGGCAGGGAGGTTGCAGTGAGCCGAGATGGCAGCAGTACAGTCCAGCTTCGGCTCGGCATCAGAGGGAGACCGGGGAAAGAGAGGGAGAGGGAGACCGTGGGGAGAGGGGAGAGGGGAGAGGGAGTCATCTCCTTTCCTACACAGAGCTGTTCAAGCAGGGGGACTGGCCTCACCTGTTCCGTGTCCTTCAGGCCCCAGTGCCTTCGTGTCAACTGAGTGAGGAATGGAGGACATGAAAGAGCTCAAGACTGGGCATCAGGGGACCCAGACTCCAGACTCTGTTGCTCAGTGACTAGCTAGCTAGTGAGTTCACTCAGCAGCCCTGGGCCTTGTGCTGGCTGGGATTCCTGCCCTGCAGAATGAGGAGATGGGTTGAGATCTCTGGTCTCCCTTCTGGCACTGGCCTTCTGTGACCTAAGTATTCGCTGTGCACCTGTCGGGTCCTCAGCTTGTGTTACAAAAGATGATCCCTCTCATGCCCCACAGTCCCTATCCCGTGCAACACGCAGTCTCCTGGTTAGGTTCTCAAGACAGAGGAGGAGGAAAGAGAAGCAGATAAAGGGCTAGGAGGGCAAAGCTGGAGCTTCTGACTCCTGGGACCACAGCACTCAACAGTGTGCAAACTCATATGTTCATGTGCATGCTATGTATGTGCATGTGTGTGTACGTATGTGTGCATGTGCATGGTGCACGTGTATATGCATGTGTGTGCAAGTGTGTGCGTATGCCTGTGTGTCCATGTGTGCGTGCATGGGTATGTGTGTGCAAGTGTGTGTGCATGCATGTGTGTCCGTGTGTGCATATATGTGTGTGTCCATGTGTGTGCATGTATGTGTGTGTGCATGCACAGTTGTTTGGTTTTGCCTTCTGTGATGACACAGCAGCACCGAGGTGACAGTCTGTGTGCACAGCAAAGACGTACATCTTGATAAGCCGCCTGCGGGTCTGGCCTTATTGAGGCTCTTTGTTAGGTTGTCTGCCAGCGGAGCTGAGCTGCGATCTTACAGGAAAGCTGCTTGGGAGGAAGGCACGAGATCAATGTGGAGAGGCAGGGCAGAGAGGGAAGGCAAGGGACAGCCCAGAGAGGGAGGACAGGAGGGAGGGAAGGGACCCAGGTCAGCTGGGGCAGGAGGCCCGCTGGGGCAGGAAGGGGTCTGAGATTTGTCCTCCTCTTTCAGGTCATGACAGGCCCTCCTGGGGACGAAGGTCAGGGTCTAAAACAGGGGCCCACCATGCACAGGCATGAGGGAAGCTTTCCTGATAACTCCCAGGAAAGCAACAGGAAAAGCCGAGTGCTTTGCATTCCCTCGGGCCCTTTGCCTGAATTTCTCTTCACCGAAAGGTGTGAGCTTGTCTGCAAACATAATATCATAAGGTGTTGTCTCCTGCACACAGCTGGCTAGCAGGAGATGATGGGAGGAAGGGCAGTCCTCCCCGCAAGTAACCACTCACCTGAACGAGCAGAGCAGGGATCCTGGGGGAGAAGACTCGGTTCCCTGGGTGTCTGGAGTGGAAAAGCACAACTTGGGTTGTGGGACTGCAGTTGACAGAAGGATTCAATATGATGCAAGCCAGGGGATGCAAGCGGTTGGGCACGGCAGAACACCGTTGACTCACTGGTAAATATATTTCCGTGCCTCACCGCCTTTACTCCCAATACTGTGTCTTGTCTTCAACATCTTATAGTTCTTGCCATAAGGAAGTTCTTCTTCATGTCTCACTTAAATCCCCATTTCTTAGTGGATTGCCTCCGAAGTCTTCAAGGGACCCAGAGCACAGCTAAACCTCCAGGATCTCAAGTTCAGGGACAGTGAGAGGGCACAGCAAAATGGAGAGGAAGGAGGTCAGCAAGGCCCCTGAAGCTGGGAGGGAAGGGACAGTGAGACCTGGTAGAATTCGGCTTCCCCGTCAAGTGGCTGGCTCAAATTGAATTTGCTTACGTAGCTCAAGAAAAATTTATGGAGTCACACTGTGATAGGTACGATTCTAGGTGCTGGGGATCAAAACTCAATCCCCTGCCTGCTATTAGCCCCAGACAGACAATAAATGAGAAATCAAATAGATGAACAAATCATGTCACTTAGAAAATTTAAAAAGTAATAAGGTAGAGAGTGAAAGTGAGGGAGGTCCCCCTGGCTGGCTTTATCTCGGGAGGCCAGGGACAGCCACTCTAGGAGATGATATTGGGCTGAGACCTGACGATGGGAAGGAGCCAGCCATGTAAAGTTCTAGGGGAAGGGCATTCCAGGAGGAGAGAACAGCTGGTACAAATGCCCTGGGGTGAGAATGAGCTTAACATGTTTGAGAGGTGAAGTGTTTCTGGATGAAATCAGAGAAATCAGCAGAGCCAGTTCCTGTGGCCATCTTGCAAGTTTAGATTTTAAGATCAATGGGGACCAGGCATAATGACTCACGCCTGTAGTCCCAGCACTTTGGGAGGCTGAGGCAGGTGGATCACTTGAGGTCAAGAGTTTGAGACCAGCCTGGCCAGCATGGCGAAACCCCATCTCTACTAGAAATACAAAAATTAGCCATGCATGGTATCACACGCGCCTGTAATCCTAGCTACTAGGGAGGCCGAGGCAGGAGAATCACTTGAATCTGGGAGGTGGAGGTTGCAATGAGCTGAGATTGTGCCACTGCACTCCAGCCTGGGTGACAGAGTGAGACTCTGTCTCAAAAACACAAAACAAACAAAAAAGAGCAATGGGACGACATTAGAGGGTTTTAAGCCAGGGAGTGGTGTGATTTGATCTTCAGAAAGATCCACTCTATGTGGAGAATGGATCAGAGAGAGGCAGGATGCAAGGCGGGGGCCAGTTCGGGGGTGCTTGCATTAATCCAAGTGAGAGCAATGTTGGCTTGGCCAAGGGTGGTAACGGTGGAGATGGAGGGAAGCGGACAGATTTATAAAGTTTTGGAACTGAGGTGTGCAGACGTTGGATGGGAGGAGGGAAAGTGATAGCAATCAGATAGAAAATGTGTCCTGAAATGGAGAAGTCTCAAGGAGGGTCAGGTCTGGGGGAGAACACGCTAAGTTCAAAGTGAGAGCTGAAGCCAGCTGGACTTCTTGGGTCGAGTGGGGACTTGCAGAACTTTTTTGTCTTACAAGAGGATTGTAAAACGCACTCATTAGCGCTCTGTGACCCAAGGGCAGATGACATGCCAATAGGCGGTTGCAATGCCCTAAATTTCGCAAAGGACACCCGGGGCAAGACACACAGCTTGGCTTGGAGGAGCCTGGAATGGAACCAAGTGGGGGAAAATATGCTCTGTGCCCTGCTCCCCCCATTTCTGCCCAAGGAGCCTCAACACCTACACCCCCACCCTCTCCAGACTCCCCATGTTAGAATCGTAGAATTCCTTCCAGCTCAGAAATCTCATGATTCTATGCGACTTGACACTGAGCCATCAAATGGAAAGGCAGAGTCTCATTCTAGGAATAATGTGAGACCTCTTTGACCACGGAGGCCAAGGACAGGATGAAGGAAGCTTTCTTCAATCCCGAAGAGCTGGTCATTCTGAGCAGTAGCGTGATTCGCTCTGATGATCCTCTTTCATTTAGCCTTTTCCTACAGGTGAAAGAAATCTGTCTAAAATGAATGTCTAGGGTGGTCTTATAAGGGAAAAGAAGGAGAAGAGACCGAGGGGTCCCCGCAACCTTAGAGGGGCACATGAGCGGGAGGAGGAGCACAGCCATGCTAGGCCCTGAGCACACCTCACCTGCCGCTGTGCGCTGTGTCTGCAGCTCTCATCTTTGTCATGAGCCAGCAAATGGGTCTCCCCGTCCCCTTCCAGCCCACTCCTTTCAGCTACCTGGAACTCAAAGCAACAAAGACACCCCCAAAGCACTCAAATGTTCCCATATCACAGGACCTGTTCAAGAAGGCCAGCCAGCCGGAGCACCACCCCAGGATTGCCATGAGACTCCAAGGGAGGGGAGGTACCTCTCAAAGCCTCGGTTTCTTCATCTGCAAACTCAGATGAGCTCTAGAACAACACTGTCCAAAACGCTGGCCACCAACCATACGTGGCTATTTAAATTTAAGTTAATTAAAATTAACTGTTTTTTAAATTCGGGTCCTCAGGCGTGCTAGCCACACTCCGAGTTCTCAGTAGCCACGTGTGGCTGTTGGCTACCGTTTAGGACAGCACAGATGTAGGCCATCTTCATCATCTTAGGAGATTCAATTGGTGAGGCTTTAGGACGGGGGTTCCCTAAATATAGTGCCTGGACTAGCAGCATCGGCAACCCCTGGGAACACTTCAGAAACTCTCAGGCCCACCCTGGACCCCCTGAAGGAGAAACTCTGGGGGCGGGGTTCTAACAAACCTTCCAGGCGATTCTGATGCACGCTGAAGTTTAAAAATCAAGGCTCTAGTCTGGAGTAACAGCCTCACACATTATCTCGCTTGAGCCTCAACAATCTTATGCAACTTCTGCCCTTCCAGGGGAAGTAGAACCGTGACTCATCTTGCAGCTGAGGAGACGAAACGCAAAGATCACAACCCTGGAAAATGCAGGGCTGGACCTCTGGCCTTTGACCCTTCCCTGCTCTCATTTTTCCCATCAAATTTCTCTAAGATCATTCCAGAGTGAAAAAACAAAAACACAATCCTGTATCTCTGTGCCATACTGGAACTCCCACCAACTGGGTACTCGAGAAGTGAGAATGACTGTGACGGACACAGCGTAATGGTTAAGAAGCCACATCCGTTCCCGTTTCACAGATGAGGAAACCCGAGCCTGAGCAGACAGCGGCTTGCCTGTGCCCGCCGCTCCTTCCCGATCACCAGGACTCAGTCCAGGTCCAGAGAGGAGGCAGCTTCAGGGAGAGACAGGCCCAGGCTGCAGTCCTGCTTCTGTGATTAACAAGCTGGTGACTTGGGCAAGCCATGTGACTCTGAAAAGTCTCCATTTCTTCAGCTTGGAAAGTCAGAATAATAATAGGACTGGCCTGCTGTGGGATTCAATACACTCATGCATGTGAGGTGCTGGACACGTTCTAAGCGCCCAGCGCAGTTTTGATATTATTATACCAGACACTAGGAAGCTGGCCTAGTTTTGAAATTCTTCTTCTTTTCAATATAACCTGCCTCTTCTTTCTATTCATTGGCCCCAAGTTTTCCTGGAGCTCTTTGTCCCAGATTTCTCTGGATATGTGAGCACCTGCTTGGGTTCTCCAAGCCTATTTGGGAACCAGAAAGTCAGGGGTGGCCCTTGTAAGCACAGTCATCAAAAGAGAACTATTTGCCAGCTGGTGGTGCCTGTAGTTTCCTGGAACCCACCTGCAGCCCTGGGCAAACCCGAACCTGGCTTTGAGCTGGAAAAGAGCCTCCTTATAAAGCAGGGAAGATCCTGAGCAGACAGAGGGTATGAAAGGAATGGTTACACCAGGTTAAGATCCAAGGAGCCCATGAGTTGCTAGGGCAACGGCCCTGAATTCCAGGGTGCCACTCTTGGTCACGTGATTTGGTCAAAAGGGTGGGTCTCTCTGGCCTCTATATTCCCATCTATGGGAAAGGGGAGACTGAGCTGTCCCATCCACCGGCCTTGAGTTCCCAGAGATCTAGGATGAATCTGCCCTCGTTGTTTTCTGGAATGGGAGCCTCATCACTGCTGGGCATTTTCTGTCGCTCTTCTTCCAGTGGGAACGAGAGAGGCTGCCGTCTCTGTTCTTCCCCCACCCCTCCCACTCCCCAGAAACCCCAGTTTGCACTCTGCCCTCTGACTCAGTCCTCCCATCCGCTGCGGTCTCTCTCCTCAGTTCCTGCGGAAGCACCTCCTCTCTTTAACTTGACTCTATTTTTTTCTCTCCCCGTCTCTTCCCTGGCCTTGCCCTCTCTCTTTCTGCCCTGTAGCCGCGGGCGTCCAAATGAAGCTGGAATTCCTCCAGCGCAAATTCTGGGCGGCAACGCGGCAGGTAGGTGTGATGTCGGGCCAGGTCGGGGCTGGGGACTCACCACGCTCCCCTGGGTGTGAGACCCCCTCTCCCTCCCCTTGGATGCTCCACTGCCTTGAGGCTCTCAGGATGCCCTCCCGGCCCCTACACTTCTCAGCCCCTCAGCTCCCCAGCCTGCAGGCCGGGCCTCAGCGCTGGTCCCCAGCCCCTGCCAGCCCAGTGCTGAGGGCACGACCCAGAGTCACCCCTTCTCGCCACTCCAAAGCCACTGGCATGCCTCCCCGCTGAAAAGGGAGAGCCACCTCGATCCACCGTCCAAGGTCCGGGGTCCAGGCCCTGATGGCTGGCAAGAGATGCCAGAGACGACAGCGGCTTCTGGCTGAGAATTCCCAGCTCTGCCTGGCCTCGTCCTGTCCGTTCTACTGGCTCCTTTCCCCTCTGCTTCCCCAGAGCCCTCAGGTCCCTCTGGGCTTCTGAGCTGCCCCCTTCATCTCCCTCAAGCTCCCTCAGCCTCAATCTCCTGCAACGCCGAGCCCCTCGGCCCCCATCACTTGCTGCTGCCGCCTGACTCTGGGCAAGGGCAGGGAGCCCAAGAGTGAATCGAGAGGGATGGAGGGCAGGGGGCTGCGGTCACCCACCGCCTCAACCAGACAGCCAGTGCAGGAGCCCCACAGAGCCCACAAAGTCCCCTCCCCACACCAGCAACGAGGCCTGGGGGCTGCAGAGCCTGCACCTCTAGAAGGGCTACCTGGGCCCTTCCACCACCCAGGGCCTGCCGAATGCAGCACCCGCAGGCCACATACCACATGCATACCACGCACACAATGCTAACACACACCACACGCATGTGCCCTCCACGTACAGACACCCCACACATAGACACACACATGCACACACCTCACACACGTGCTCTCCACATACGACACACACATCCCACACCCACACCCCACACAGGTGCCCTCCATGTGCAGATACACACCCCATGCACACATGCACACACACTGCAGACGTACCACACACACAGCATTCCCACTTACACGTGCCATTTCTACTACACATGCAGTGTCCACATTCAGTCTCTCCTCTTCCTTCCAGTGCAGCACTGTGGATGGGCCGTGCACACAGAGCTGCGAGGACAGTGTAAGTTCTGCCCGTGTGAGGAAGGTGGAGGAGGGAGCCATGGCCCTCCGCCCGGTCCTCCTGGCAGGCCAGCTTCCCTCTCCCAAATGCCCTCCTTCCCTGCAGTGAAGCTCCCACGCTGCCTTCCAGAGCTGGGGGACAGGCTGGAGGACCGGGGTGGGTGAGGGCCCTGGCATAACCTCCCTTCTGGGTTTCCTCCCAGGATCTGGACTGCTTCGTCATCGACAACAACGGGTTCATTCTGATCTCCAAGAGGTCCCGAGAGGTGAGTCACTGGGGATATAGAATGAGGGGGAGAGGGCGGCAGGAGGACTGGAGACATTGGGCAGCCACTCCAGCTAAAGAGAGCCCCACGGCCCCAGGAGGGAACCCTGTTCGGGGCCAATTCAGGTGAAAGGTCTGAAGAACATGGTGTTCTGACACCAAAGTCAACAGAGCAAGAAGGCAGAATTTGGAGCACTTTTCAACTCAGGGAGTCAGAGAAAATATTACTTCTTCATTTTATCTGTCACTAGCCTGGCCTCCTCCCGTGCCTGGTAGGAGCCACTCAGTGACCCCATCTCAGGGCCCTGCCTGGCCACACTGGCCCAGCCTCACTCGGGGCCTCCCCACAAGGATCCAAGCACACTCACTTATCAGATCATTCCCCAACCCCCGCCTGCCTTTCTACCATTGTGGGGCCCAGAAGACATGGCTTCCCCACTTCATGTTCTTGTCCTGTCTGGACCTTATGGAAAATTATACTCTCACCCACCACGCCCGGCCTTCGGTGTGTCAGAGAAGAAATGGGGGATGGACGCGATGCTTTCTCGCCTGAATGCCTGGCTTGCACATCCTAATCCTCCCCCCGCCCCCGCTGGCTGTGGGTATCTCCCTGAACCCAGCATGTGCTCAGAAAGGAAAAAGAGAAAGTACAATAATATTTTTATACTTGCTGGGCTCCAAAAGGGGCCTCAAAATGGATTATTCCTTTAGCCAGGAATCAAACTGAGAAAGAAGCCCATTCAAACCTGAAGCAAATCCAGATATATTCACCAGATGTATTTCCTTGAAGCAAGGCAGAAGCATCAGAACCGCCTCCTGCCTGAGCCTCGGGGAAAGGGGCATAGTATTTGGTTCTGTGTGAGCTTTGCTACTAATTAGAAACGTGATGTGGGCAAGCGACTTCCATTAGCTGTGTCTCGCCGGGGGCTGGACTACACAGTGTCTAAGCCAGCCCCAGCTGAGGGCTCTAAGTTCCTGGGATGTGGAGGCTGATGCAGAGGTCGTGGCCAAGGCCACCTCCACGCATGGTAGGGCTGTGGTCTGGCCTGACCGGGATGCGGCTTCGGATCCAAAGAAGTCGTCGGAACAGGGCAGGAACTGGAGCAGGGATGTCGGAAGGAGACTTGGGAAAGAGGGCAAGTGAGGACAAAGGGGCACCAGTGGGTCATGAAATCTAACTCCTTGGGGTAGTGTTTAAATGACCCACTTAACGAGCAGCAGTTCTCAGCCACAAGAGTAGAGAAGCCAAAGATGGTTTCGTTCAACTTCCTGTTGGTGGGAGTGTGGGCGGGGCTTTGCAGGACACACAGCTAATTGAGCATCACGGTCACCTGGGCGCCTGCCTCTGGTACCCTCCCCCTTCTCCCTTTCATGCCCCATTTTCGTCATTTCACTCCTCCCCAGACAGAGCACCGGACCTTTGTATTTTTCCGTTGTTCTGGGAGAAAACCAGTGATGATAAGAGTTGAAACCAGTGGTTGGTGTGAGGCTCTGGGATCACTGATGCCCCCTCATTCGTGCTCCGACCCCTCTCGCCCTGGGTGACTGAGACTGACCGTGTCCCCAGGCCTCCCGTGGTGTTGGCTTTCAAGGGCCGGAGCATGGGCTAAGGCATCCCAGAGAGAGCTTGCATCCTGGACACTGGGATGGGAGGTGGCAGGACAGAGGGAGAGGATGGCCAAGCCTGAGAGCAAGCTCAAGAGCAGGGGTAGGCGAGCGTTTCCTAAAGGGGCGGATGCACATGTTGGTTTTGAGCTTCATGAGACTCAGCCCTGCTGTTGTAGCAAGAAAGCAGCCATGGGCGATCTGTGAGCAAATGCAGGTGGCGTTGCTCCAGTAAAACCTTTGAATACTGAAATGTGAATTTCATATAAATTTCACGTGTCATGAGATGTTATCAATCTTTTGACTTTTTTTCCCCAACCACTTGAAAATGGAAAAGCCAGTCTTAGATCAAGGGCTCACATGAATCAACAGTGAGCCAGGCTTGGCCTACGGGCTGTAGTTTCCAGCCCCTGCTCCAGAGGCAGCGGGACAACCGTGCGGGGAGGCGGCCCTGGAGGGAAACCACCCCAGCCTTGAGAGAAGCTGGAGAGCACGTGGCCTCTCCAGGGTCCCTCCAGGGTCCCTCGAGGGACCCTCTCATAACCCACTGGGCCACTTTGGTCCTATTCTGTCCAGACCACATTTGCTCACATGTCTTCACAGATTGTAAAATCACTGAGAACAAGTTTGGATTAGATGTGGTAGCAATCAATTACTCAGAGATTTATATTTTATAATGTATTTGTTGACTTAACTCATTCACCCCCATTTTCTCAATGATTCTATTACCTTTTTACCCCGTGTGTAGTTTTATATGCCATCCCAAACCCTCCATGAAATGAAGCAGGGCAGAAACGAACTGACCTTCTAGAGGCTCCTGCTGGGGCCCCCGCTCCCGCCGTGCTTGGCTCACCCTTGCTCCCCCACTGTGATCAGGGCCCAGTTCCTCCTTCCTCACTCTGGACAGCTCTGACCATGCAGCCTGAACTGTGTCGGGTTATGGGAGGGCACTAGGCCAGAGACCCTGCCTGGTGTGGTGCCTGGCACACAGCAGACACTGGGTAACCGTGTGGAGAACTGAACTGGCCTGAGAGTGAGGGCTGGAGGCAGCAGGCGCTAGACTGGGAGATGAGTGGAAGACAGGGCGGCGGAGAGTCTGGGGCTAATGCCATTTGTTCAGCTGTCCGACCCTCTGTCCGTCCATCTGTTTTTGCTGTTTTTAAAAAAACTTACTCATTTAACAACTCTAGAGCAGTTATCTATTGCTGCACACAAACTATGGCAAAAAGAGTGGCTTACAAGCAGAAGACTTAAAATCTGGCAGTTTCTGTGGGTGAGGGATCTGGGTGCGGCTGGCTCAGGGTCTTGCACAGGCCACAGCATCAAGGTCCCCAGGGCTGCTGTCATGTCATGTCCAGGCTTGACTGGAGAAGGATCTGCATCTGGTCACACGTTGGCAGCATTGAGGTCCTCCAGGGCTGTGAGGCGGAGGCCTCCTCTCCCATCACAGGGCAGCTCACAGCAAAGTTCACAGTGCAGCTCACAGCTCAAAGTTCCTTCATCAGACCGAGCAAACCAAGGTGGAAGTCACAGTCTTTTGAAACCTGATGTCAGAAGCGACACCCCATCACTTTTACCATATTCTGCTTGCTAGAAACAAGTTACTATGTCCAACCTATACTCAAGAGGAGGGGCTTACACAAGGGCAGGACTCCCAGGAGGCCGGGATCATTGTGAACCACTTTAGAGTCTGCCCACCACCAACTCCCACCAACCGACCCAAACCTGCCCCTCTTCCCCAAACACACAAGTGCCATCGAGGGCCACAGGGCCTGGCCTCCCCTAACTCATTCATTCCTCACTGCTCCTCCCTGCTTATCTCTAGGCCTCCAGTGTGGCTGAAGGACAGAAGCCCCAGCATCTGGGAGCTTGTTAGAGATGCAGATTTGCCAGGGTCCCACCCCAGACCTAGGGACTCAAGCACTCTGGGGTTGGGGTCTGGCAGTCTGCTCAAAGGGGCCCTCCAGGTGACTGGGTGCATGGTGGGTTGAGAACCCTCCCCAGGCCTCCTGGCTGCTGTGGATCTCAATGCACTTTAGCTGGCTGCTGTCACTTTCCTGACTAGGCAAATATGTCAAAGGCTTCCAGCGACTCCTTGTCCCTGCTAGGGCTTACCCAGGGGCCTGGAGAGAGAAGCCTGTTGAGCTACAGATGCAAAGATTCTTCCCAGACAAAGTCCTTGCACACCCTCCTCCCCGTAGTCAGTGAGTGGGGAAACCACAAGGGCCTCATCTGCAGCCAGCCCCAGGGAGTGGCTGCTTGGCTCTTTCTTGGCACCGGCGGTGTTCCAGGCCTGCTGATTAGACATTTGGCCTCTCTTCCAGGCCAGGGCTCATTCTTATAAGAGTTATGGATGACAAGATTGCAACCCTCGATGTGGGGCCTAGAAAGAGAAGCAGACAGCTGGGGACAGGCAATGACAGTGGCTTTGTGGAGCTTTGTAATATTTATAGTGGATCTGTCACCCTGAATCTGGGGACTCCGATTCCTGTCATTTGCTTCTGGGCGGCACCCACCCATGGAAGCTTCAAAGTGGATCTTCAAGGGGCAGCAACTGCAGCCTAGAAAATCCGAGGCCCCATCCCAGCACCTTTCCCTGAGGGACCTGGATCTCTCAGAGCACAGCACCCTGCTCCCTCCACACCCCAGCCCAGTGAGCCGGACCAGGCAGGCCCTCAGAGCAGGGCATCCCTCTCTGTCGTCAGGGGGCATCAGGCATGCCTTTCTGGGCCTCGGCTCCTGTTTCTCTGAATCCCTCTCACCTTCCCTGCCGCCTGCGGCCCGCCCAGCCCAGGCTCCTCATCTTCAAGTCACTATCCCAGCCTGGCACGTGTTGCCATCCTTTCCACTCTGGGCAGCCTGCCTTGGCCATCTTCCGGGACACCACATGCCCTGGCAGCGGTGCTCCTTCTACCTTCCTGGCGTCCCAAATGGCCCTGCTCCACTGGGCCCTCCAGGAATAGAATTAATCCTGTCGTGGTCAGAGGCAGGCTCTTCAGGTGGCTTTCTGGGGAGTGCAGTGCTGCCCCACCCCCACCCCGCTCCTCCACGTACCTCCCAGGCACCCCTGAGTGTCCAAAACACTCCTTAAGAGACTGCAGCCTGGAGGACGGAGGGGCAGGTGAGGCTGCACAAGCCAGGAGCAGACAAAAGGAAACTGATCCCGACCCGAGCCAGACACAGGGACTTGAGTGTCCACACCCCTTAGGAGGATGAGCTCCCATCTTTAGAGAAGAAACGGAGGCTGTCCCCAGGTAAGGAGGCCATGGGACATTTACTCCATCTGTCATCAGAGTCAAGAGCACCCCTTCTCTCTGGGCACAGCCTCCCACAGCCCTGCAAATTAGTCCAGGCCTGGGAGGGACTACCCAACCTCTCATCACTTGGTCGCCTGCCTCTGCCCCCATCTGCTTCCCCCGCAGGCTTCTGGGTGGTGCTCACAGGACCTCCTCCTCCTGGCCTCCCTCCAGACTCGAAGGCCAGGCAGGGGGGGTCCTCGACTCTTTTGACCCAGCCCCAGAGTTCAGGCAGCCCACGGGCCACTGCTTATTTGTGAATTGTCCCCCATGAAAGGGGGGCTGGGGTGGTCAGGCCCCTGCATCGTGCTATGCTTTGGGTGCCACTCCACGGGCGGTCTGGGGCTCCTAAATCGACAAGGCATCCCACGTCGACGTTTGGACCTTCGCTTTGCAGGTTCAGGGACTGTATTTGAGTCGGGGATTTGCCCTGACAAAGTTCAAAAGAAACTATCAGCCAGGAATTGTGTTCTGCTGCCAGAAGAGAAGTGGCTTAAACAACTAAAGGTTTATTCTCTCATAAAAGAATGGATGAAGGCAGCCTGGGCCCAGCCTGTCCCCATCCGCACGATCCCAGCATAGCTGGAGGGGCTCCTGCCTTCGAGTCCACTTCCCAGAGCGCAAGAGCGAGGATGGGGAAGAGGCAGGAGGCCTTGGGCCCGCTTCCCGGAAGTCCCTCCCAGCGGCTCTGCTCACATTCCATTGGCCAGTCCCTGCCGCAAGGGCTACTGGGAAATGTAGTCTTTTCGCTGAGCACATGGCTGCCATAATTAAAGTCAGGCTGCCTAACTAAAGAAGACGGGGAGAATGGATATTTTCTGCCAGAGTGACAAATCCTAGAAAAATCAAGCTAGTAATTTATGGAGGGGGATACATTTTTCTAGTGTCCAGGATACACATCCTTGCTCTCAGGGACCTCTCTTCTCAGAATCCAGGGTCTAAACCACAGGGTTGTTGGTGAATAAGCCTAGAATTAGGAAGGAGAATGGGACAGGTTTGTAGGAATTAAGACCAGCCTCGTCAGAAGCCTTGTCTGCACCCCGCTGCACTTTCCCAGGGAGCAGAAGACTCGGGTCATTCATTCCCTCACACATTCCTTCAGCAAATATGCATGGAATAATAACTGTGAACAGGACATGGTGTGGTGCTGTGGGACAGAAGTGGATTTCTGTCCCCTAGAATCCTGCTGTCAGGTGAGGGGGTGACGGAGGGGACACACACACACACACACACACACACACACACACACACACACAGTAACTAGAATAGCAAAAAGCGAGCCCCAGCTGAGAGAGTTTACTCCAGCTGGAGGCACCAGGGAGAGCTTCAGGGCTGCGCCGTGAAGAACAGGCAGGATTTCAATGTCTTTCACATTCCCATGTGCTGTTGTGTCCCTGGAATGCCCTTGACCCTCCCTGCTGTCCCGCTGCCATGTCCACTGCCTTCTTTCATGCAGCCTGCCAGGGCTTTAGGTTGCCACTCCTTTCCACCACCGTAGGAGGTGCCGGTTTTCAGCCAGCCATGTCTGAGAGTTTGTGTGTTCCCTGCCTGTCCATGCAAACTAGTCTGAAGCTCTTGATTCGTGTCCATTTCATTCATCTTTGCATCAGACTCACCTGGTGAGTGCCTTATGAATAAAAGGTATTATGAAATAGTTTTTGGTGGTCAGGCCATTCCAGGTAAAGAACTAGCAGAGTGTAGACAGACAAGTGTGAGCACCTTTGTCTGAATCTGTTTTCCTGCTGCTTACTTTTGTAATTGACCCTCCATTTTTAGATTACAATTTGCCATGCATTTTTAGTGGGTTGCATCCTTACGTTTTAATTTTATAAGTCAGCCATTTCCACTTACACAGGAAATACTGTAGGATGTAAGGACTATGTTTTGTTATTTAAGTCCAATTTGGAAAGTAATACTTCCTGACTCCATCCCAGATTCCTGGTGTGGGCGCATCTGGGGACCTGTGGCCCCATATTGGCTGATTATAAGTCACAGCATTATGAACCATGGGCATAACAGTTCTGGGGTTATTGTCCTGAAGCTGCACCATCATCTCTTATTTGAGAGAGAACTTCTCTGGTTGTTCATTGGGTGTTCAGGAGTTGTGCGTTCTGCCTAGCCCTTGTCTGGAATACATCTCTGTTCCCTTCAGAAGGCTTGCTGGAGTCTACTTGGCTGCCCAGGGCAGGCCCCAGGTGGGCACCCAGACAATGCCTGGCTTTCCTTGAGATTGGCCAGGCCCATGTGCCTCAGCTCCTGTACCAGCCTTGCATTTCTTTTTATTGGTAGTTATCACACATGTCATCATTTTGGGCCCTGGCAGCTAGAAAGCTCTCCATGAAGAACCTGACGTGGCCATCAGCTTGGTTCCCACCTCCCTTCCCTATCAACATTCCACACTGACTGAGTATGTCCAGGTACCAAGACACTTTGGGGAATTCAGAGATGAGTAAGACATGGTCCTGTTCTCATACAGTTTTCAACCAAATATCTTATCAGGCAGAGTGAGACTAGGACTCCACAGGCTGCCGGTGTGCAGAGGAAGGCCTTGTTCTGGCTGGGAAAGTTAGAATAGAAAGACTTCCCAGCGAGGGTGAGGAAAGAAGTTCCTTGGCATGAGGACAGAGGAAGGGTAATCGGCAGGGAGAACAGCCAAGCCGGACCCCGGACCTCTCCTCCTAACGATGGCTGCCATTTTTCAAGTATTTACTGGGAGCCACACGCCGGACACACGCTATCCCCAATTTTTAAAGACAGCCTACATTAAAGTCGAAATCCAACACCAAAGCCCAAGCTCTGCCACCCTGACATGCTGGGAAATGGCAGACTCAAGAGGCCAAGGCAGGTACAGAGGCCATGAGAGGTGGCAGAGTGGAGGGCCTGAGGCCATTCTCAGCCAGCTAGGGGGCCGCTGCTTGGCACAGGGCACAGAAGCCACAAAGTGCTGGCTGATGGACAACAAAAGGGGAGCCGGGGGCAGGAGGGAGGGTCCTGTTTTATTTTTTGGAAATGAAGGCAAGAGTGACCCATCCATGTTGCATTTGAGTAAGATGACTCTGGCAGTGCCACAGGGACAAGAGGAGAGGTCAGTTAGGAGGGCAGGTGGGCAATGGAGACAGGGCAAGGGATCCGGTTAGGTCATTGTCATGGAGGGGACAAATGACCGATCCACAGGGCACACTGATTGTGGGAGGTGATGGAGGGACAGCAAAAGCCACAGCAGCCCTCTCACACTGGGAAGATGAGGACACCAGCGTGCATGAGACAGGCGCTGCTTCTGACCTTGACCTGCAGAAACGTGTTTTATATCTGACCCAACACACACACACACACACACACACACACACACACACACACACACAGCATATAAAACAAATCCAGTTTCATAAAACATTCTTTAACCTTGCTGCAAGTGATTCACACAGAATTGTTCCAAGGAATTCTGTACCATTAAAAAAATCACATTGCAGCCTCTACGTTGGTCTCATAGTCAGCTAGCGGGTGACTCCTTCCAGTTGAGGAAGCACCAGGCTGGACGGTGAGGAGGGAGCCAGGACCGGACAGGGGCGTGGGTGGAAGGGTTCAGCTGGATTATGCTGAGAGGCAGTCAGAGGGAAAGCCCAACTGGCACCAAAAGCCTCGACCTGAGCTGAATAAATAGTGCTGGACTCGGAAGGCTCCATCCTGCTCCATCTCTCTCCCTCCCTCTCTCTCTGCTGTCCCTCTCTCACAGACGGGAAGATTTCTGGGGGAGGTGGATGGTGCTGTCCTGACCCAGCTGCTCAGCATGGGGGTGTTCAGCCAGTAAGTGGGGCACACTCCTCCCCAGTCCAAATAGACACAGCAAACCGAGAGCTGACGCTAAGTGGTCCTGGCGGATCTCAGGATCCTGACCTCCAAAACCCACAGTGGGTGCCCCCAAAGAGCTGCAAAAGCAACCTTTATGGAGCCAGGGCGTCAGCATGATGTGGGGAGGGCGTAAGGGCATGTGGGCATCCCTGGGAGGGGCTCCGCAGCTCAGACCCTAGAGGGAAAACCGTCCAACTCCGAGGGCAAAAGCCATTTGCTCTTCATTGTCTTTAAACCATTCCAAGTGCAGAAATGTAATTTTCAGCATGAGCTGTATTCTGATCTGCTGTCCTAGCTCAGGCGCCCTTGGGAATTGCGGTAAACGGATGCTCTGCTAGTAAAGCCTCCTGAGGCAGGGGCAGGGGGTGGGGGTGGCTTTGGACTCATCACAGCCCGCTTCTGATTTTCAGAGTGACTATGTATGACTATCAGGCCATGTGCAAACCCTCGAGTCACCACCACAGTGCAGCCCAGCCCCTGGTCAGCGTGAGTGTCACCCAGCCCTTCCCTCTGCCAGCCAGCCAGCCAGTCCTCTGCCCTGTCCTGGAATGAGGTCACTGGTCCCTGTTCTCACCCACCTTGGGTGTCTGGCCCCAGGGCCCTACCTTGACCATCTCCATCTTCTGCTCAGAGCCACTGCTCTCAGTCCCACTCCCAGGCAGGCCTCTGGGTCTGGCTTTGGGGCTTCAGAGGGACTGCTCTGGTAGTTGTGACACAACAGTGCCTCTGGCGGAGACAGAGAGAGCAGCCTGCCCCAGCCTCAGCCCCTGACACTGCCGCTTGATCACCAGGGATCCTCAGCAGTGCAGCACCAGGATGAGGGCTTGACTCGTCTCCTGGAGGGGCATGTCCAACCCCACCCGAGATGTCTGACCTGCAATAGGCATTTCCCAGCTAGCTCAGCTCTGCAGGGCAGGTGGGAGGTGGGGGGATGGGGGGTGCTGGGCTGCTGGCCTGTGCTCTGCTGCCCCTGCTCCCAGTGGCAGGGCAGCCCACTCTCTGGTCTCTCTGAGGGTGGTGCTGGTGGTGGGGGGGGGGCACCCTCACCCTTGGACCTAGGTGCGAGCGGTGTGCACTCTCTCCTTCCCAGCCAATTTCTGCCTTCTTGACGGCGACCAGGTGGCTGCTGCAGGAGCTGGTGCTGTGAGTGGGGGTAGACACGGGGCTGGTGGAGGGCTGCATGCGAGGGTGGCTTAGGAGGGTGTCCTTGAGCAGGAGGCTGCAAGGTCTCCAGGACAACCCACTTGCTACCAGACCCCGGGGAAGGAGGGCACAATCCCTGGGCATGGACGCCACCTCTTCCCTGCATGCTGCCCCTGGGAGGGACCTCATTGCTCAACCAGAGCCCTCAAGCAGGGAAGAGGGTGTCCTGGAGGAGAGGGGATGGGCCGGGGGCTGTCAGGGATACTCCAGCTCCTTGGGAACCCAAGTCGGGAGGGCTCAGAGGTCTCCGAGATTCAGTCCTGTGTCTGACAGGTTCCTGCTGGAGTGGAGTGTCTGGGGCTCCTGGTACGACAGAGGGGCCGAGGGTGAGTGCACGGAGCTGCAGGGCCATGTGCTGAAGAGCAGTGGCATTTTGGTCCACTAACGTGAGACCATTCCCTGTGGGGTGGGTGACAGTGGGGATAGGTGACCCTGAAGCATCGTTGTTCACATCTCACCCTGCGTGGCCTTCTCTCATCACATCCCTCACTCCTGGCTCTGTGTGTGACATCATCTTGGGACACCGCCACTCCATGTGCCATCATCACCACCCCATGACATCCTGCCCTCATGTGCCACCATGTTTTCCTGTGCCGTGTCCACCCTGTGCTGGGCTTATGTTCCGGCCAGCCAAAAGTGTCTTCCATCACTGTAAGTAGCCCAGCTGAGGCCATCCCTGCTGGCGGTGGGTTGGGGACGCAGCAGGAGCTACAAAGAACCCACCCTCCATGACCTGTCCCAGGAATGACCCCAAGCAGGGCTGAGCTCTCCTGGTTTAAAGTACCATTCCTGGGGGTTGGGGGACTGGGGAGTCTAGCCCAGTTCTCATCCCACATGAGGACGGTCAGGCCCCAGGGAAAATGAGAAACTCCAGCCTCCCCTTGGGTGAGAACACGTAAGATTCCAAGAGGAAGCCGGTGGTGTGGCCGGGTGGCCATGAGCCAGTATGAGTGAGCAACCTCCAGCCCACCCCTTGGAGAAGCAAACAGCGGCACCCCAGCCCTCAGCGGGACTCCGGGTTCCAGGGGCCCCAGGAAGCTCTCAGGATGATTCCCCTGCGGGACCCTGTGTCTGAGGACAGAGTCCCCCAGAGGCAGCAACCATGAGAGGCCCCAACACAAAGCCCGGTGGCTGTGGCCACACGTGCAGGGCGGCAATGAGCCTGGCCTTTCAAAGCACTCACTGCCCGGGCGCCTGGGCCCTCCATGACTGCAGGAGGCCATCTTGCCTCAGCGGGCTCTGCTCAGTTCCTCCGTGTTCCTAGAACCTTTGCCATGGGGTTCCAGAACTTCCCACCACCTGGGCTGTCCCCAGCTTATCCCATCTCTTCATCTCCACTGTGGTCCTCTCTCTGGCTTGCTCTTCGTTCTCTTCTGCTGGCCTTGGCTTGGGGCTTCCTCTGCCCCTGGGCTCAGGGCAGTTCGGGCTGTGTCTCCAGACTCCTTCTGGACTCACATCCGCGATCGGGTGGGGCTGCTCTGGGGTGTTCACAGTCACTAGGTGTCAGTGACAGGACACTGTCCCCTCTGTCTCTGTCAGCAGCTGCATCTTGCAAAAGTTGAAGATGATCCCCCTCAATCTGCCTGCTCAGAATTTCTCTTCTCTGGGGTACCTGTCCCCTGGAGCTCCTCCCCCTGGTCTGGCCTACACAGATGTCAGTGTCCCCAGTGAAGGCGCACTGGACTTGGAGTCCCAGGCCGGGGCGTAGGTGCTGCAGCCCCTTCCACTGCGTGACCCTGGGGACGCCACTCAACCCTGCCATTGTCAGGCAGGCTTCTGTGCCCAGCCCTGGGGACAAAACTCACAGCCCTGGCCGCTGTGGGCTTGCTCCTCTCGGTGAGAGTTTTCTGCACGCCAGCTAGTGTCCCCTCTGGGTTTCCAGCTCTGGCTGGGAGCTTCTGGATTTGGAAGCTGGGGAGACCCATGCTCTCCTGTAGGACTCTGCATGAGCCTGGGAAGGTAGCTCACACCTGTGCTCCCTGCCTCTAGGTCTATCCCTGGGGGCCACAGCCAGGCCCTGAGAACAGAAGGGCCATGCAGACAGCCTGTGTGGCAGGGCCCTGCTCTGCCATGTGCCCACCTCAGGAGGCTCCGGGAGGGAACGGACTCGGGTCCTGCAGAGCGGGGCTGAGGCACTCGCCTCCACCTTTGGTTGAGTCCACTGTCCTTGTCCCAGGGAGCTAAGGCAAATCGCGCAGCCCCCGAGGAGTCCCGCACCGGGTGGCTGTGGCTTCTGGGCTTCCGCAGCCCCAGGCCTGGAGCCCACCTGCCCGGCTGCCCCCACCGCAGGCGCTCAGGCTCAATGGGTGGAGTGTGGGCCTGGCTGTGCGGGAGAGCAGGGCAGGATTGCCCAGGAACTGCACTGCGTCTGTCCACAGTGAAGGGAGGGGTGGTGGGCCTAAGTACCCCCAAGCCACCCCTTGGTGCCCCTACTGCCTCTGCTCCCCGCTCAGACCCTCCCCCGGGATCTGAGTGCTGGAAGGGGCCCTGGAGATGGTGCACTGCCCCCAGCTCAGTGAGGGCCAGGCTCCCCAGAGGAAGCGCTTTCCCTCCACCGAGGCTCAGGGCCCCTGCGGCGCTCCCCGTGCCAAGCCACCCTCTCCAGAGACTCCGGGTGTCTTCCCTCCCCTCACCCCCCGCCCGGCTCCTCCCACGCGTGTCCTGAGAACTGCCTGAGGAGGGACCCTCTGCAAATGCACTGGGGTGAACTCTGGCCCTGGGAGTGCCGAGGCGAGGTCACCGCAGGCCAGAGGCCCCTTCGGTGGCGTGATGTCCTTTCTCCGCCCGCAGCCCACAAACACAAGAAGCAGGACCCGCTGCAGCCCTGCGACACGGAGTACCCCGTGTTCGTGTACCAGCCGGCCATCCGGGAGGCCAACGGGATCGTGGAGTGCGGGCCCTGCCAGAAGTAAGACCGCAGGGCGGCGCCGCCCGTCCCGCCACACTCCTCCCGCCCTCGGCAAGGCGGAAGTGCGGGCAGGGCCCCGGAACCCCCGGGAAACGGCTCCACAGCCGGGAGGAGGGGATGCGTCTAAGTGCAGAGCCCACGCTCCCGGGGTCTTCCCCCGCCGTCCTCAGTGGAGGAGACACGCAGGAGGCGGACGGTCTGAGGCGGGCAGGACGGCTGGGGACCGGGACAGCCGGGATGGGGAGAGGTGGTCCCGAGGCCTGACCCTGTGTGTCGAGCCCACCCCGCCGAGGCCGCAGCCGTGACCCCACGGCGTCTCTGGGCGAGTGGGCCCTTCGGCGGGTCTCCCCCAGCCCTGCTCAGGCGGTGCCCAGGGCGGTGCCAGTGCCCGCGCCTGAGCTGCGTGGGGAGAACTTGGAAGGCAGAGGGAGTGTGAGAAGAGAAGGCCGGAAGTGTGCGATGTCCTCGGGTCGCTGGGAGCCCCGCGGGCAGCCTCTGTCAGGCTTCCTGCTGTGTGGAAGCCGCTAGTTATAACCCGCCCTGGCCCCGGGGAGGCAGGGAGGCCGCGCGGAAGGGTCTCTCCTGCTGACCCCCCGCACCCAAGCCCGGGAGGACCCCCACGCTGGGAATGCGGCGGCCTCCTCGAGGGTCGCCTCAGCCAGACGTGCCGCTCGCCAGGCGGTCCCTAGACCCCCGGGCCCGTGGCACACCATTTAACAGTGCGGCACCTGCGGCGCTGGCATCGGGGCTCCCTTCTCCCCCACTCCCTGCGCGTCGTGCTGCGCGGGTTTCACCCCGGGTTCTGTGCAGCGTTGAGGGCTGGGGTTAGCGTTCCCTGTGCACTTGTCGCAAAGGCTCGGTGCGAGGATAGAGCCAGCGGGCTCCGGAGTGAAGCGAGGGCTTCAGAGTAGACACTCCTGAATTGAAAACTGGCTCTGCGCTCCCCCGCTTATGACCGTGGGCAAGTGACTTCGCCTCCTCTAGTCTCCATTCTCTCATCTGCAAAATGGGCACAACACCAGCCTCATACAGAGCCGTGAAGGCTGAGAGTATACACGGCTGTGGTGTGCACGTTGGGTGTGTGAGACCGCCCATCCCAGGGGAGGCGCTCGGTAGGCGGCCGCTGGGACTGCTGGGAAGGCCGTGGGCCTGGCGGGCGGGCTCCGCCCCACTCCGCGCCACTCCTCGCAGGGCGGCCTCGCCGAGCGCGGGGCCACTGCGCCACCTGGTGGCCAAGCTCCAGCGCTGCCGCTTCGCCCGGGCCTGCCCCCGCCACCCTCACCCAGAGCAAGTGTTGCCTCGCCCGCCCATTTGCTCCGGACGGTCTTGATTTACGCCTGTCGTCCCTGCATATATTAATAGCAACTCTGCACTCTCCAAAGCGGCCCAGTTTGGACTTCCTCACTGTCTCCAGTCTGCTAGGAAAGGAAATGCAGCAGCAAAGGCTTGTGAGCAAAGCCAGTAGGACTGAGCCATCTGCCAGGCCCGTTCCCTTAGCTGCCCCGACCCGCCCTGCCTCATGGTTCCGGGCTTCCCTGCCACCCTAACTCCACACTAAAGTCTCCAGAAGTTCCTTCCCTAGAAGCCCTTCTCGTGGTCGCCACGGAGCCATCCTCGACTCCCTTTCTTTGCTGCAGGGTATTTGTGGTGCAGCAGATTCCCAACAGTAACCTCCTCCTCCTGGTGACAGACCCCACCTGTGACTGCAGCATCTTCCCACCAGTGCTGCAGGAGGCGACAGAAGTCAAATATATCCTGCAATGCTCGGGGATGTGTGCGGTGGGGGCGGGGGCTGTAGGAGGTGTCTGTAGGGCTCAGATTTTGAGCAGCGGGGCCAGCCTCCTTCACCGCCCGTGTCCTCCACAGGGCTCCGTTATTTGTTCTCTAACCCTTCCCTGGGCCCCGGTGCTGCCTCCTGACCCTAAAGCTGCTTGCAGGGCAACTGGTGGCACCAGAGCAGGTTCTTCCAGACCTTTTTCCAGTCTGCAGAATGGGCTCCGGTCCTGAGATATTGACCTTAACAGTGGCTTCTGCACATAATGCCTCTGTCAAATGTGACCGGATGCGCTCCCAGAAGCTCCGCCGGCGACCAGACTCCTGCCACGCCTTCCATCCAGAGGTGCGGGTTGAGGCGGATCGAGGGTGGGCTGGATTTTCATCCCCAAACCCTCTGTGCCTGGGTCTGTGCCCCTGCAGACAGGAGCATATAGGGATGCCAATGAACACACCTGTGCCTGTGCTTCTCGGGGGAAACATTCGCGTTTATGCCCTGTGACACTGTGATATAATAAGAAACAGATCTTTATTTAGTCTTTGTCCTGATTCCTGGCAAGCTCCTAAAACGCTTGTTATTTCCTGATTAGGGTGATAGGTGCATCTTTTGTTATAGTGTTTGGTCTTAGTCCCTGGTTCCTTCACAGGTGCCTCTAAGACCCTTGGAATGATAGAGGTATCTTTGTATGCTAATTAGATGACTGGTGGCTGGGGGCCCTAGACAGGATGAGAGCTGGCCACAGGAAACACCAAGTTAGGATTAGAGGGTTGGGACTTTTGGCTCCAAGCCCCTGGCTTCTGGGAAAGGAAGGGGGCTGGAGACTGAGTTGATCACCAGTGGCCAAAGATTTAATCAATGATCATAATGAGGCCTCCATAAAATCCCCGAGCCACTGTGTTTGGAGAGTGTCCGAATTGGTGAAAGGGTGTGGGAGCTCTGCGTACCCCGTGCCTTGGCCTACGTGTCTCTTCCACTCAGCCGCCTGACCTGCGTCCTTTATAATAAACGGGTCATGGTGAGGGAAGCACCTTCCTGAGTTGAGTGAGCCACGCTAACAACTCACGGAGCCTGAGACAGGCTCATGGGAACCCTAGATTTACAGCCAGTCTGTCAGAAGGACAGGAGACCTGGGGCTTGCGATTGGCATCTGAAGTGACGGCCACCTTGTGGGACCGAGCCCTGTAACTTGCGAGCTCTAATGCTAACTCTCAATAGTGTCAGACTTGAATTGAGTTTCAGGACAGACACCCAGTTGGTGTCCAGAGAGTGGGGTGGGAAAAACCCTTCACATTTGTTGAAGTGCTGGTGTGAAAGCACAGCAGAGCCCCTGTGTCATTAAAATACGAAGTCAACCAGGATCCCAAGGTGCTTTAACGAAGAGCCACGCTTCCTAGGGCTTGGGCCCTAGGTGAATTAGAATGCAGTTTTCCCATCTTGTCCTCATTCCCGCTACACTTAGTTCCGAATGATCGAGCAATGTGAGGGGGCCGTCACGTGGATAATAGTCATAGTGGCTGGTACGGATCCAGAACCCAGACCCAGGTGTCAGGCCCTGAGCCGGGTGCTTCATACAGTCTGGTCTGCTGGGACCAGAAACCCCCATCAGAGATGCTCCCAGAGTTGAGGACATTCTGAGAGGATGACCTCGCAGCCACTCCAAGCCTGAGGGCAAGCAGAGAAGGCCGGTGCCCCCCTCCCAGGCTGAGGGGCCAGCCTTTGCTTTTCCCCCAAAAGGTAGGGGCCTAAGAGAGGTAGCAGTGCTTCCCCGGCTTTCCAAAACTCCCCTTTCCCCAGGATTTTGGCCCAAATTAGTGGTGGAAGCCCCTCCCTTTTTGAGGGTCCTCCTCTGAGCGCCGCGCTGTCACCTCTGCTCTGCGTTCGCAGGAGAATGCCCAGGACTGCGGCGGCGCCTCGGACACCTCAGCCTCGCCGCCCCTACTCCTGCTGCCTGTGTGTGCCTGGGGGCTACTGCCCCAACTCCTGCGGTGACACCACCCAGCCTGACCTGTGTTTTGGCAAGGTGATCCTTCCAGAGCCATCCCAAAAAGTCAGCACTGACATGGGATGCAGCTAACTGCAGTTGGGTCGCCCCCAGGCCAACGCTCCTCTCAATCCTGGGCTGGTGGCCCCTGGCTCCGGAGAATGCTGGATGGAACAGGAAACCAATCACCTGGCACCACTTTCAAGATGCTTCATGGTGCCCGGTACCATCTGCCCTAGGTCTCAACATGAGCATACTTCTGACCTAACCTTCCTGTCTCCTCTTCGGGAAGCCAGCGTGAGCTCAGCTTGGACCAAGACAAAATAATTTAGTTCTTCCTGTACTCCAGAGTCCAGACCCAGCCAAGAAAGGGTCAGTTGTTTCTGACCCTTTCTGTCGGAGTGGTCTCTGGTAGAACCCAAGGACTTCTGGGTACTGAGAAGCAGCAGCAGAATGAGGCCAAATGCAGAGATGAGGCTAAGGCAAGAATATGCCCCAACTAAAGCATAGATTCCCCAAAGTGAGGCTCATGGTGGGAGGCCACTCACCTTCCTAGCTGCTGCTCGAAAAGGTTTTGACTGTGTTGGGGTGGGGGTTGGGTAAGGGAATGGTCAAGACTGAGAAAGGAATGAAATCCATTCAGGAAATATCGACAGGGCTACACGTGATGTCCCCAAACTGCTGCTATTGAAGAACTTCCCAAAACTTCTTTACAAAGCCCTAAAGGAAAGTTTGCATCTATGAAAAGCCAATAGGCTGAGACATCCAATTGCTGCATGGAAATTGATGTACATTCAGGGGACGGCAAAAATAGCTGTAAAATAGTGAAAAAGAGCAGTGGTTGTGCTCTTTTCTGGCCAATGATTTACAAAAGAATCTACTTGACTCTGTCCCTGGAGTGAAATCCTTAGGGTTGGAACTTGTGGGAACATTCCAACTTGCTAAGCAGGGTCCACTGGGAGGGAAGCTCTATCTGGGAACTCACCCCCAGCGCACACACATCTCCCCCAGGGTCCCAAGGCCCCGCAGCTTCCTCCCCCGACCAAACCCCAAGACCTGGATCCCAGGAGACAACAGTCTCCACAGTGAGAGCAACATTAAGGGCAAAGCCATGGAGAAATGTGGGAGAGGCCGGCCTCAAATCTTTCCATTTAACAAACCCCAGTGATGGGTATGGACAGCATGCAGGGCTTTTGGGGCGCTTCCCCCCGCTCCTCCATCACCCTCAGCCTCCACACTTCAAAGTTCAAGTTCAAAGCTGTTCAAGTTTCCTACCAGCAAATAGCCCTAACTTGCCTCTAGAGTAGGCCAAATGCCAACTCTGTAAAACACACTTACATTATCGGTTACAGAATGTCACTCTTACCGTCATGTCTTGCAACAACCCTGTGAGGGCAGTATTAATGCCCCCTTACAGCAGAAGACACTGCAGCTCGAAGACAGCTTAAGTGGCAGAATAATGCTAGAACAGCTAAGGTTTACATGTACCAAATAACATGTTTCAGCTCATTCCATCCTCACAACAGCCCCCTGAAAGTGGGTACTATCATTAGTCCCATGTTATAGAAACTGCAGCAGAGTTGAAAATTGCCTCCAAATTACCGGAAGAGTGTATGAAGATTGAATGTGATGTATTCACGTAACATGCTTGAAACTGCCTGGCATATACTAAACGCTAAATAAATACATGCTAACTGCGATCATTACATTACCTTGTTTCATGGAGGTGGGGACAAAGAAATTACAATTTAGATGCCAGGAACAATAAGGTGTTCAACAGGCCCAGCAGGGTTAAGAAAGCAGCAAGGAGCCCTTTCTAGCCCCTGGGCTGCCATCACTGAGTGTCCCAACCATGTGTCACGAGGCACCACCTGTGCGGCACACAGCAGGGTGAGCACTAACTCTCGCCCTGCCACTTCCTGCCAAGGCCGTGGCCGCCCACCTGCCGTTCATTCTTTGGCATTAAGGCACATTCTGACCTCCAACTGCATTTGACCCCAACTACCAACTCACAGACACCAAACAGCAGTCTCTGTAGGACCATAACCCAGTGTTATCTTTTGGAAGGGTTATCATCCCCACCCAAACAGGTAGAGCACTTTCAGGCAAATTTATCAACTCTTAAAAAGCCAAGCTTAGGAAGCTGGAGCAGCTTCTGGCCTGGTTTTGTCTGCTTCCTCTGGGCCCCATATCTCTGCATGGCCGAGGGGAATCCCTTTCAAGACCATTGGAAGGAAAAACCATTTCTGATAAACTAACCTTCTCTACCTTGGAGAACAAAATATTCTCATAAGCTTTGCCTTTGAAGGTCAGAACGATTCCTCTTCTACTTTTAGCAGAACCACTAAAGGACAGCAGGTGGCAGCCTGGCTCACTCTAAAGCCCATCACCTGCTCTCGGACGCATGAACTTGGAACCTAAGTCATTTGATAAATTAGAATGCAGAATTTTGAAATCTTATGTTGTACACCACCTTTGGAGGACCAGGAACTTAAGGATGCTGTCAGATCTTCCTTCCTCAGTACCAAGGATATGTGAACTACTAAATCCACATAATAATGTTGTGTATTTTAATAGAAGAGCTTTCAGGGAAAATGCTTCAACCACTTCATTAAGCTCAGTGAAGTTGTGGTTCGGGGGCGGCGGGGAGGCAAGAAAGTGGGCATATCATAAGGCCAGAAAAGTAAATGAAGTCCACAAAAGGACGGAATTGGAGCGAGGGTTTGGCAGAAAACCCAGCCAATCACTATGGGAAGTTTGAGGAAATTATCTATAGAAACCACAGCATCTCAGCGTGGGCTCTAGAGGATGTATCGTTGGCCTCATTTTAACAGAACACCGAGGCTAGACAAGCAAACGGCCACTTGCCCATGCTACATGGCAAATGGCACAACTGAGATCTGAAGCTACCCTTTTCATTTCCAGGTAGTGTAGCAGGGTAGGGACGGTGGGACAGTAGGATGGCGGTGACAAGAGGCCATCGCACGTGACGCTTCCTTCCTGCCCCATGCCATCATAAGCAGCCTCTACATGAGTGAGACAGGCTGCCCTTGTTTCACCAAGTCAAACAGCTGAAGGCAGAAAAGATTTGTACATTAGATAGGGTGTTGGTGGTGGGTAGGGAGCAGTGCTGGCTAGCAAATGGTTCATGCCCTCTGAGGGGAAGACAAAATGAAACACTACAATTGAAGCCAAATATTCAAGAAGATGTTGTTTCTGGGATGATTTTAAAGTAACATTGCCCAGAGGGTTCTCTAGGCACCCAGAGCCTAGCACGCTGTACAGTCAGAATCCAAACTTGTCCTTATCTACTTCCTCTACAACCACATAACATCACCTGGGTATCAGGAACCATACAGACACTTTTTTTTTTTTTGGGAGATGGAGTCTCGCTCTGTCACCCAGGCTGGAGTGCAGTGGTATGGTCTCAGCTCACTGCAACCTCCACCTCCCAGGTTCAAGCGAGTCTCCTGCCTCAGCCTCCCAAGTAGCTGGATTACAGGTGCCTCCACCACACCCAGCTAATTTTTTGTATTTATAGTAGAGACGGGGTTTCACCATTTTGGCCAAGGTGGTCTCGAACTCCTGACCTTGTGATCCGCCCACCTCGGCCTTCCAAAGTGCTGGCATTACAGGCGTCAGCCACCATGCCCGGCTCAGATGCCTTTTGGGAAGAGACGAGGAAAAGACAAGTGGGTTATTAGTAGGCTTCAGCTAATACTGTTTGTCAAAAGCAGGGAATGATCCAATGTCTATGCCCAGGTAAGGTATGGGACACTCTAAAGTTAAATCTATACTTAAAAATGAGAATTCAGAATGAACATATTATCCTGATACTGGAAATGCCCTTCCAAAAACTAAATTTACCTAAGGCAAAAGGGTTGGAATTCCGTTTTTTTTTTTTTTATTTCAAACACCAACTCGAACCAGATCCTCTTCTTATATAGAAGGGACTAGGTTAATGAACCCCAAAACCTTTAAGTCAATGTATATGACACTGTTTAATCAGAATAACAAATACAGAAAGGTTTTCTTAAATTTTCTCTTCACTCTTTTCTCCAATACAGTGCTGGCACTAGAGTCATTCTTAAACTTCCTAAGCTTCAGTTTCCCCATCTATAAAATGAGAGTGAAAATACTCCTGAATGGCTCAGAGGGTTGTGATTATGATCATATGACATCGACAGTTCTCTAACACATCCCTTGGCATCAAGTGTTACATTAGAGACTATTTTTTTTTTTCTCAGACAACATGACTTTATTACTGGAAACCAACTAAGAAAAAATTATGATTAGGAGGAGAAAACAGCAAATGGTCGGGGTAAAAAACCAATATTCAGCAATCAGTAGCTTTCACCAATCAAAAGAACTTTTAGAAGATATAATTGAAGACAAAATCCTATTTATAATAGCAAACAACAGCAAAAGCAAGGAATGAACTTAGTCAATGTGCACTGCCTGTAGGAGATGGCCTCGTGATCCGCCCGCCTTGGCCTCCCAAAGTGCTGGGATTACAGGAGTGAGCCACCGTGCCCAAAAAAATAAATTTTGTAATGTTTCACTTAACAAAAGAGATACATTCTGAGAAATGTATCATTAAGTGATTTCATAATTAGTTGATTTCGTTGTCACGCAAACATCATAGAATGCACTTACACAAACCTAGATGGTACAGCCTACTACACACCCAGGCTTTATGGTAGAGCCTATTGCCCTTGGCATTAGAGACTATTTTTATAAACTTCAATAATAAATAAGAACTGCCCCTTAGAGCTGCTCTCCCCTCCATTCTAAACCTGGTGCAACTTACGAGGAAAGCTTGAGTTAGGAAACAGGAGTTGGGCATAAGCACTTTGATTTCTGCATCCCGAAGGGGAAGTTTCCAAAAATTTCTTAAATCACAGTGTCTAAATTAGAGCTTCAGAGAAGTGCCAAAAGCCAAGGGGAGGTAAGCTGAACGGCAATAAAAAAACACACGACAGGTCATATTTCATTTGGTTCTTTTTATTAGAAACTGAGAATACAGCAAGTAGGGAAATCCCACATCAATGGAACCATCACACAGATGCCTTTCTGGAACCCCAACCTTCTATGATCCCCAAAAATGTGCTTTGTGGCTTTAGCATAATTTATAAAGGGGAAGAGGGAAAATACTGAAAAAGGCCACTATTTAATGGTGAAAGAATGAAGCTGTAGAGGTCCCAACCAGCCTAGGGCCAAAAAAGAAAATTAAAAATCTGCACAGAGCAAGCAAGCCTCTGACTGCTGAGAGTAAGGCATTCAGGCGCCAACCTGGTGAGAGTTCTCAGCGAGCACTGTCAGGTCAAGTGCACATGAGGCTGTTGGTAGTGAGCTGCACGTAGACACACACATAGAAATGGGCACATGCCCACATACACACCCGAAAAAGGGAGATTTTACTGGATTACACATCAGTGATGTTAATTTCATTTTTCCTAAGGGTTTGTGCTATGTTGAACCAGATCCTTCCAGCTTTGGGGTGTGGGTGACTGCACCCAGAGGCTGCTACTTCTGTTGGTGTTGTGACAGGGCTGCACCTATACGCTGTATCCCAAAGTGCATGACCGAAGAGCAAGTCTGGCTTCTGATACGTGCTGTTGCTCCCAAGAAACTAAGTGGGCTTCTGTCCAAATGGCCACTGTCCTGCTGGACTATGCTTTCTCAAAGGGATTAATACTGTTCTTTATTCTGTCAGGCACTGCACCAGTTCATCCACTGAGTCTTTTGCTCGGTCCACCTAGCACCTAGGACAGTGACCTTATCCAGAACCAAAACGTTCAAGTTCTTCTCAACTTCTACACTGGATTCTTTCTTCCTAGATCCCACCTTTTGCTGGAGATTGCAAGGGCAAGGGAGGAAAATAACTGAGAAAACTCTATTGAATAAATAGGAGACCCTTCCCATATTCCCAAACACCTACTGAGGACGCCAGTCCCCATGCTCAGGACCTCCATATTTAGTTCTAATACCCACAACCCCAGGATATAATGGAGTCATCCCAAGTCTTTGATGACAGTAACCTAAGACTCGAGCACTATTTTGGTGGTTCACCTATGGGCCAAGATCAGAATTCCATGAACCAGATCCTTTCCCCACCACTTTCTCTGACACCGTATCAGGTAGGCCTGTGACATGAGCCATCGTCTTGTACCTCACTCCCTGGCAATAACATACCATTGTATTTAAAATGCCACACCACTCTTATCCCTGTAAAGTGAGGTTCAGTGAGTGCTGACAACTCCGTACTACAACTGGCTTTAAGAGTTCTGCTGGCTTTCTTATTCAAGGAGAGCCGAGGTGTCTGTCACATCCAGGCTTACCAAGACAGTGTACCAGAGGTAAAACTCATCTTTCCTAATCCAAAGGAAGGGTCTACCAATCTATGTAGATGAGCTCAGGAGAAACCTGGACACGTCAGAATCTCATTTGTGGCTGGCTCCCATGCCAAGAACTATGTCAGAGAAAGGTCCATTTCTATTCCCTCAAGGAGGAAGTGTAGTTAGGGCAGTGATTTTTAATAGAGGGAAATTTAGAGAGTGTTCCAGAGCTCCACAGCAAGGATATGGAAAACTGTCCCATCCCTCTAATAAGACTTCCCATAAAAGTGAGCGGGATGCCAGGAAGTAATCAGATCAGCCCATGCTAATGTTTCTAGAGCTCCTCCATGGCCTCCAGCACCCCTTTACCAGCTGCTAGGAGTGTGTCAGTCTCTCAAATGACAATGACACCCTAACTAGAGCCTTTATCTAACATCCTGTCACCCACTCATGTGCTGCTTCCACTGAGAAAACACATACCACTCCCCTCTACCTCAGGCCTCCCAAAGGGAGTGGTCATGTCACCACTGGGCTAGGGCTATACTCTCTGCCCCATTAGGGTCCAAGGTATGTCAGCCTTTAGAAGGCATCTTGGTGCACCAAGACACTGTACATTCCGGGGCTATCACCTGATCCTACAGTCACTTTTTGTGCAAAATTCAAACAGTGTGTGGTACTTGCATGTTTCATTCTATACAAAAATTCTCCCTCCCTCCCTTACCCCTATGTTTTAAACATTTATATAAAGTCTTATTTAAACAGTTAGAAATCTTATTTACATTAATTTCTTTGTTCTCCCAAAAGAGCATTTAAAATCACACTCCCACCCCTTATCGGATATAAATGTTCACTTAAATTGGTTTGTATTATTGTCATAGAGAGAGAGAAAGGGAGAAGAAAGAACCACCAGCTAAACTGTTTCGCCATCTTCTACAAATAAATATGATATGGATCAGAAGCCAGTTTGCCAAGGGTCTTGCAGAGCCCGCAATCAGTAGATCCCAAGAATAAGCCAGGGTTTGGGCTATGTCTCCTTTTCTCCCAATTGATGCACTCCATCCTTTGAGGTATGATTTATTTTTGTTTTTCTCTTCTCAGTCATGTACCACGCAGAGCCACTGGGCCGTCACAAAGCCCACGAGGCTGTCAAAGTTTTGGGGCTCCTCTGGTACTGGCATCAGTAGCCAGCAGGGAGGCCCGCAAGTGCCGCAGGCCCTGGTTTAGGGTCATAGTCCCTGGAGACTGGTAGGTATCACAGTGCATCCTCTTCACTGCAGCCCCCGCCGATCATGAAACGAAACTCCTGGAGGTTTGAGACACCATGGAAGTGAACAAAAGCTCCAGCAACCACAAAGATATGAAACAGCTGATGAGAGTGAAACTGGAGGGGAAAAAAGAAGAGAAGGGGGTAGAGAAACCCATACATTATTAAGACTGCTAAAGATTCTTAGGATCGTTTAATCCTGGTTTATGCTGAGCAGAAGGCAGGGAATGGATGTGACAGAGCTCAAATTCAAGGCGTCCACAGATCCTGGAACATCCATTAGGTGTAACACATTCTGCTGAGCTGAAAGCCAGCTGTTCCCAAAGAAACCAAGGTGCTGCCACTAAGCTCTACACATAAAAATCTACAAACTTAACACTGAAACCAGTGGCAAATGACACACAGACTCTCTTGCTAAAGTGGCAAATGACACACAGACTCTCTTGCTAACAGGCCACAAAGGTCCCAAGGATCCCTTGACACCTAGCCATGGGCTATGATTACACATACAGTCCTTTTCCTACTCACTGCTGATGGACATTTTGTCATGGACAAGAGGACTAGAGCTATGGTCATTTAAATGTTGCTCTCTGTTAGAAAAACTAAAGAGGCTTCCAGGATGGTGTGTGGAATGTCACAACATATGGTCCCCAGAGTTTCCTTCAGTGCTACGATTCTCAAATTTCATGAACTACATAATGTGTCAAAAACTAAGCAAACAGGCCCTTTTACTTCTCAAGTCAGAAGCTGGTCTACAAGCAAGTGACATTATTTCTGATTTTACCTGTTCTGTTGAATGCTATTCCACATCTCAAGAAGGGTAATCAATTGCTCGCTGCACTTCAAAAATTACACTATTCTGTCATTATAATCTCAAAATGAAAAAGTACAGTGGCAAAGCAGTATTTATCAAGAGAAAAACACTGATTTTAGAAGCAAAAACTAGAAGAAATCAAGTCACATCCCAAGAGATGTTTCCTAGGAAACCAAAGGGGATTAATTTCCCCCAAAGAAAGGGGATAAAGGGCAAAAACCCCTCCATACCAATGTTAAAATGATGATGATGAATCAGAAAGATAAATTAGCTAATTTGAAGCTAGAAAGATTGCTTAAGTTCAAGATCATCTTCATTTTACAGATAGCTAAACTAAACTTTAAAGAGATGAGATCATCAGGTTAGTCTATAATAATCAGCAATAGGCTGAGGAACAGAATTACAAAGGTCAGATTTCACATTAAGCGTATTTCCAATGTTGTCTTGTTGAAAATATTTCAGGCCCTCTTTGGTTATAAGTTTTTCTATCTATATCAGTCCTTATATTTTCTTTTCCCTCTTCTCTTTCCTCCTCTCTTACCAATGACCACAATCCAGTTCAATCCAGTTCCCTCTTCTTCACAATCCCTCTTCTTCCACCAGACATACATACACTCAGTCTCCCATTACAAATCACTAAATTTCGGTATAAAAAAAGACCCTGATAGAAATCTGGTCCTAAAAAGGGCTCTGGTGAAAATCTGGTCTATCATCCTCATTTCATAAATAAGGAAACTGAGACAAAGAATGGCAAAATGACTTGCCATTGTCAAAAAGAGCACAGATTCTGATATTAAAACTAGCCTAATTCAAATTCCTGTTCTACCACTTAAATAGCCACATGGCTTGGACAAGTGGCCTCACCTCCCTAAGCCTTAGTCTCCTGCTTTGTAAAATGAAGACATTAACAAGAGTTATCATACCACATAGGGCTAATGTATGTAATGAGGTAATCCGTGCAAAGCACTCTGTACCATGCTGAGCACCAAGGAAGTGCTCACTAAATGTTAGTTATTATTGTACTTATTGTCCAGAGAAAGCTCAATAGGGAGTTAGGACCAGGATACAACTCTCCTGACTTTGTGTCTAAAACTTTTTCTATTGCATCACTCTGCAGGATGCCAATAACTCATGAGCAGATACCTACACACTCAGTCACCCCGACATACTTACCCAGATGTCACATTTGCCAGGGAAAAAGCGTTCGGGGATCCGGGCAGCATACAGGGCAGCTCCTGTGATGTAGAGGCTGGCCATCAGCATCAACCAGCCTATCTGCCCTATGGTGGCGGCCTTAAGGAACCCCTCCGAGATGACATAGTGCAAGGTAGGAATGATTCCACTCAGGCCTAGGCCCAAAAACACTCCTAGGAGTCACAAGAAGAGAGTAAAGTAATGCAGAAGAGAAACAAAGAGCCAGAAGTCAGTATTACAGCACAGCACCATTAACTCTGTAAACTGAATATTTCAAAGTAGCATATAAAATTAGCTTCCAGTTTTAAAGGAAAAAGAAGGTTCTTCAAACTCTGGGACACTGTCACACAAGACAACACAGCTATGTTCTAAAGATTTACAAATGCAAGGAGCCAGCCGGGTGCAGTGGCTCACACCTGTAATCCCAGCACTTTGGGACCAGCCTGGCTAACAGGGTGAAACCCCATTTCTACTAAACATCCAAAAAGTAGCCAGGCGTGGTAGCGCACTCCTGTAATCCCAGCTACTCGGGAGGCTGAGGCAGGAGAATCACCTGAAGCCGGGGGCAGAGGCTGCAGTGAGCCGAGATCACGCCATTGCACCCCAGCTTGGGCAACAGGAGTGAAACTCCGTCTCAAAAAAAAAAAAAAAAAGCAATGAGCCTCACTAAGAGAGGCTTAGCTTAGTAAGTCAGCAGTCTTCAAGGGTTTTGAATTAATGTTGCTAAATGTTTTCGGAAAGGACAGCTCCAGGAGTTTATTTAAACTGTCCTAGCCTGTCCTTCTACAGACACAGGTTACAATACAAGCAATTTTACGTATCCCATCTTCTCTTTGAAGCAGCAGGCGTTGTTGGGGTGGAGAGGCGATGAATGATCACATCACCTGGCATCACCTATTTTTAATAGGAATCTAAGGCTGGGCGCAGTGGCTCAGCTCACACCTGTAATCCCAGCACTTTGGGAGGCCGAGGCAGGCAGATCACTTGAGGTCAGGAGCCAAGATGGCACCACTGCACTCCAGCCTGGGCTACAAAGCAAGACTCCATCTCAAAAAAAAAAAAAAAAAAAAAAAAAAGAAAGAAAGAAAGAAAAAGAAAAGAAAAGAAAAAAGAAGAAAAAATTTAATCTAAATCTATAACCTATAACTGGGCACTTAAAAATTGTTAAATGCCTTTAACAAATGACCTAATGGGGGTGGGGGATGGGAGAGAATACTATAAGCTCCCAGACCCCTAAATAGCAATCAAGTACAAAAGTCTAGCAAATCACTCAGCCACAGCCCTACTGCCTTACTGCCTCCAGAAGCATCTAATGTTTTTTTAAACTTCTGGATATGACCTAAGTTCTAAGATCAATTAAATGAGTCTCAACCAGCATTTTTTTAAATGAACTAGAATAAAATTTAAAATATCAGACTGTAACATACGTGGAGGATTAAATACTATTTTGTTAAAGTTTTGTAATTTATATATACATGAACTTATGTATAGATACACGTGTTCAGGACTGTAATAGAAAATGTCATGATGGAAAAAAAAATGTGAAGTCCACTGATCTAAATCCACTTTGAAACCCGTGTATCAGCCAAAGCAACACAGGAGCTCCCTGCCTCTGCCAGTAACTGCTCCTACATTTTGACACAGAGTTAACAATGACCCTTGCAAAACAAGCTGTCATTTGGTAAGCTTTCTCAACAGATAAAGAACCTATTACTTGCTTTGGACATTACCAAATAAACTGCTGGTATACAGCAATATATGTAAGCACAGCTATGGGATGCATACTCACAAATAAAATGGACATCTAAAAGAGAAGAGGAAAATGGCAATGCTGCTCTCACAACAGGTAAGAACCAAGCAGACCTAAAGAAAAACTATTTCCTACCTCTGCTCCTCTAAGGAAAGATTTGCTAGACTTTTGCACTATTCACTTTTTCTTTTCCTCTACATGCTAAGCAAAGGCTGCTAATGGTTTCTGCCTATCATTCTCTAAGTCAAAGGCTCAGGAATTTGGTTCTTCTGATGTATGTAAATAACAGAATGCTCAGCTGTACTCAGCAAAGACATTCTTATCTCATGTGCTCAAGCAGGCTTAACACCACTGTACTACTCAAGTACTGTTGAAAGCTGACCCTGACCAATGCTCATTTGCTCATATGAACACAAAAAGGAGGACGGCAGAGTGTTTTAACAGTGGTCACTGACATGAGGTTACTTCTGTGTCTAACCTTCCAGGTACCCCCGGATGATCCAGGGTTTAGATTTTAATACTAAATGGTTTTGGGGGTTTAAGGACGAAAGGAAAAACACTCCTTGTTCATTCTCAGTGGGCACTGAGCTTGACACTGAGTAGGAGACAAGAACATCTCTGCTAATTCCATGTCCTACAAGAAGACTCAGCCAAGGCACTGAGGGGCTTGTGGCTTTCTCTATGATCTCCAGCTAAACAGGCATTATCCTAAATATAAAAAGCCCCTTTATCCCTACATCAGAAGGGAGATATGGTGCCCACTTTAACAAAACATAATCAGCATGGGGGTGAAGCCTTAAGCAGATTATCCATTATAAAATAAAAATATAAAACAAAACAGAAAATGACAACAAAAAAAGAATCACTACAAAAAGTACACTCCACAATGAGTAAGAGAAATCATTGTTTACAAAAGTTATAGACTACCGCTTTCTGGATGGTGTTTAGCCATAAATTCAAGTAAGTAACAGTCCCAAATTATATCACCTCATACTCACCATGACCCCTCAACCCTAATGCTTTAAGACAATTAATAAACACTACTAACAACAACAACTACTACGACTACTACATAAAAAAACCCCCAACAATAGGAACTATGATTTCTTCATCTTGGCATCACAAATACACAGCATAATGTTTGGCAAATGGTAGAACTTTAATAAATAGTGAATTTAACTAGTGAATAAATGAATGTCGAATGTAGAACCTCCCCGTGCTCTTACCTGCTCTTACTCCCCGATACTGAGGGGTGGCAAACATGTCCCACTGGGAGACTATAATGGCTGCAATGCCCAGCACACAGATGACAATCAAGTAGATGAAGCAAGGTTGTGGATTACAGTAGAAAGAATAATAAAGCCAAGGAACAAAACTTCCCATAATCAGAAGAGCAATACCAGAGTAATCCAGTCTATGACAGAAAAAAAAAATCCATTTAATGCAGTAATTTAAAAACTACTGGCCACTACAGGTTCCAATTAATCCCTCATGACATAAGCCATCAACGACACCTAAGAGCCAAACTGGGTTGCTCTTTAATTTTTAAAAAAAAAAAAGTTTGCATGAGATGATATTAAGAATTCTGCCAACTCTGCTGAATGTTTTTCCCTAACGCACTACCTCTAAATCATTGGCCAAAATACGGACTTTACAGATACTTACTTAGAGAAGAGCCGAGAGACCCCCTCTGAGTGGCAGTAGACTGTGTGGAAGAGCCATGAAAAAGAAAGGCAGAGAATGGCTCCTAAGAAAAATAATCCAAAGACCACCTTCTCTTGCAGAGGGGCCACAAAGGAGATATTTGGGCGAAACATATAAAAGATCCCCAGGCACAGGAAGAATACACAACCTAGGAAAAAGAGCACAGAAAATAGATAAAATATCACCCTTTAGAAGAGACAGTATTATAACTGATTCTGTTTTCAATCCTTCTGCATTACAACAATATCTGAATCAAAAGTTCAATGAGAAAAATCTTCCAAATAACTGAAGCCTATCCAAAATTGTGGTTTACTTCCAACATTGTTGGTATCAGAAATACTTCAGCTTCATAAACTGAATATACAGAATATAAAAACTTATCTAAGGGCATAATCTAAAAAGAAATCAGACACTGCTGCTACTTCTTAGAAGATATAATGAAGCCACTTCTACCTCTAGATGTAGAATAGTTTCATTTATACAGTTTTTGGCACATACCTCATAGTCCAGCTTTCAAAGGTCCATTGTGCTTTTGCTTTTGTTTTTACAATGAATTCCAATACCCCTAAACCCTGCCAAGAAATACAGCTTTCCTCTACCAATAGCTGTCAGGGAGTGTCATGCTGTTTCTCTGGCCCTCATCAGCTGGTTCAGGAGATTCAAGAGTTAAGGACAAAATGCCTACTCAGGCCATTTCCTAACCAATTCTTACACTGTTCTACACAGAAAGATGCCATGTTCCTATTGCTTAGGGAGGGGCCACCTAACACAAGGCAGGCACAGAAATTTCAACTTCAACGTTTGCTAAGTAATTGTTTTATCATTTTAATTAAAAATTACCCTTGAATTAGAAGTCAGCAACAAACTTGATTTGACCCTCTACTCTCCTCTCACTATACTAGCAGGCAGGAACTTAGAGGCACCATGGAAATCAAATGTGTGATAAGAAATGCAAATCAAATGGAGTAAGGCCAGAAACTAGTATATTCACAAGGTTGTACAACCATCACCACTAACTAATTCCAAAATATTTTCATCACCCCAAACAGAAGTACTGTATCTGCTGTCATCCCCCATTCCCCACTCCTTACAGCCCTAAACAACCACTAATCTACTGTCTTTATGGATTTTCCTGTTCTGGACATTTCATGCATGTAGAATCAAACGACATGTGACCTTCTGTGTCTGGCTTCTTTCACTTAGCAAATGTTTTCAAGGCTCACCCATGCTGTGGCATGTATCAGTGCTTCATCCCTTTTTGCAGCTAAATAATACTCCAGTGTATGAATACACCATATTTTGTTTCTCCATTACCAGTCGATAGACATCTGGGTTGCTTCTACTTTTTAGCTATTATGAATAATGTTGCTGCAAACTTCTGTGTTCATGTTTTTATGTGAACATGTTTTCAGTCATCTTGGGTAATATACTAGGAGTTGATTTCTGGTAACTCTATGTAACTTTTTGAGGAACTGCCAGACTTTTCCATGGGGACTGCCCCATTTCACATTCCTACTGGCAACGTATGAAAGTTCCAATTTCCCCACATCCTTGCCAAGACTTGTTATTTTTCATTTTCTTGATTATAGCCATCTTAGTGGGTGTGAAGTGTTGAGATTTCTCACTGCATTTCTCAAAGCATTTGATTTGCGTTTTCCTAAATGCCTAACGAAGACAAACATCTTTTCATGTGCTTATTGGCCATTTTAGATCTTCTCTGGAAGAACATCTATTCAGATGTTTTACCCATTTTTAAAATCGGTTGTCTTTATTGTTGAGTTGTAGGAGTTATTTATTAGATCCTTACCAACTAGCTGATTTGTAAATATTCTCTTCTCTATGGGTTGTCTTTTCACTTTCTTGATAATGCACTTTGATATACCAACGTTTTTAATTTTGATGAAGTCCAATTTATCTATTTTTTCTTTGGTGGCAATTCTCAGAAACAGTCACCTAATCCAAACTTACAAGGATTTATATATGTTTTCTCCTAAGGATTTTATAGTTTTTGCTCTTATGTTTGGGTCTTTGATCCATTTTGGGTTCACTTTTGCATATGTGAGTTCGGGATCATTCTTTTACATATGGCTCAGTTATCCCAGCACCATTTGTTGGAAAGACTATTCTTTCCTCTACAGTATTCTTTCTTTAATATACAATCATTATGGAGAAAAAATTACAGTCCATATTCTACTTCAGGCCAAACTGAAAATTAGCAGTGCATATAAGTAATGCATTTTAAAAGATCAGATTACTTCTATTAAATAATACTTTCTTCTCAGTGGTCACTACAATATGAAACCACATTTTGTATAGCAACTTTTACTTGGCCTGGTTTGAGGACAAGATCTGAAAATCTAGTAGAAAGAAATATAACTTAAGTTATAACAAAATCATAGTGCAAACCAGGATAAACTACGAGTAAACCAGTCAGAAAATTCATCATTAGAAATTCAGAAAACAAAATGGCAAATCCAAATACATTTCTGAAGTTCTGTGCTTACCCTCAAATACATGAAAATAAAAAGGAAGAAAGTGAATCACCAGCTCATTACATCACTGACATTACATACCTAAGAGATGTGTCCAAATGTTGCCTGTTTCTGTGTGTATTCTGAAAATGCTCTTAAAACAGGCCCGGAAAGAAGGCATAGGAGGCCGGTGTCCATGCAAGAGGAAGTCATTATCCTTGAGCCAGTCTGGTAGTACATCATGAGGGATCACTCGCCACCGACCTTCCCATACCTGGCAGAGAGGTATTATCAAACATCTTTGTGATTTTAGTTGTCAATTTACCAACACTGACCCCTAACAACTGTGTCTTATCACACTGTTTTATAATGGGAAAAACAATTCATTTTTAAAAAGGCAAACATCTCAAAATGTATAATGTCTTATATTCTGAGTTCTTTAAAGACTGATGAAAAATATATTTTTGCCGGGCATGGTGGCTAAGGCTTTAATCCCAGCACTCTGGGAGGCCAAGGTGGGTGGATCACCTGAGGTCAGGAGCTCGAACCCCATCTCTACTAAAAATACAAAAAATTAGCCGGGTGTGGTGGCACATGCCTGTAATCCCACCTACTCGGGAGGCTGAGGCAGGAGAATTGCTTGAACCCGGGAGGCGGAGGTTGTGGTGAGCTGAGATGACGCCATTGCACTCCAGCCTGGGCAACAAGAGCAAAACTCTGCCTCAAAAAAAAAAAAAAAAAAAAAGAAAGAAAAAATATACTTTTAAGTGGGGGCCTTAGGAAAAGGAAAGAGTAAACAAATTTATAGGAAATGCCCTAAAAGAGTGGTTTCAAACTTTGTTTCAACCTGGCTAATGGTGGGATGAAGGTTCCAAAGTCTCACTCATACTGACCTCCTTCATCCTACCTATATAACAGACTTTACCTCTGATAAATCCCTGTGGTGTTAATATGAACATTTTTATATTTAATATTCCTATTGGTAAAAACAGAATTACATAGAATCATACTTTTGTGCCTTTTGCTAAAATCTCTCCCTCCATCTTACTCTTTCTTCTCTTCCCACTATGCAAATATGATGAGGCAGAAAAGAAAGAGCACAGGAGTCAGAAAATTGTGGACCCCTGGCATTAACTAGCTATATGAGATTTAATTAATTAAAAAACCTCCAACCTGCAGCTCCTTCATTTGTAAAATAGCGCTTCAGTTACTTCATAGGGAAATCATGAAGATCAAACAAAATGACACAAAGCATTTCATGAATTAGTTAGTAATCCCTGGCATCTACTCAAAGCCAGTACATGACTATCCCCAGGGGCTATCTCCTGTCAGACAGTTAGTGACTAATCCATCTTCCTTCTCATGCTGCAGAGAGATGGTAAAGAAGCTCAGCCCTAACCACCCTTTCAGTCCCTCAGAGCCCTTTCCTCCCGTTTCCTCATGGTCCCTCCCGCATCAGATTCTAGAGGAAAAGGGATCAGGAATCCGATATCCCCTCTGTAGGAAGTCTGTCAACCTCTGCACTCTGCTTCTTTTAATGTCTCATAGCCCCGAGAGCTCACACCACAAGGATCACTTAATCTTGACTAACTTGCTTCTGCTAGACAGAAAGATGTAAGGAAAAATGGCAGGCACATGGTTTATCTTCCAGCTAATGTGGGCTCAGCAGTTCTTCCAGTCTATTACCCTATAAAGCAAGAATCCAGGCTGCAAATCAGCAAGATTCACCTTCAGACAATGACCTCCACCCTACCCACTACAGGGTCTTGTGACAATATGGGTAAGCCATGGAAACTTGGCTCTCTCTCTACTCTATGGAAAGACTGCCACTTACTCACCAGCTACTGTGCCCATTCCTTTTGCTCCACAACCTGTTTCTTGTTCTCTGCTCTCTTACTTCCTTACAGATATTTGTAAAAGAACTAATCCTCTGTGTAACATCTCCACATCCAAAGGAAGTGAGGACTAACAATTTAAGAACAGATGTGTCCCTCTTAACACTCTAACCAAACTAGCCCCCTGCCTCTTCCCTACTCTTCCTGCCCCCAGCCATACAAAACCTCTCCTCCCTCACTTTCCAACTCAAAACGTGGGGTCTGTGGTTACTGGTGCTAATGTGGCCATTCTATGCTTGCTTCTAACATACAATAAAATAAAATAATGCCAAAAGACTAATCTATATTTTTAACATCTGCTGCTAATAGTACTACCACTTACAAAAGTAGCTGTATGAGATCTTCCACAGGACTTTATGGAGAGAAAGAGAAAGGGGATCAGGGATCCAGTATCCCTTCTGTTGGAACTGCTGGAAGTCTGTCAACCTCTGCAGTCTGCTTCTTTTAGTGTCAGAGAGAGACCAAGATACTGAATTTTTTGCATCAAATTTGAATTTGGGAAAAGACCACTATTGTTGAGATTAACCTTACAGAATGTTGCTATTACCTTACTTTGGGGGAATTTTATTTTCTGAGAGGGAGAGGAAGACAGAAATCAACCCTTACATCTTCAAGGCAATTCACAATGTGCACACAGCTCTGCTGTATCCAAACTGCTACTCTGCTACCCCACACAGACAAAAGAGTCATATGTTCCTTTTTTACATTCAAAAAGAATATGTGAGTTTCTTATTGGTTATATATGCATATAATTTCAGAGTGATTTTCCCTGGTATTTCTAAACAAATGTTCTAGTGGTCTAAATACTGAGACAAGGAGCTATACTTTCTTAATTACACTGCAATTAGTGACACATTCAACAGACACTGCACCCTCATTCTCAACCTGGAGTCATATACAGTCAGCCAAATTCCAACACAAATAGGTATCCTCTTTTACCCCCTAGAATAAAAAAATAAGATCACGGCTTAGCCAAAGACATATTTATTTATAAGCTTGACAAAGACACTGCCTACCTTCAAATATCTTAGTAATAATCCACTGGGTATGTGGATATATTAGACCATAAAATGCACAAAAACATTTCTTAAAAAAACAGCTGGACGCAGTGGCTCACGCCTGTAATCCCAGCACTATGGGAGGCCGAGGCGGGCAGATCACGAGGTCAGGAGATGGAGACCATCCTGGCCAACATGGTGAAACCCCATCTCTACTAAAAATACAAAAATTAGCCGGGCATGGTGGCACATGCCTGTAATCCCAGCACTATGGGAGGCCGAGGCGGGCAGATCACGAGGTCAGGAGATGGAGACCATCCTGGCCAACATGGTGAAACCCCATCTCTACTAAAAATACAAAAATTAGCCGGGCATGGTGGCACATGCCTGTAATCCCAGCTACTTGGGAGGCTGAGGCAGGAGAATCACTTGAACCCGGGAGTTGGAGGTTGCAGTGAGCCAAGATCGTGCCACTGCACTCCAGCCTAGCGACAGAGCGAGACTCAACAATAAATAAATTTCAAAAACAAATAAACTCCCCATAGCATACATCCTATTCCCACATGGACCTGGTTATGCTGGTAAATAGCAAACACTGAAGTCTAGGGGAAAAAAGAGTGACCAAGATCAAACGTGGAAACTCTAAAGACTAAATTATCCACAGCACATTTCATATTAAACTGTCTCTGTTTACTTGCTTCCAGTCCAAGAAATAGAATCCCTGTGCCACTAGACACGGCTGGTTTTCAAGTGTGGTCAGTTGCACTGCCATGGCAGGGTTGAGCCACACCAGACAACACTGTGTAACAGGATGCCTCTTCATTCTGCTGTCATCAACAAACTGCTAAGGGATATTTACAACACTCCTTTTCCTTCAGAAGATCATAGTTTGTAGCAAACAAATGTCCTGCCCTATTTATTCTCTGATTTGCTGTTAAATTTAGAGTTTTATTTGTTTTATTCTTTGTTCTCTGTTCAGAAAGGGAGAGGACAAAAAGGCAGTTAAGTCAGCTACCGTACCCCGCTGATCTCTAAATATTAAAATCCCCTAATGGCCCAGATACTAAATTTGCCAACTTTGAGAGATTTCTTCACACCAAATTTGCATTTTAAAAACAAAATAATCTTTTGTATCCCTTTGTGCTAATTCTCCTGAGACAGTGATCACTAGAATGAATCTATTGTTCTGTTCAGTTGTTTCTTCACTCATTTTCAAACTGGCTAAAATTTTCTATTACAGACCCATAAATGTTTAAACTCCCCCTGAAAACCCACTGGACCCTTAGTCTTGGAAAGGATGTCTATGTTCAGATCACAATGTTCTCTTTTCATACCCTGGTCCAAAGTAATAGCATTCTAAGTCCACTGATCCCAATTATTTCCAGCATTATTGTGAATGTAAGAAAACCTATATTTAGTCTCCTGGATCTAAGACCATGTACATAAAAAGTTTTGGTTTCATAAAAGCCATGAAAAGCTAAGTGTCACAAAAATTTCTCTCTAAATAATAAAGAGTTCTCCAGAAATGTTTAATAAATCAATTTACATACACATACGTATACACACAGACTGATCGACTTACATTAATTAGATTCTACCTGCCAGGGCCCTTATTGATCTGATTGATCAAGTACCTACAAGTTTACCAGTGTGTCTATTTTCTCTAAGCAGGCAAACTCAATTCTAATTACTATTTTAGAAAAAAAAAAAAAAAAAAAGAATCCCATAATAGGTCCTAGGGAATCAAGACAATGGACTGGAAGAAAAACCTTAAGAGACAGAATGTATACCAGCTGAACTGAAAATACCAGATGTACATGGAAACTGGAAAATCTCTCTCAAGAGTAGCCTGATTACTCACAGAATCCCTAGAAAGAACAGTACATTTGCCATTGCAGTCACTCAGCAGAACAGATTTAAGGGACCTGCGGAGGGCATTTTCATATCTCCAGGCGTCAACCACTTCTGACTATGTTTCATTCTGTTTGTCTAAACCACCAATAAGACATTTACTCTGTTAACCTACATTAGGAAATGTTTGTTTCCCAGCTGGATATCCTAGTTTTATCAGAGCTTTATCATGGCTACTACAAGCCAACAAATGTATTCTGTCTTCAACAGGATTAGAGTCCCAAGACCACTTCTGTCCCCATCTTGCCACAGATCTTCCCCAAAGCAAACCAAAGGCTATAGTACTACCACTCTCTTTAAAGGTTTCTGTTTTGGAAGGGCTAAATATATAGCATGACAATGACAAGAAACTGCACTCTTACCTTACAAACAAATTCTTCCATTTTTTCCATAGCATGATGGGCTTGTAAGAGAGGGGACATGCCCATAAAGCCCTCATCTTCCTGAGGAGCTTCATCACTGTATTCATGTTCCTCAGAGCTCTGCAAGGCAATCACAGAAACAGTCAAGGACAGAGACTGGGAGCCAAATGACACAATCAATACATTTCCCTTGTGGAATTATAATGAAATTCTTAAGGTCAAAACAAGGCCTTAGACAAGAATCAACAATATAGTAAGTCAGTTTATTATAGAATTATTAGTATTAAAAATGAACACTAGTACTCAATTCTTCTCTGACAGATGAATTAACTGTCTACTATAGCAGCATCTCTGTTTCAGTAGCAAATTCCTGGCTTTACTGGTTTGTTTTTTAAAAATTATGTCATAGACCCCATAATAATATTACATAAAGTTGAGAAATTACTAAGGGGAAAACCTCCAAGACTCGCACCTGGGACACATAAAATAACTAACTGTGATACACAATGTGGTAAGTACTCTAGTGGCAGAGAAAGAAAGGGGAGAAAAACATTTAATAAATTTTTTAAATATATCCAACACAGAGGAAAAGGCTTTATATATAGGTCATCTAACTTAATCCTAACAACCACCTTATTAAGTAAGTATTCTCATTCCCATTTAACATATAAGAGCATTAGGCAAAGAAGTTAAGTAAGTTGTCCAAGGTTAAAGCTGAAGTGGAAAAGTCAAACTCCAAAACCCACTGCCTTTCCACATTCTGGAGAAAATGACTGATTTGTCTAGAGAAATGGAAAAAGAAGTGACAATCTGGTATGGTCTAAAGAGATAAATTACTAAAATTAAAATTTCTGCCTCCAGACCAAGGTTCATACTGGTTTAGATAAAATGATATTGTGAGAAGAAGGGCAGTAGACTGCAAGTCAGGAGACCAAAGTGGTGAGGCCAGCTCCACCACTAACATCAATGGATCTTCACTGCAGGTCCATTTTCTCCCTATGTATCAATGGAGGAGTTTAAACAATCTCTACAGTCTTCTACATCTCTAAAAAAATTCTATAATTCTTTAACTCAATGAATAAGACAGCACAAGAGAACCATAATTCCGTATGTAACCAAGAGTCTGTTTAGATAAACAGTACTGCTAACATGACTGCACAAAGAAATGAATAAATCCTCTACCTCTAATCAAAAAACTACTTGGTAAGAATGAACACAGAGGCAATGGGTAATCTACTACAACACTTTAAATTTGATCTTGTTTAAAAGGAAATTCTGAGATTTTAATTTTCCTATTCTTCAGTTTATAAGACACTAACTAGAGGCTATGATGCGGCATGTGAGACATGTTATACACCCAGTCTGATTTTATAAAAACACATAATCTCCAAGAAAACCATCTTGAATAAAATAACCTCTCCATCTTTGTTTACCTAAAACTTACCATCTATCCTTCAATGACTAACCTTCATAGTTCCTATTTAAAACCCTTCTTTAACTATCCTAAACTCGTGTTCCTCAACCTTTCATTACTGCTACCCACAAGCCCCGGGACCTTTTTTTTTTTTTAGTTTGAGACAGCGTTTTTCTTTGAGACCCCAGGGTCTTGCTCTGTCACCCAGGCTCCTGGAGTACAGTGGTGCGATCATGGCTCACTGCAGCCTCAACCTCCTGGCCTCAAGCAATCCTCCACCTAAGCCTCCTGAATAGCTGGGGCTACAGGTGTACACCACTGTGCGCACGTGTGTGTGCATGCGTGCACTACAGGTATGCACCACTGTGTCTGTTGTGTGCACATGCGTGTGTGTAGAGACGAGGTCTGTGTTGCTCAGGCTGGTCCTGAACTCCTGGCCTCAAGCAATCCTCCTGCCTCAGCTTCCAGTGTGTTGGGATTACAGGTATGAGCCACTGCACCCGGCCCTGGGACATTTTAGATTGCTTTCCTCATCCCCATGAATTTTAATAACACAGATATACTATCTATGTACTGTGGCCCTATGGGGGGTTCCAAACCATAGTAGTATTTAATAGTTTTTCATCCCCTACCCCACCAAGAACCAATTTTCATTAGAGACTGCATAACCTATCTAATCCACAGCAATTGCTTCTTCTGACTTCTGTTTCTTCTGACTACTTCTTCTGACTTCTTTAGCACTTAAGTCTGTGCCTCTCATTTGACAGTAATATCTGATTACAGCTCTTTTACTGACTAATACTGTTTTATTTAACGTTTAATAGAATTTTACATTTTTAGCGTATCATTTCCTAAACTAGATTTTTAAGTGTCTGTCTTCTTCCCCATGGCTTCTGGAACATACTTACATGATGGCTAAATTAATAAATGCTCTAGGAGACTTTCAACAATAAGTTAATGAGGGCTGTGCCTAATTAAACACGAAATTAAAATGACAAAATTCCATTAAAATTATATAAAACCTGAAAACGGGCAATAGCTTGAAATGATTATAGCAGACCGATTTTAAAATATAAAATTATGTTATATAAAATAGCTCAGATATTTGCACATATTCAACATGTATTTGATTCTCCAAAGAAACAGAAACAAAGAGTCTTTATTCTCATACAAATTACTGTCAGCCATTTCAAAACTACAGATATGTACATAAAACACAATATGGCTAATGTATACTACCATTAAGTAAACATGATGAAACTGCACTCCGAATCAATGTGACTCAGTAAGTAATCAGTGAGATTACTCACAATCAGTAATTCTGATTATCAGGCTAAGTGCAACTGGTTACATATAAGACTACTGATAGCGGCCAAGACAGGAGGATGGCTTGAGCCCAGGAGCTCGAGACCAGCCTGGGCAACATGGTAAAACCCCATCTCTACAAAAAATATAAAAATTAGCCAGGAGTGGTGTTGCGTGCCTGTCTGCAGTCCCAGCTACTCAAGAGGCTGAGGGGGAGGACTCCTTGAGCCCCAGGAGGTCGAGGTTGCAATGAGCTGTGATCTTGCCATTGCATTCCAGCCTGGGCAACAGAGCTACACCCTGTCTCAAAAAAAAAAAAAAATTACTTTAGTAAAGATAAATATTTCCATCCATCCCAATATATCAGCAAGATTCAGAATCTTTATAAAAGAATTATTTCCGGCCAGGCACAGTGTCGCACATCTGTAATCCCAGCACTTTGGGAGGCCAACGTGGGTGCACCACCTGAGGTCAGGAGGTCGAGACCAGCCTGGCCAACGTGGTGAAACCCTGTCTCTACTACAAATACAAGAATCAGCCAGGTGAGGTGGCGAGCGCCTGTAATCCCAGATACTCAGCAGGCTTGAGACAGGAGAATCGCTTGAACCCAGGAGGTGGGGGTTGCAGTGAGCCGAGATCGTGCCATTGCACTCCAGCCTGGGCAACAAGAGAAACAAACAAAAACAAAAATATTTCCTTCAGAAGGGCAAAGTATTAATAAATCTGTTGATTTATCAAGTACTATGACCAATTCCTACCCTTGTATAAAGGAATATTCACAAATATGTTCTCAAAGGATAAATTAAAATACTAGACCATAATTAACTATTTATTGTGTTCAAGTATTAACGGAGTTGCTAATGCGGTATCCACGTGGTGTGGGTGGTGGTAAATGCAGTTCCCTGGGTTAGAGAGAGGATAAAGTAGGAATACAGTGGCAGAGTTAAACACTGGCTAAAACAGGATAAAAAAATACTTTCCCTAGGGTATACCATATGTCACATACTGATGGCTTGGAAAGACTATGCTAGACGCTATATTTAAAATAGTCTCTGTCTTCCAATATTAAGTCCAAATAACTATTTTATTATGAGTGAAATTACTATTTCTAATTTCCATCCAACAGCCACCAAACCACAGTACCCAAAGATACCTCTCTGAACAATAAATTGTATCTATATTCAATGATCACATACATGCTATGTTCTGCTTCTGTTGTCATACTCCTTACCACACCCTCAACAAAATTATGACAAGAAACATGACATTGTGACAGATTAAACAAAACCAAAGCTGCCAAGAATAAAGGCATAAAACTTAATTCTCCAGGTTTTTCTATGAATAACTATATTTAAACTTGTAGAGGTCAATGCTTTGAAATGAGCACAAAGACATTTTGAAATATCTCCCCCCTCCCGCCATCTGTTTTCAGTAAAGTCCATCTGTGAGAACTTTGCTGACTGTATTTCAAAACATAGTAACATTTGACTTTGATGATCTGTCCAAACTGCAATCTAAAATGAGAATTTTCCAGAGTACACTTTACCTTTGGAAAGACAGAGAACCATAGTGATAAAGATAAAAGGTCTTTAAGATCAGTCTAATATGAAAATAATTCACAAACCTATTGGGTATTTATTGGTTTTGGCCTAACTCAATTCAACAGAGTAATTCAGTTTAACAAATATTTATTAGATGATTAAAAATAAGATGAATAAAACATAGTCTCTGTCTTCCATGGACTTACAATCTAATAAAGTGCTAAATTAGCCAAATAAATGACTTCATAGAAAAAAAGGTATAGCTAGTTCAAAGATAAACATGATGAGGCTCAGGAAAGCCTGCATGAAGAATAAAAATTTTGCAAAGATGAGATAAAGGAAAATAACCAAGAGGGAAAAGCAAAAGTGCCATGTTGAGAAAAAGAGACTAGTTCATCTAGAGCTTCGGGGGCATTTAGGAAAGTAGCAAAACATAAATGAGGTATTTAAATGTTAGTGGAAGTACAAGAAGTGCCACAAAGACTCACAATCATGATACTATCTACCATCCACAATTAGATGAAAAAGGTCAAGAAATGGTACAATATCCAGGGCTGGAGACAGTAAACCTTTGATTAAAATCTGTCTGCCTTTATAAATGTCATTGAGAACTGAGACCTTCTGCATTCACACAGCTTAATTATAAGGACTAAGATCTAAGGCCCCTATATCAACAGAACTTTATTATTTGTTCTCGGAAATTCTTGCCCAGGAAGGTAAGAATGCAAACCAGTAAATAACTTCATCATTAGCTTTAGGAATTTCTCAAAAATTCATTTAACTGAACAACAGACTGCTCAATTAGATCCTTAATCATTGCTCAACTGGGCAAACATGCTCACTTACCAAACAAATATTTGTTTATCAAGACTTGGTCTAAGAATTCTATCACAAACTCAGAACAGGGCCAAGTAAAATCTCCTTAAACTACTTGAAACCAGACCCCAAAACCCTGTAAATATCCATATCCAATACTTTCTTTCTGAAATACTTCTAGGACTCTTTAGGGCAGTGTTCACCCTTACTGGAGTATGTAATAAACCTGGCTTAGTTTGATCAACAGGTGATTTTTATGGTCTTTTTACAAGTTGACAGGTTGAAGCCAGCCTTAACTTTAGAAATTGGAAATGTGTAGCAAGGGCATTAGCAAGCTGATATTACTAACAAATGAAAACAAAGAGGTTTGTGGAAACAAAGGTATCTACAAAAAAAAATGATAGCTGAAGAATAAGTATTGATGGATGTATACCCAGTATTCTCCAAAAGAATAACTATAATATCTAGTCTATATGAATATTCATTTTGGCCTGCCTAGAAATATATATACTCTGACTTCCATCAAAGCTTAATGGAAAAGATCTTTAAAATCACTCAGTTTTTTAAAAATTCTCAAATAGCAATTCTATCTTTTTTTTTTTTTTTTTTTTTTTTTGACGAAGTCTTGCTCTTGTCCTCCAGGCTGGAGTGTGATGGCGCAATCTTGGCTCACTGCAACCTCTGCCTCCTGGGTTCAAGCGATTCTCCTGCCTCAGCCTCCCGAGTAGCTGGGATTATAGGCGCCTGCCACCACGCCCGGCTAATTATTTATATTTTTAGTAGAGACGGGGTTTCACCATGTTGGCCAGGCTGGTCTCGAACTCCTGACCTCAGGTGATCCACCCGCCTCAGCTTCCCGAAGTGCTGGGATTACGGGCGTGAGCCACCACACCCGGCCTCTAATCTTAATTGAATTTCTTAAGCAGGCTTCTCCATGAAAATAAAATGAAGTGATTGACAAGAGTCTATTTACAAGTTAGTTTTCTTACAATAAACTATTATATAGTGGCATTCTTGATTTTGGTTAAAGTAAACCAGTTTAACAGAATATGAAGGTTGAATGAATAAAAGTTCCTTATCTCCCAATTTATAAAGAAGAATCTGGAGCAGAAGAAAAGTAGGACAACCATAAAGGCTGATCTCTTTATTCAACCTAATATCTTGAAAGCTCAGAAAGGGAGCAGGGAGGCAGAGGGGAGCCATAAAAATAAAGATCAGGACAACCTGGTTTGAAATGCCTCTCTTATATTTTTGTCCAAAAGCTTACAGAATGCCTCCTAACTATATACTTTAGCAAATATAGTTAAAAGAGTCCAGGCTTTAGGGTCAGAGGCCTAGGGGCAATGGTCTAATCATTTCAACCAGTACACAACATTACACAAAATTTGAAACTGATATAAATTGCAAAAAGAAATTTGAATGATGGCATAATACTGGACCAGGAGGCTAAAGACCTAGATTTCAGGCCCCAGGTGTCTTGTCTTACTTACTACCACATCCTCCACCCCACTATACACCTTGACCTTTCATTCCAGCTATGCTAGAAATTTTTCAGGTTCAGACATCAGTATGTGCCAGTGTGTACTCAATAAACATTAGCTATTATTATTACTATTCCCTACAGGCATCGTATTACATCTGCTTCTGAATCTTCACATCTGCTGTTCCCTTTGTCTAAAATGTCCTTTAGTCCTTTCTTAGCTAAATCCATTTGCAACTGGAGTTACTACCATAGTAATCTGTGCATAAAACCACACAGCACTCACCACAAATGTACTGATTTACCTGTCTCTCCAACTAAACTACATGCTGCTTAAGGGCAAAAACTATGTCTTCTCAAGTCCAAAGTGCCAACACATGGTAAAGAAACTAAAAACATTTGTAGAAGGATTAAAAGCATCCATGTGTCTACTAAACTAAATGACTGATGGGATCCCTTCCACTCTTGACAGTCTAGGAACCAAGTCTGAGTACCTGAAAGAAAGTTGGTACTATTTAAGAGAAATTAGGATTAGAAAATTAGAATAGAAGGAAAAGCTGATGGGGGAGTGGACAGTTAACCTTAGTTTAACATTAGTTCAATTTGAAATGGTTACAAGTCCAATAAAGAAGAAAGCACTTCTCATTTGAAGGCTATAGAAGAAAAAAGGGGGAAAAAAAAGAAGACTGCACTAAGATGATAGATTTAGAAATCACCTTTATGAAAAGGCTGTTGAAATCAAGGGTGGCTGAGATATGTGGATAACTTCAAGATGTGTTTATCAGGACTTACTACAGTTATGGAGTAGTCAAGTACTATTATAAAGGAAGGACAGAGTAACAATTATTATTTATTATACACTACATGCCAGACATTGTACTAAGTGCTTTTTACAAATTAATCAAACCCTCATAACAATTTTCTGAAATGAGTATATTTCTATTCCCATTTTATTAAGTGGAAATCTAGATCAAACATGGTAAATGAAGAAACAGAAGCTAAGAGAAAGTACACAGCTTTAAGTAGTACCTTAATTCCCAACCTAACACCACTATCTTGGCTAATTACTTCAAAAATTATGCAAGTGTATATGCACATTAAATGTAATCTGTAGACTGAATAAATGTCTCATATTCATAAAGTAGGTGTAACTAATTTAAAATCATGTAGGTGCTGCGTGAATCACAAAATACAAATTCACTTAAGATGAACTGAATTCATAGCCAATTTCTATCATGTATTTTTTTCAAACTAATATTTAAAATGTGAGTATCATGTAGTGAGGTCTGTTAAATATTTTTGATGTTTAAAGGGAGAATGGGATCATCTTCCTAACGCAGTAATTCCACTCACAGGTATGTAGCTAATGGAAGTGCATACATTTGTTCACTAAAAAACAAGTACTGGAATGTTCATAGCAACACTATTTATAATAGCCCCAAGTTAGATACAACCCAGATTGCCTTCATATAAATAAAATAAAAATTGGTACAGTAATATAAAGAAATAACACAGACCAATAAAAATGAATAATCTACAGCTATACCCAGAAAATACAGATGAATTTCACAAACATCATACTGAGCAAAAGAAGCCAGATACAAGAGTACATATGGAATGATTACAATGAGATAAAGTATAAAAACAAGCAAAATTAATCCATGCCATTAGAAGTCAGGGTAATGGTTACCTTTGGGGGAGTGGGAATAGGCAGTTACTATGAGGAGGTAATAAAGAGACCTCCAGGAGTGCTGGTTATACAGGAGTGTCTAGTTTATAAAAGTTTATCAGACTATCCACTTACAATATATCTACGTGTGTGTGTGTGTGTGTGTGTGTGTGTGTGTTTAATACTTTAATAAGGTTTTTGTTGTTTTTCTTTGAAGGGTCCTCTTACACAGAAGTTTGAAAAATAATGATACAGAAGAGATCAGGGATACAAATTTAGGTCACTCTGAGTACAAAACCCTGCTTTTTTCCTTTTACCAAACTATTTCCTTCAAAATTATTTACTAGTCCACAGAAATGGCTTCACTAAATAAAACCAGGCACGATAAAAGTGATCAAAGAAGGCATTAAACAGGGCTGCTTAAGCAAAGATACCTAACTGGATTGATTTATGAAAAAAGTAAACTATGACCCTCACTCATTTTTTATCCCATTACAAAAAAGTATTAATATAGTGTCGGGGACCACAGAAATTTTGAGGATAAGAAAATCTTAGATGTTTATCACCCAGTTAAACATCTCCATTTTAATGTAAGGAAAATGAAACCCAAAGAAATCAAGAAAATTGGCCAAAGTCACACATCTGGCTGGCAGTACAGCCAGGACTAAAACTCAGGTTTAATCATTCATTTCTTTACTTAAATATTGCACAAATACAATATTCTTGGAATATACATTATATGTGTAATTTTTTGTTTTGAGCCAGGGTCTTACTCTGTTGCCAAGGCTGGAGTGCAGTGGCACAATCATGGCTCACTGCAGCCTCGAATTCCTGGGCTCAAGTGATTCTCCCATCTCAGCCTCCCAAGTAGCTGGGACTACAGGTACATGCCACCAGGCCCGGATAATTTTTGTATTCTTTGCAGAGATAAGGTTTCGCTATGTTGTCCAGGCTGGTCTCAAACTCCCGGGCTCAAGCGATCTGCCCGCCTCAGCCTCTCAAAGTTGTTAGGATTACAGGCATGAGCCACCAGGTCCAGCCATTCCTGGACTATTTTGGATGCAGAGAATAAACATGTTCAAGTGAGTGGAGACAGATAACCACCAATCTATTTTTTATAAGATAAATACAAATCTAATAAAAACAAAAAGAAATAAAGAAAGATTAACTTTGTCCTTTTGATATAACAGAGGAAGTCTTTTCTTTTTGACACAAATATACACCTCCAATGATATGCTACATCTAACATTTATTAAGTGCTTTCTCTGTACCAGGCAGTGTTACCACTGCTTTACATGCACTAAGTTATTATCATTACAACCCTGTGAGACAAGAGGCATACTATTACATACTGCATTTACAAAAGAAGAAACACCCACCTCCTCTAGGCCCAGCTTTACCCTGATGTAATTCCTACCGGTCTGGAACTTCCGTATATGCATTATGAAAAGAAAACTGTGATCACTGGCTCTCCATCATTAAGTGTGCCTCACAATCACATAGGGGAACTTGTGAAAAATACAGATTCCTACTGCAGAGATTTCAATTTTAAAGTATTTAGTTTCTAATACTCTTTCTAAAAATCCATCCTGCTTCATAAGGAACCAAAGAGACTAACCTCTCCAACACCTCAAATAAGGAAGGGATTCCTATGCACAGGTAAACGTAATCTAACTGTACACACAGGTATTTTATTTAATGTTACTTGAGAGCCAATTCCACAACTACAATGGATCACTATCACCTATCACAGGGTCTCTTTTTCCACAATTCTTATCATCTATGGAAATAATGTATTTTAAAATGTATTAAAGGCAAATAACCATTGAAATTGCCATATCGCACTTTTTACAATAAACCAATGAAAAGAAAACCCTGCCCCTTTGAAGAGAAAAAGTATATCATCCCCATGACAAGAGTCCCAGTGTACAATACACATACATTCACATGAAACCTCAGTTTCCTCATCTGTAAAACAGATTCTAATAATATCTATTCTAAAAGGCTACTTTAGGAACGAATAACATATTCAAATGAGCTCAAAAAATTACTTCATCCATTGTAAAAGATCAATAAAAGTGAACTATCATTATTCTCCTGATAAGAATGCATTTATTCTAAGATTAAAGAAGTAGATTAGTTAAGCTTCCCTAAGCATCTAAATAGTATACGTCCCCACGTGCTCCTTTTGTACATCTCTTTAAAGAAACTACTTGAAACCACTTAGACACAGAACTTTATATTTGTTGCTGATAAATTCATTCAACAACTATTTGTTATATGCCACTCAAAGACCAGGTTAGACTCTGAGGATATCAGAGGAAAACAAAAAGGCAAGATTCTTACACCATGGAACTGAAGAGTCTACAAGCAAAAACAATTATTAAACAATTATAAATTTTTATAAAATATGTTTTATATATATGTTTATAAACATAAATATATGTCACACAAATATATGTCATGATACGCATTGTAATGGAAAATAAAAGGTAATTAAAGATAACAATGGGAAACTTGAAATAGAATGAAGTGGAAGTAGAGAACTTAACCTGAATACTGAAGGATGAGCAGCAGTTAGCCAGAGGTGTGGGTGTAACAACACTCCAGGCAGAGGAAAGAGCCATGTTTGAAGGCTCTGAAGCTGGAAAGAGCCCAGCCTGTTTAAGAAACTGAAATAAGGCCAATGCGGCTGCAGCTCAATGAACATGGAGAAGAATGTCCTGAAATGAAGTTGGCCAGATAGGGCAGCAGTGAGATCACGCAGGATCCCGAAGGTTATAGAAAGAATTTGGGATTGTACCATAAGTGCAATGGGAAACAAATGAATTTCTTAAATGGGAATGGCATAATAAACTTTATATTTTTAAGAGCTCTCTCTAGGAACTGTGCGAAGAATATATTGGACAGCACAAGAAACAAAACAGAAGTCCTGTCAGGTGTATTCCAGATGGAAGATGGTGGTGGCTTAGATTAAAGTAATGGCAGAACAGATGATGAGGAGACCATTTGAAGTGAAATTGACACAACTTGAGTTTTATAGTAAGTTTGAATTTAGCTTCTATTTCCAAATTCCTCAAAGAGGTTAATACTTAAAATCCTGAGCTAAAGTTAACCTAGGCAGGTCTCTTCATAAAAGCTCAAGAGCTAACTGACTATGATGAAATATCGTTTCACACCCACTAGGATAGTTATATTCAAAATATAGTAACAATAGTTAGTGTGGGTGTGGAGAAAGTGGAACCCCCACACATTGTTGGTGGGAATATAAACTGGTGCAGCTGCTATGAAAAACAGTCTGGTAGTTTCTCAAAATGTTAAACACAGAGTTAACATATAACCCAGAAAAATCCCTCCTGAGTATATACCCAACAGAAATGAAAACACATCCATACAAAAGCTTCTACATGAATGATAATAGCAACATTATTTGCAACAGTCGAAAAGTGGAAACAATCCAGTGTCCATCAACTCATTATTGGATAAACTATAGTACAGTAGTTTCCCCCCATCCACAGGAAATATGTTCTAAGACCCCTAGTGGATGCCTGAAATCATGGATACTGCTGGACCCTATATATGCTGTGTTTTTTCCTATATATACATACCTATAACATAGTTTAATTTATAAATTAGGTACAGTAAGAGATTAACAACCAATAATAAAATAGAACAATTATAACAATATACTGTAAAAAAAAGTTATGTGAATATGCTCTCTCTCTCACTCAAAATATCTTAGTGTATTGCACTCACGCTTCTTGTGATCTGTGACCTTATAACCAGAAGGCTACTAAGTAACTAAGTAGCCAGCCATCTGCAGCATGGATATGCTGGACAAAGGGATGATTCATTTCCTGGGTAAGGCAGGACAGGGCAAGGAAGGTGAGAGATTTCATCACACCACTCAGATCAGCACAAAGTTTAAAACTTAGAAATTATTTCTGGAATTTTCCATTTAATATTTTCAGATCTCAGTTGACCCATGGGTAACTGAAACCACAGAATGTGAAACCACAAATAAGAAAGAACCCCTGTATATCCATACAATGGAATATTATTCAGTCATAAAGAGGAATGAAGTACTGGTACATACTACAATATTGATGAAACTTAAAAACATTATGCTAAGTAAAAGAAGCTAGATACAAAACACCACATGCCTTACACTTCCATTTATTTAAAAGTCCAGATTAGACAAAGCCATAGAGACAGAAAGTAGACTAGAGGTTGCCTAGGGTTGGGGGTAGAGATGGGAAGTGATGGCAAATGGGTTAAGGTTTCTTTAGGGGATGATAAAAATGTCCTAAAGTTAGAATGAAGTGATGGTTGTACAACCCTGTGACTAATAAAACCATTAAATTGTACACTTTAAATGGGTTAATTTTATGGTATGTAAAATTTATCTCAAAAAAAAATGTTTTAAGAGTCAACTGTGAGTAAATGTGATATTTTCCTTTAACAAACAGTAAATAAATCTAACTTTATTTCCCTAACAATCTTCAGAGAATGTGTTAAGATTTCTTTGCAAAGCATGTTGCTAAGAAGTTTTTAATACATTAACTATTTTAAATAAAATACTTATTTAAAATAAATAAATATCAAAAAAAATTAGGCACTGGTTTGGGTTTTGTTTATTTGTTTTCCTTAACTATCTCCTACGGGAAGGAGGTTGTTTTTTTTGTTTTGTTTTGTTTGTTTTGTTTTCCCCGAGACAGAGTCTTACTCTGTCACCCAGGCTGGAGTGCAGCGGTGCAATCTCGGTTCACTGCAACCTCCACCTCCTGGGTTCAAGCGATTCTCCTACCTCAGCCTCCCAAAGTAGCCGGGATTATAGGTGCCTGCCACCACACCCAGCTAATTTTTGTATTTTTCGTAGAGACGGGGTTTCAGCATGATGGACACGCTGGTCTCAAACTCCTGACCTCATGATCTGTCTGCCTCGGCCTCCCAAAGTGCTGACATTACAGGTGTGAGCCACTGCGCCTGGCCAGGAAGGAGGTTTTTAAACAGTAGTGAGCATCTTACTTGTGAAACAAAAAAAATATACCCAGGACCCAAAGATTCTGATTCAGCAGGCCTGGAATAAAATCCTGGCATTTGTAGTTTTCTATAAAGGGCAATATGTGATCAGGTGGGCACTCCTAATAGGTTTATTGATTTAAAGAAACCTGGCGGTAAATAAAGACTTGTACAAAAAGATACCACAGTCTGTAATGCACATAATTACCTTAAATCTTACTTTATAAATTCAGAATTCCACTTAATAAAAAACGAGACACCCCTGCTGCTTTTCCTATTTTACTTTGATCCTTATTCATGATTGGCATGTGAATGCCAATCTCCACAACTTAAGAGAGCCTAAGGGCTCCCATAATGTTTTAAATGAAGCCTAAGCAATTTAGTTAAGATCTGCATCTTCTAAAAGAGGGAAAAAAACAAAGAAAATGATGCAAAATTGTTAGAAATGTGAATGACTGTACTATGATATATTCGTTCTATTTGCTTTCAAAATAAACAGAAAACCCATTACAAAGTTAGAACACATCTGAGAAGCAAAATTACCCTGGCCTAACAGAAAACGAGGTCTGCAACAACTTCTGCCAAAAAACAAGACCAACTGTTGAATCTAACCTCTAGGTCAATATAAACAACTCAGGGACTGAGTTTGGAATTCAGAAACATTAAGTCAATCTGGTGCCAATTCTCATAAAGGCAGCTTTGTTCGGCAGAAAGAGCAGTCAGAAGACTTAGCACATGCTCTCATCTTGTCATGTTACCTTGGGCAAATTCCTAAACTAACCTTTCTAAATCCTATTTTCGTCTACTTTCAAAAAGAAATCATATCTGCTCTATTTCAGAGTATAGTTTTGAGAAGCAAATGAGATAATGTCTGTGAAAGTGACACAATTAAGATATTACTAGAATTATCCAGAAGGTTGCAGTCTACAGTTCAGATGTTTCAACTTCAAAACTGAAAATTTTAAGAAATGAGTCCTTTCTCCAAACAACAAAAAAAATCAGCATATGGAACTCCTCAAATCATGTGAAGATATCAATATTTTGCCTTTAATTTCAGTCTCAAAACTGCAGTTCTCTATAACTCTTATCTATCCCCCTTCTTTTCTAGCTCCCATGTGTAGTATACATTAACCGTGAAATTGGCAGCAAGGGACAGTACTGCATATAGATTCTCTTTTTCAGCAAACAACTTCAACTCCAAAGAGAAACAACATACACACGCAAATTTTCATTAGGAATAAAAACACAATTTCCTCACTGGTAAATTGAGGAAGGCAAACAAGATGATTTTGGAAGGCCTTTTCAGCTCTAACATTCCACAACCTATGGATCCTTTCTTTCCTTGGCTCCTCATAGAAAAATCTATTAAAACAAATGAAAGAAAAAATGGTTCTTTTGTTCATACTGCTAACTTTTGCATTAGCTCAAGATAAAAGGAAAATCAAAGAGAGGCTTTCAGGGCAATAAATGAGTTCATTCATAAGGATGGGAAAAATCCCATCCACCTAATTATTTATTAGTGAAATTAAAACACAAATATTATTTACAGAAGATACCACTTCAACCAGTGAAGACAGGAAACAAAAATATATAGTATTACAACACATAAAAAAATCAATTAATGTAAATCTGACACAAAAGTGATTGGGTGGGCAAGTTCTGGACTCTAAAAATATATTTTGCTTTCCCTGCCTAACGCAGCCATGGCGCGTGGTCCCAAGAAGCATCTGAAGTGGGCAGCAGCTCCAAAGCATTGGATGCTGGATAAATTGACCGGTGTGTTTGCTCCTCGTCCATCCACTAGTCCCCACAAGTTGAGAGAGTGTCTCCCCATCATATTCCTAAGGAACAGACTTAAGTAAGCCCTGACAGGAGATGAAGTAAAGAAGATTACATGCAGAGGTTCATTAAGATCGATGGCAAGGTCCGAACTCATATAACCTACCCTGCTGGATTCATGGATGTCATCAGCATTGACAAGACGGGGGAGAATTTCCGTCTCATCTATGACACCAAGGGTCGCTTTGCTGTACATCCTATTACACCTGAGGAGGCCAAATACAAAGTGAGAAAAATCTCTGGGGGCACAAAAGGAATCCCTCATCTGGTGACTCATGATGCCCGGCACCATCCGCTACCCTGATTCCCTCATCAAGGTGAATGATACCATTCAGACAGATTTGGAGATTGGCAAGATTACCAATTTCATCAAGTTTGACAATGGTAACCTATGCATGGTGACTGTAGGTGCTAACCTGGGAAGAACTGGTGTGATAACCAACAGAGAGAGGCACTCTGGATCTTTTGATGTGGTTCACATGAAAGATGCCAATGGAAACAGCTTTGCCACTCAACTTTCCAACATTTTTGTTATTGGCAAGGGCAACAAACCACAGACTTCTCTTCCCTGAGGAAAAGGGTATCTGCCTCACCATTGCTGAAAAGAAAGACAAAAGACTGGCGACCAAACAGAGCAGTGGGTGAAATGGTCCCTGGGTGACATGTTAGATCTTTGTACGTAATTAAAAATAATGTAGCATGATAAACAGAATTTTATTGCCATTATGAATCTCAAATTGGCTAGCCTGAAATTCTTTCAAGCTTGAAAATTCCTTAGATTCCTTAATAACAGTTCAGTTTTAAAAATAGTTAAGAAACAGAGGTAAATAAAAATCTAATCGTGACACAGTTACTGACTCCTCAATATATCTTCTAAGATATCTAACAAGAATCTTGAATCTCACATTTCCAAAACACCACTCTTGATTTCCCTACCTTAAACCCGCTCTTCCCTCTTGCTTTACCATTTCAGTTCAGCTCAGAGAATCAGCCTTGATTCCTCTATTTTCCTCACTCTACAGCTAATCCATCAGGAAGTCTTGTTGATTTGACCCACAAAATATATCCAGAATCCAACCATTTCCCTCCATTTCTGCTGCTCCCACCATGCTGTTTCAAGTGACATCATCTCTCATCTATATTCTAACACCTGGGTCCCTCTTCCATTCTGTCTTCAAATAATCCATTCCACAACCAGAGTCATACTTTTAAAAACACAAATGTCTCCATGTTTAAACACCCCAAAAGCTGCCCACGTGCCAGGCAATTTTATTAAAATAAAATTTAAATTCCCTGAATAAACCTGTATAATCTGTTCTCTGACTGGCCCACTGACCTTATCTCATTTCACTCTTCCCTCTAGTTCCTCATGCTCTAACTACACTGGCCTTCTTTTGGTCCTTTAAAAAAAAAAAAAAAAAAAGAAGGCCAGGCACAGTGGCTCACGCTTGTAATCTCAGCAATTTGCGGGGCCAAGGTGGCGGATCACTTGAAGTCAGGAGTTTAAGACCAGCCTGGCCAACATGGTGAAACCCCGTCTCTACTAAAAATACAAAAATTAGCCGGATGTGGTTGCGCAGGCCTGTAGTCCCAGCTACTCGGAAGGCTGAGACAGGAGAATCACTTGAACCTGGGAGGCGGAGGTTGCAGTGAGCCGAGATGGTGCCACTGCACTCCAGCCTGGGCAACAGAGCGAGACTCTATCTCAAAAAAAATATAATTATAATAATAAAATAAAGGAGAAGATGAAAGAAGAGAAAGATGATACAAGCAGGCGCAGGTGGTGGTGGGAGGCAGGAGGGGAAGGCAAGGAAGATAAGCATATTCCCACCTTTGGACCTTGGCACTAGCTTGTTTCCTCTACCTTGAAACACTCTTCCCCCAGCTGCTGTTCCCAGTAGAAGCTTTCAAAATGTTAACCACAACCCGTAGTAAGAAATGTATTTCATATTATTATTCATATTTATATACATAACTATATAAAACTAAAACAATTTAAATGTGTATTACTTACTATATACACACTTCAATGTTTTTATTCTATTTTGATCTTTAATTTTTAACACTTTATAATACAATTAATTTCAAAACCCACTAATAGGTACAACCCAAAGTTTGAGAAACACTGTACTAGTAATAAAACATTAAACACATGCTATATAATTTGGAAGTTCCAAAGCACATAGCAAAATGTCTGTAACAATGACTTTCTGATACTTCTGCTCTATAGGTATAGTTGCCTAAAGGTTGCTCTTTTCTCTAGGAAATGAAAGAATAAAATCTGCTTCAGCTTTCAGAACTCTACTGACTCCCAAGGTATACACTGGAGGTAAACAATTTCTGGAAAAGTAGCTCTAACACGCAATTCGAATTTCTCCAAAAATAACAGATAACGTCATAGCTAAAGTATGGTTAAATTAGATTATATGGTACCCATAGACCACGTCTTCTCCCTTCAACAAGATAAAGCAGGTTAAGTACGCTTTTAAGAGTCAGCAGAGGCCGGGCGCAGTCGTTCACGTCTATAATCCCAGCACTCTGGGAGGTTGAGGCAGGTGGATAAGGAGGTTGAGATGGAGACCATCCTGGCCAACATGGTGAAACTCCATCTCTACTAAAAATACAAAAAGTAGCCAGGCGTGGTGGCAGGTGCCTGTAATCCCAGCTACTCGGGAGGCTGAGGCAGGATAATCACTTGAACCTGGAAGGTAGAGGTTGCAGTGAGCTGAGATCGCACCACTGCACTCCAGCCTGGCGACAGAACAAGACTCCGTCTCCGAAATTAAAAAAAAAAGAGTCAGCAGAAAGACATTAACCATAAAATCAAAATCAAATAATATCTAAGCTAATTTAAGAATAAGAAGCTGGGCACGATGACTCATGCCTGTAATCCCAGCACTTTGGGAGGCCGAGGTGGGAGGATACCTGAGGTAAGGAGTTCGAGACCAGCCTGGCCAACATGGCAAAACCTCATCTCTGCTAAAGCTACAAAAATTAGCCTGGCATGGTGGCATGTACCTGTAGTCGAGGCAGGAGAATCGCTTGAACCCAGGAGGCGGAGGTTGCAGCGAGCCGAGATCATGCTACTGCACTCCGCCTGGGTGACAGAGCGAGACTCCGTCTCAATAGTAGTAGTAGTAGTAGTAGTAGTAGTAGTAGTAGTAGTAGTAGTAGTAATAATAATAATAAAGATAAGAGACTTCAAGTTATCCAGAAGAAAAAAATACAAATGTGCAAGTTTCCTTCTTACCACCCCATCCTCCCTCCAGCAATGGACCCCCACTTTTTTTTCCCCATATCCTCCCTCTGCCACTTCCTCCACATTTTTTCCTTTGTTTATCATTCTTCCAATTTGACTTACTTTTTTATGATGGGAAGATAGAACAGATGCCTCTAAAATGGGCTCCAAATCTCCTTGGTGGCTGTCATTATCACCTCTTCGTGTACCATCCAGTTGGTGCCCTTTTCTGAGCCTTATATCTGGCTCTGGAGTCCTGCTGCACCCCAATCGGTTTTCTGTTGGCTCGTTCATGGGATACCCAAGCCTTTCTTACAAATAGATCTGTCTTTCTGTCCCCTCTTCTTGGGAGAATGGACCTTCAGGATAGTGAGTTGATCCTAAGAAGATGAAAGTTTTGAAAAAATGCATTAAAGGAGTGCTGGGGAAAATATCAGTTATATTATCACATATCCAAACGACAGAATACTCAGCAATCAATAATAAAAGAATAATGTACTTAAAAGCTATATTTGTTGACAGGGAATATAGCCAAAAATCTCTTTTTAAATGAAAAACACAGGATACAAGACAACATGAATAATATGTTCCCACTTATATGTTATAAAAATATGTAAGTATATGTAAGTGCATATGTTCTAGAATAATTAATGAAAAATATTTAAAACCATACTCTTGGTACAGAAGAACATATGGAAGAACCTCGGGTCTGAAGTGAGAAGAATACTTACTTTGTTCTGCCTGCATTTTTTTTAACCATGTATCATATTACTTGTTTAATTTAAAAAATAGTATACAATTAGAAATTAGAATTCTAAATACTAATTGTATGTATTAGAAAGAATATATGTAAGTTTATATATTATAACTGGGCTTTACATATCCAATCTCATTTAAACATCACAATGACCCCACAGGGTATTTTTATTTCTAGTTCACAGGTAAAGGAAAACAAAATTCACCATACTTTATAAAAAATAAACAGGACAAAGTCTTCAAATTTATAAGCACATATTATCCATAATATTTTGTATTCAAAAGGCTTAATGTCTTACATTTCAACTTTTTTGAGTTATTCTGAACTCTAACTAGACTACCCTGGAAGGAAGAAACTCAGGACCAAAGCATACACGTTTTACATCCATCTGGGTTCCCAGAAAGTGCTACGCACACAAATGTTTAATGAATATTTGATAATATCTCAATGCTCTTGAGTGCTAAGAACATTTTCAGAAATCATTAATTTCTCTCTAAACTGGACTGCAGCAAGTAAGTCCTAGGAGTTCAAGCTTTTCAAGTCCTTGGCACTATACCTCTTAACTCATGATATGTAAGCTTATTTTAGACAATTAGTTGAATATCCAATAAGGATTATCACAGTCAATCCAACCAGAAATACCAAAACAGGAAGAGACCAGGGTATATGCTAGCTAATAAATTCCATGAGGTTCAAGGTTCTTAGTGGGGAAAGGAGTAGGGCAAAGTAGGAGAACCCAGATACCATAAAAAGAAGGTAACAGGTGGATTTAGTTTCATATATGTGGATACATAGACTAAGAATTAGTCAAAGAAACAGAGTAAGAATTAGTCAACTGTTGGTTTCATAAATCATGTGAATTTGCTGTAGGATTTCTCCAAGGGCTTTCGAAGTATGTAGGGCAAGAAGAAACAAAAATCTAAAGAATACCAAACCTGGGCATGTACCTGGGCCAAGCACATGATACTATTGAGATTATAAATTATGTTATTAATGCCCATTTCTGAAAGAGGAAACAGAATAATGGCTTCTATTTAATTATATTATTTAAAGCTCACAAAGCTATTCACACACACCATTTCATTTTGTTTCAGGGGAGAGGCAGCAAACATTTACTGAGAATCAACAAAGGTAAATTCTGTACCAGATAATTTACATGTGGTACTTCACAGCATCTTTAAATATAGCCTTCTGAGGTATTATTATCCTCCATTTTGAGGATTAGAGTTTGGATAACTTATTCAAGGTCATTAGGATTCAAAGAGAAGCAGCTGTGTTATACCCAGTTTCTGAACCTCATGAAGTTCATGTGCTTTCCACTGTGCAACAAAATTAAGACTGGGGTGAGTAAAAGATAAGAAAATGAACCCTAAATGTAGTTGGTTTATATCACAAGAAAACTACAGAGTCAGGATCTTGATGCTGAAGCTGTAGCAAGTAGAATAAAGCTTTGTAAAGTGTTCTTGAAATATCACCACACTAGGCTAGGCACAGTGGCTCATGCCTGTAATCCCAGCACTTAGGGAGGCCAAGGTGAGAGGATTACTTGAGCCTGGGAGGGGGAGTTTGCAGTGAGCCAAGATCACGCCACTGCACTCCAGCCTGGGCAACAGAGTGAGACATTATCTTAAAAAAAAAAAAAAAAAAAAAGAGGCCAGGAGCAGTGGCTCACGCCTGTAATCCCAGCACTTTGGGGGGCCGAGACGGGCAGATCACAAGGTCAGAAGATCTAGACCATCCTGGCCAACATGGTGAAACCCTCTACTAAAAATACAAAAAATTAGTCTCTACTAAAAATACAAAAAATTAGCTGGGTGTGGTGGCGCATGCCTGTAATCCCAGCTACTTAGGAGGCTGAGGCAGGAGAATTGCTCGAACCCGGGAGGCAGAGGCTGCAGTGAGCCGAGATCATGCCACTGCACTCCAGCCTGGCAACTCCATCTCAAAAAAAAAAAAGAAAGAAAGAAAAGAAAAGAAAAATATCAGCACACCAAACTTTTCATCAGCAGGAGCTATATATGGAGGAATGTTGCTCATTTATGAGACTATAAACGCACGCTCAGGCGGGCACAGTGGCTCACACCTGTAATCCCAGCACTTTGGATAGCTGTGGCAGGAGGATCACTTGAGCCCAGCAGTTCGAAACCAGCTTGGGCAACAAAGTGAGACCCACCTCTACAAAAAAAAAAATTTTTTTAATTAGCCGGGTGTGGTGGCACGTGGCTCATGGCTGTAGTACTAGCTACTCAAGAGGCTGAAGTGGGAGGATCACTTAAGCCCAGGAGTTCGAGGTTGCACTGAGCTCTGATGGCATTACTACACTCCAGCCTGAGTAACAAAGCAAAGACCCCATCTCGTAATAAAAAAGAAAAACTGAAAAGCTCCATTAGTTAGAATTGTTTTGTAATCCTCATCTCAGAAGAAGAAATCAAATGACAACAAATAAGAGTTCCCCAATAATTTTTAAGGATCCTCCTTAAAATAAAAAGAAGAAAATCAACTCTCCAGTAAAGTCCTGAGATCAATATACATTCCTATCAATACTGTTTTCTAAATTGACAAGTATGATAAAATAAGAATGAAGAAAATAAAGTGCTGCAAAATCTACAAAGAAATCAAATATTGGCCACTCTACAGAAAGCAGGAAGGCCTATAATATTGACTTTCAACAGTAGAACTGTTGAAGTAAAAGTATTTATGTCAACCTTCAGGTTCCCATAAATTTAACAAAACAGAACACCCCAATACTAGAACACACTAGAGAACTGAAATTTACTATATGTTTTACTCTATTTGCATTCTACCTACTGAAATAAAATGAACTCCTACTAGCATGCAATGCCTTGAAGAAAAAAAAAAAAAGCAAACAAGTCTAAGAGTCTAAAGCCAGAAAATGGTATTACCAGCATTATTTAACTCTATCTTGGAAGTCTTAGATAATTAAATGAGGGAAAAAAATGAGTATAAAAATTGGGGGAAAAAAAGGTAAACTGTAACTATTTGCAGATTATATGACTCTTTTATCTATAAAATCCAGGAGAATCAACTAAAGAAAAAATTATAAATAAGAAAAATCATCAATGTGATGGGGCATAAAATTGATATATGGATTTCAACAGCCTTCATCCTAAAACCCCACAATATTTGGTCATTATGAAATAAGAATACATCACAATAGAAAAAAGATAAAACACTTCAAAACAAATCTTAAAATGTTACTGAGGATCTACAAAAAAAAATTCTAGAAATAATGAGTTCAGGAAGAATTCAAGATCAACACTCAAATATCAATCACTTCTCTTTTCTTTCTAGAGACACAGGGTCTCACTCTGTTGCCCAGGCTGGAGTGCAATGGTGCAATCATACCTCACTGTAACCTTGAACTCCTGGGCTCAACGGATCCTCCTGCCCTCCACCTGCCAAGTACCTAGGATTACAGGTGCACACCACCATACCTGGCCTTTTTTTTTTTTTTTTAATTTCTTGTAGTGATGGAGTCTCGCTATGTTGCCCAGGCTGGTCTTGAACTCCTGAACTCAAGTGATCCTCTCACGTTGGCCTCCCAAAGTGCTGGGATTAAAGGTATAAGCCACTGTGCCCAGCCATCATTTACTTTTCTATATATTAACAATAAACACGCAGAAACTGAAATTTTTAACAATACCATTTACAACTGCTCCATAGAAAATTAAATACTTTAAGTATACGCTTAGCAAAATACGTATAGGCCCTATATGCTAAAAATTCCAAAATGCTGATGAAATAAATCAGAAATCTAAACAAATACAAGAGACTGAGGCAAGAGGATCACTTCAAGACCAGGAGTTTGAGACCAGCCTGGGCAACAAGACCATGTCACTAAAAAAAAATTAAAAGTTAGCTGAGTTTAGTGGCATGCACCTGTGTAGTCTAGGTACTGAAGAGAATGTGGTGAGAGAACTGCTTGAGTCCAGGAGTTTGAGGCTGCAGTGAACTATGATGACACCACTGCACTCCAGCCTGGACAACAGCATGAGACCCCATTTCTCAAAAAAAAAAAAAAAAAAAACTAAACAAATAGCAATATGTTATACTATGTTCTCAGCAATATACTGACTCAGTAAAGATGTCAATTCTGTCCAAATTGTTCTATAGGTTAATACAATTCCTATCAAGATCCCAGCAAGGATTTCTGTAGATAAAAACTCATTATAAAACTTACATGGAAGGCAAAGCTCCAAAATAGCTAAAACAATCGAAAAAGACCTCACTGAAGGCCAACTACATAGCTAGTCAAGACTGTGTTGGTATGAGCAAAAGAATACACACATAGAGTAACAGAACAGAACAGAGAACCCAGAAATGACCCACACAAGTATGCCTGTTATTTTATTGTGGTGCTATGATATCTATTGGTCTTCTTCCATGGTTCCTGGCCTTAACTCCCATAGCCTTTATTCCAGTCTTTCATTATAATGTTGGAAGTGTTAGGCCTCAGAGGCAGGCCTCTTTCTCCTGCCTGCTTTCCACACTTAATGTTCCCCTGACTTTTTGATTGCGGGTCTTAAGACTCTCTCATGTAGGGTCCCATCTATGCCCTTGGGGTAGGAATGTTGATGTCATGAAGCTTCCATAAAAACCCAAGAGGACAGGGTTCAGTGAACTTCAAGACAGCTGAACACACAGAGGTTCCTGGTGGGTGGAGCATCCAGGGAGGACATGAAAGTTTCACACCCCTTCCCCCATACGTAGCCCTGCACGTCCCTTCATCTGTAACCTTTGCAATATTCTTTATAATAAACTAGTAAGCGTAAATAAGTGTTTCCCTGAGTTCTGTGCGCCAGTCCAGCAAATTAATGAACCCAAAGAGGGGGCCATGGGAGCCCCAACTTGAAGCTGGTTGGTCAGAAGTTCTGGAGGCCCCGACTTATGACTGGTGTGTGTGTTAGGGGAGTAGTCTTAGGTACGGAGCCCTCAACCTGTGGGATCTGACACCAATGACCCGGAGATAGTGTCGAACTGAATTAGAGGACACTCAGGCTGCTGTCTGCTGCTTGGTGTGTGGGGAAAACAACCCCATGTGTGTGATCACAGAAGTCTTCTTCTGTGTTGATTATTGCTGTGGTATGACAGTAGAGGAAAAACACAGTTTGAGGAGAGTTTTTCCCTAAACACGTTTACAAATATCCAAAGCAATTCAATAATGGAAGGATAACCTTTTCAATAAATGGTGCTGAAATAATTGAACATCCATAGACAAAAAACTTAAAAAAAAAACTTCAACCTGTAAATTTAGGTCACACTTCATACAAAAATTAACTCAAAATGGATCATAGACTTAAATGTAAAACGCAGGCCAGGCACGGTGGCTCACGCCTGTAATCCCAGCACTTTGGGAGGCCGAGGTGGGCAGATCACAAGGTCAGGAGATTGAGACCATCCTGGCTAACACGGTGAAACCCCATCTCTAATAAAAATATAAAAAATTAGCCAGGCGTGGTGGCGGGCACCTGTAGTTCCAGCTACTCGGGAGGCTGAGGCAGGAGAATGGCGTGAACCCGGGAGGCGGAGTTTGCAGTGAGCCGAGATCGCGCCACTGCACTCCAGCCTGGGCGACAGAGAGAGACTCCGTCTCTAAAAAAAGAATAAATAAATAATAAAAGTAAAGGAAAGCATAATGACAATATCACCTCAGATAGAGATCAATGAAGAGATGTAAACTACAAAAAAGAACCAAATAAAAATTATGAAGCTGAAAATTACAATAATGGAAATTTAAAAATAAAGGGTGGGGGGGCTCAACAGTAAATTGGAAAATCTTAGAGCTATGTGGGACACCAATAGGCACAGTTTGGTACTCTAAAAGGAGAGGAGAAAAAGTGGTAGAGGGGAAAAAAAATTCAAAGAAATAATGGCTGAAAACTCCACAAATGTACTGAAGACAATAAACCACACATCCAGGAAACTCAATGTATTTTAACTCAGAGAAAGGCAAGGACATCCAGACAGATGCCTCACAGTAAAAATGTTGAAAGTCAAAGTCAAGGAGAAAATCTTAAAAGCAGCAAGAACCAAACGACTCATTATTTTAAAATGGAACCCAGTAAGATTAGCAGCTGACTTCTAAGCAGAAACAATGGCAGACAGAAAACAATGAGATAACATAATCAAAGTGTTCAAATAAAAGAAAAAAAAAACCTGTCAACCAATCTTATATCTAGCAAAACTACATTTCAAAACTGAAGGCGAAACAGACCTTCTCAGATTTTAAAAAGCAATAAAACAGATTTTGTTCCTGGAAGATCCCCCTTAAAAGAAATGCAAAAGCCTGGAAGCAAGTGACCTCAAACAGCAATTCAAATCCACGTACCACCCACCACCGCCCAACAAAAAAGAAAGAGTACCTGTAATTATATAAATGTTTACCTTTTGTCTTAACTGATTTTGAAAAGCCAATTGTATGAAGTGATATATATATTGCAACCCCTAAGTTTTGGTATGCTGTGTTTTTGTCTCGATATTTTCTAATTTACCTTGTGATTTTTGACCCAATGGTTAAGTGTGTTAATTTCCACATATTTGTGAATTTTCCAGTTCTCATTCTCATATTTCCACTTTCATTCCATTGTGATTAGAAAAGGCACTTTGTGTAATTTCAATCTTTTTAAATTTATTAAGACTAATTTTATGGCATAGTATATGGTCTATCCTGAAGAATGTTCTATGTGCACTTGAGAAAAATAGCTACTGAGTGGAGTATACATGCCTATTAGGCCCAACTGGTTTACAGCGGTGTTAAAGTCTTTTATTTCTTTGTTTTGTTTTGTTTTTTTTATTTTTTGGGGGGGGGCAGTGGAGTTAGTGGGGGAGACAAGGTCTTACTCTGTTGCCCAGACTAGAGTGCAAGGACATGATCACAGTTCATTGCAACCTCAAACTCCTGGGTTCAAACAATCTTCCTCTTCCCACCTCAGCCTTCCAAGTAGCTGGGACAACAGGGGTGCAATAACATGCCCAGCTAATTTTTTAATTTTTAGTAGAGACAAGGTCTCACTATTTATCCAAGCTGGTCTCAAACTCCTGAGCTCCAGCAATCCTCCCACTTCAGTCTCGTAAAATGTTAGGATTATAGGCGTGAGCCACCATGCCTATAATTCCACTCTACTTCTAACTAGACTAGATCTGTCTAGTTGTTCTACCCATTATTGAAAGTGGCATATTAAAGTCTCCAGTTATTATTTTAGATCTGTCTGTTGCTCAATGAGGTCAATATTTGCTTCAGGTTATTTGGAGCTCTGATGTTCAGTACATACATGTTTATAATTGTTATATCTTCTTGGTGTATCGACTCTTCTATTTAATGCTCTTCCTTGTCTCTTATAAGAGGGTTTTTTTTGTTTTTTGTTTTTTGTTTTTGAGGCAGTCTTGTTCTGTCGCCCAGGGTGGAGTGCAATGGCTTGATCTCGGCTCACTGCAACCTCCGTCTCCCTGGTTCAAGCAATTCTTCTGCCTCAGCTTCCTGAGTAGCTGGGATTACAGGCACACACCACCATGCCCGGCTAATCTTTGTATTTTTAGTAAAGATGAAGTTTTACCTCAAGTGATCCACACACCTCAGCCTCTCAAAGTGCTGGGATTACAGGCATGAGCCACCACACCCAGCCTCTTAAGTGTTTATAAGAGTTTTTAACTAAAAATCTATCTTGTCTGATATTAGCAAACTGTCCCAGCTCTCTTTTAGTTACTATTTGCATGTGATAACTCTTTCAGTCCTTTCACTTTCAACCTATACATGTCCTTAGACCTAAAATAGATCATATTTTTTAGATCATGTCATTTTTTTTTTAATCCATCAGGAAGATGAGGAAGGAAACTGGGTAAGTGAAAACAAGCATAGGAAGAAGACTTATTTTTATTTTACATTCTTTAGTAACTTCTGAATTTTGGACTACAGGTACAAGGGATCTTCAAAAAGTTCGTGTAACATATGTTTTATGAAAACACTATGCATGAATTTCAATAAAATTTTGCACCAAAATAAGCTGGTACTAACTTGTTATAACACATCTGAACAAGATGTAGTTTGAGGCACTAAGAAGGATAAGACATTGGTTTGAAAAGCACCCTAACAGAGCAACATGAATTCTGCTAAAATTGAAGCAAGAACAAAACATCAAATTTATGGTGAAGTTTGAGTGGAAGAATGGTAAAATCACTGGTGCTTTACGAAAACTTTATAGAAACAATGCCCCTAAGAAATCAGCAGTTTATAAATAGGATAATTCATTGTAAGAAGGGACAAGATGATATTGAAGATGAAGCCTGCAGTAGCAGACTATCAACATAAATTTTTTAGGAAAAAATTCATCCCGTTTGTAACCTAAATGTAGAGATCCAATGATTAACAGCACAAACAACAGCCAATACCATAGACATATAAATTCATTCAGCGTATACAAATCTAACAAAAAAATTTAAGTTGAACAAACTTTCTGCTTGATGGGTACTAAAACCATTGTGCTCAGATCGGCCACAGACAAAAGCAGTGCCTTCAATGCAAATTTTAAACAAGTGGCAACAAGAGCATGTGGAATTTCTTTGAAAAATTTTAACAGGAGATGAAACATGACTTTACCAGTGTGATCCTGAAGACAAAGAAAAAAACAAAGCAATGGGTACCAAGAGATGAAAGTGATCCAGTTAGAGCAAAAGCAAACCCATCAAGAGCGAAGGTCATGACAAAAGCTTTTTGGAATGCTCAAGGAATCTTGTTGACTTTCACCACCACAAGGTTCCTGCTCATTCCTCTCAAATGGGCAGTTTTGCTAGGGTTTCAATGGGAAATCACTGGGCATCCACCAAACAGTGCTGATTGGCTCCTTCTGACTTCTTTTTGTTTCCGAACCTTAAAAAAAAATTTAAAGGGCACCCATTTTTCTTTAATTAATAATGCAAAAAAAAGACTGCACATACTGATATGGTTACAGGACTTCTTTAGGAGTGGACTAAATGGCTAGCATTATTGCTTACAAAATTTTCTTGAACTCGATAGAGCTTATATTGAGAATAAAGTTTATATTTTGTATTTTTATCTTTTAATTCCATTTTTCCACAAACTTTTTGAGGTCCCCTCATATCTATCCAAAGATAAATATAAAAGGATTTTTTAATTGTAAGGTTAGCAAATAATGAAAATAGTTCCGAACATTAAAATAGTGCTTTTATTACCAGAAAGTATAAGGCACCATTTAAGAATTTTCAAGTAGGTCAGATGTGGTGGCTCACACCTGTAATCCCAGCACTTTGGGAGGCCAAGGCAGGTGGATCACTTGAGGTCAGGAGTTCAAGATCAGCCTGGTCAACATGGTGAAACCCCATCTCTACAAAAAAATACAAAAATTAGCCGGTCATGGCGGTACGCGCCTATAGTTCCAACTACTAACCAGCCAGGGTGACAGAGCCAAAGACTCTGTCTCAGAAAACAACAACAACAAAAAAAGCTGGACGTGGTGGCTCACACCTGCAATCCCAGCACTTTGGGAGGCCGAGACGGGCAGATCACAATGTCAGGAGATCAAGACCATTCTGGCTAACGTGGTGAAACCCTGTCTCTACTAAAAATACAAAAAATCAGCCAGGTGTGGTGGCGGCTGCCTGTAGTCCCAGCTACTCGGGAGGCTGACAGGAGAATGGCATGAACCTGGGAGGCAGAGCTTGCAGTGAGCTAAGATCGTACCACTGCACTCCAGCCTGGGCGACACAGCAAGACTCCGTCTCAAAAAAAAAAATACAGAAAAAAAAAAGACTTTTCAAGCATTTTATCCCATATAAAACATAACAGCAAAATAAACATTCCTTTCTGCATTCAGATAAGGACCATCCTATAACCTCTATCCAACATAAATTTGAGCTAAACATGATCAGTGGTCTCATCCGTTGGGTGGCACAGGCATACACAATGACACAGTCTGGAAAAAATATAAGGCTGATCATAAAGTGACAATTCCCAGAGTCCTGTTTTTTAATGTAATAAAAAAGTTAAATTATTTTATCTCCTTTTTCTTGTATATAACATAGAAAAGCCTATTCATCAAATGCAAGACTCTTAAGCCAGATCTTTAATATGCAGATAGAAATCAACAATAAGTGATTAATTTTTCAACAGTTCAAGATAACTCATATTAATAACAGTACCTGGAAATTTGAGTTGTATGGGTTTTTTTTAATTTAATATTTTTAGAGATAGGGTCTCACTCTGGAGTGCAGTGGCACAATCACAGCTCACTGTAACCTTGAATTTCTGTGCCCAAGCAATCCTCCCGCCTCAGCCTCCATCCAGAGAAGCTTAGACTACAGGCGTGTGCCCACCACACCCAGCTAATTTTTAATTTTTTGTAGCACTGGAGTCTCACTCTGTTGCCCAGGCTGGTTTTGAACTACTGGCCTCAAGTGATCCTCCCATCTCAGCCTCCCAAAGTGCTTACAGGCATGAGCTAATGTGCCCAGTATTTTAGAGAATTTAAACTATTGCCTCCAAAGTTACTTGATGTAATTTAAGACTCATAGAATTTCTTTTTTTTTTTTTTTTTTTAGACAGCGTCTCGCTCTGTTACCCAGGCTGGAGTGCAGTGGCACAATCTTGGCTCACTGCTTTGTTTTTTTTTTTTTTTTTGGTAGAGATGGGGTTTCACCATGCTGGCCAGGCCAGTCTCAAACCCCTGACCTCAAGAGATCCTCCAGCCTTGGCCTCTCAAAATGCTGGGACTACAGGCATGAGCAACCACATCCGGCCCTCGAGACTCATAAAATTTCTTACACAAGGAAAATTTTGAATGTTTCCCCAAGAGCTATAGTTTGCAAATCCCTCTAGGACTGCTATATTCTCCCTTAAAAAGAGAGTAGCATAACTAAACCCAGCAACTCCCAACTCTTCACAAACAAAAAAATAAAATCGAAAAGTAAAAATATTTGATCCTGAAGTAAAGAAGTAAATCCTGAATCCTAAAGTAAAAGAAGGCTGCTATCACACTTGCCTTGCTTTTGTATTCAGTCAGCCCTCTATATCAATGGGGTTCTGCATCTGTGGATTCAACCAACAACAGATGGAAATTATCCAGATTTTTAAAATTACATCTATTCTGAACATGTAGACTTTTTTCCCTAAACAATACAGTATAGTAACTATTTACAGGGCATTTACATTGTATTTGGTACTACAAGTAATCTAGACATGATTTACAATATACAGGAAGATGTGCTTAGGTTATATGCAAACGCTATGCCATTCTCTATCAGGAACTTGAGCATCCACAGATTTTGGTATCCATGGGAGGTCCTGGAACCAATCCCCCATGGATACCAAAGGATGACTGTATTCTACTCAGAACTTAGAATTACTGTGCATCTCTGAATGCTCTCGCTCTTTCAAAATTAGCCATCTAGTGGTTACCTGCCTTATGGATGGGGAATAAGGCTCAGAGGTAGATTTCTAAACATAGAAAAAAGTGGCAGCTGGGCACAGTGGCTCACGCCTGTAATCCCAGCACTTTGGGAGGCCCAGGTGGGCAGATGGCTTGAGCCCAGGAGTTCAAGACCAGCCTGGGCAACACGGCAAGACTCCGTCTCTACAAAAAATGCAAAAATAAGCCAGGCGTGGTGGTGTGCACCTGCAGTCCCAACTACTCAGGACACTGAGGTGGGAGGATCGCTTGAGCTTAAGAGTTCAAAGCTGCAAGCAGCTGTGATCGCACCACTGCACTTCAGCCTGCAGATAGCAAGATGCTATCTTAAAAAAAGAGAGAGAGAAAAGTGACAAAAAACAGACCCTGGCTCTCACAATTCTCTGACTCCTCATTGGGAGTTCAACAATCATAAGATTTTGTCTTTTTTTTTTTTTAACTTTTCAGTCAAGTCCAGCCTAGAGGTAATAAAATTCTTTTTGAAAGAGATATAGTTCAAATTTTCAAGAAGACACTCTTAACCTATTCCATTCATCTTTAGCTAACATTATTTTATGTAACATATCTACTTTCACAAAGTCTGGTCCATTTTTTAAAATGATTTACCTAAGAAAAAAGAACTCTAGCACTAAAGAAAATCACTTAATTGCATGCATAGTCATTCCATCAAACCTGACATTTGTTATTTTACAATACTCTCCAGGGCTTTTTCATTCCAAACAGGTTATGTGTCCCAAAGGCATTCTCTATGGCAAACTATGAATTCCCCATTGGTTGTCTAGTAGTTATAAGCCTGTAAGTTGAACATAATTAAACCATAGCATTGTTTACCTGCCTTCTGTTTTCCTATTTAATGATTGAAGGCTTTTTTCCTTTCCAAATTATATTCTGTAACTTGCTGCTGCAGCAATCATCTATCTGATTTGCTAACACTATAGGTTCACTTGCTACAGTGGACAGTATTACACAACACTATTGCCAAAGATATTCCTCCCTCTTCCTAAGCCCCCATACTTAATCCATTAGTAAATAATACATGGATTTTATCTCCCAAAATATCTCTCAAATTATTTCCCTTTCTTTTTCTCTTCCCTGCCATGATCTTAGCTAAACCACCAATATCTCTGACCTACAATACTTTGATAATCCCCTAACAGGCCTCCCTATCCTCTACTCTCATACCTGCAGTTTCCTCTCTTTATTTAGCAGCCAAAGTGCTCTTTCGAACAGAAAAATCATGTCACTCCCCTGCTAAAATCCCTCCAGATTTTATTCCTTGTGCAAAAGGAAGCCAAATCTTTACCATAATTCCCACAAGGCCCTTAATGATTTTGCCCCACCAACCTCTCCAACCTCAACTTATAAAGCTCCCTAATTGACTCACTATTCTTTTGAACCTTTTCCATACCAATCTTGATCAACATCAGGCCCTAGAAACATGCCTGGGAACTTAACTAGCTAGCTATCCCTTACCATTTAAGCTCCCAGGTAAAAGGTCACCTTTTCAGGAAGCCCCTACCTGACGACCCGTCACACTAATCATTCTAACACTTGACACAGTTTAATTTCCTTCACAGTCCTTATCACTCTCTCAAATATTTATTTTCCTATTAATTATCTGTCTTTCTCAACTAAACCACCAGCCTCTTAAGTGTCAAATCTTGTTTGTCTCGTTCACCATATGTATCTAAAACAGGATCTGTCACATAGTACACACACATACATACGTAAAACAGGATCTGTCACACAGTACACACCCTCAAGATCTGCTTAATGTGTAAACAAATGAAGTTTCTATCAGAAATTCCCTGGCGGTGTGCACTGATTGTAGCCTCTCAAAATTCATATGTTAAGTCCTAACCCCCAGTACTTTACAATGAGACTGTATTTGGAAATAGAGGCTTTAGAGAGGTAATCAAGGTTAAATGAAGTTACAAGGTGGGGGGGCCTAATCCACTATGACTGATGTCCTTGTAAGAAGAGACACCAGGGAGGAATACATGCCCAGAGGAAAGGCCCTGTGAGGACAGAGAGAAGGCAACAATTGCAAGCCAAGGAGAGGGGTGATAGGAGAAACCAAACCTGCTGACATGTTGATCTTGAAACTCTAGCCTCCAGAACTGTGAGAAAATACATTTCTGTCATTTAAGCCACCCAGTCTGCAGTACTTTATGGCAGGCCTAGCAAATCAATACACTTGGCTTTCAATAGAATAGCACATCACTTTAGCATTTTTCAGCAGAAATAACTGAAAAGTTACATCTAAAAGTTTACCATTCAAGGTAGGCATCATCATAATCCTTTATACAGCCACTTAAAATTTAACTTCTTTTTTTTTTTGAGATGGAGCCTCGCTCTTGTCGCCCAGGCTGGAGTACAACGATGCAATCTCAGTTCACTGCAACCTCTGCCTCCCGGGTTCAAGCAATTCTCCTGCCTCAGCCTTCTGAGTAGCTAGGATTACAGGCATGTGCCACCACGCCCGGTTAATTTTTTGTATTTTTAGTAGAGACGGGGTTTCACCATGTTGGCCAGGCTGGTCTCGAACTCCTGACCACAGGTGATCTACCCACCTCAGCCTCCCAAAGTGCTGGGATTACTGGCGTGAGCCACTGCGCCCAGCTAATTTAACTTTTAAACATATAATAAGGAATTTAAGGAAACTGCATGTGTGATTGAGGTCATAAAAAGTCAGTGCTCATAACACTCTAAAGAAGGCTCAACAAACTTTTTCTATAATAAAAGGCCAGATTATAAATATTTTAGGTTTCGTGGGCCACAAAAGGTCTCTCCTACAAAAAACTCAACTCAGCTAGTGCAGCACAAAAGTAGTCAGACAATATGTAAATGAATTAATGTGGCTGTGTTCCAATAAAACTTTATTAACACTGAGATTTCCATTTCATATAATTTTCATTCATCTATCACAAAACATTATTTTGTTTAAACTATTTTTAAATGTAAACACCAATCTTTGCTCATGAGCCATACAAAAACAGGTAGATACCCAGGGGCTAGCTATAGTTTGCTAACCCTGCCCTAAGGCAATAATTTTACTTTCAGAGAGGGAAATCTCAAGGCTTCTCCACATAGCTACAATTTACACAGCATCCCACTGGCTAGACTAGAAGCATATGCACCTACCTGTGTAACTACTACTATAATGACCTTGACCCATTGTTTCTTATTTACTTGTGTCTCCCATTAGACTACACGCAAAGACATAAAGGCAGAGAGCAGTACCTTCATCATTTTTTATGTTCAGAGCTAAGTAATGTTCCTGATGCACAGTAAATTTTCAACTGTCTTCTGAAAGAATTCATGTTTTACTGTTCTTTGACTTAAAATTCCTCTTCCAACTGTACTACTGCCCCTCTAAAATAAAATTTTTTGAAGTTTTTTTAAAGTTATTTTCCCAAAAAATTTTATGGCAGCATAAAATTATCACAAAAGAAATTTTGCTGAATATAATGACTCACACAAGAAATGTTATTCTTTGAAAACAAATAATCTCCCCAAATACGTTTAACAGACTTTTTGTTGTTATTAATGCTCCTGTTAATTCTCATTTTCGAGAAAAATATTCCTTTGTTCTTCAAAGGAAATATAAATCAATCTAAAAATTCAGTCCCAGTCACAACAGAGAAAAATATCCAAAATGGTTTCTTCAACCAACACAAAAAATCTGTCTCTTAAGCATACTCACTCCTTTAATAAATATGTGTGAGGCTGACAAGATAGTTTTGAGTGGAAAAGTTCATCCACCTCCAAAAAGTGAAAGAAGGTCAAAGGGGGACCAGCATAAACCACTAGCAATTCAAGATAAGATGGTCTCTGCTGGCTGGAGAATTCATTTAATTACCTTTATTTTATTATTTTAGGCTCTGGAATTCTGCCAAACTCTCTTTAAAGAAAAAAATAGGAAGAAGGAGAAACTCCTTGGGGAAGGAAAAAAATGAATGTTTTTCTCTAAAATGAGAAATTACAGGGCTTGTGCTTTTCTGGCTCAATACAGAGTTAAATTTACAAACAAAACACAGAAACTACTAAAAATTTTTTTTGAGACAAGGTCTCACTCTGTCACCCAAGCTGGGCACAGTAGTGCAATCACAGCTCATACTGCAGCCTCAATTTCCCAGATTCAAGTGATCCTCCCACCTCAGTTTCCCGGGTAGCTGGGACCACAGGCACATACCACCATGCCTGGTTAACTTTTTTTTTTTTTTTTTTTTTGTAGAGACAGGGTTTCTTCATGTTGCCCAGGCCGGTCTCAAACTCCTGGGCTCAAGCAATCCATCCATCTCAGCCTCCCAAAGTACTGGGACTACAGGCAAGAGCTACCACACCCAGCCATAAACTACTAAAACTAATAAGGTAGGAGTACAAGAGAGTAACACATTAAAATCAAATCAAGTAGTGGTAATGCTGTGACATTTATTCCCACCCCTGCCTTAGTATGTAGAAGAGAAAAGAACCAATTATCAAAAAAAGGGACCTTCATACATGGCAACTGTAATAAGTAATGGACAAAATCTTAAATTGGAAGCATGAATATGCAAGGAACAGGAGTGATGCTGTAAAGGGTCAGTCTGGGCCAGGCGCAGTGGCTCCGCCTGTAATCCTAGCACTTTGGGAAGCCAAGATGGGCAGATCACTTGAGGTCAGGAGTTCAAGACCAGCCTGGCCAACATGGTGAAACCCCATCTCTACTAAAAATACAAAAAATTACCCAAGCGTGAGGCTGGGGCACAAGAATTGCTCGAACCCAGGAGGTAGAGGTCACAGTGAGCCAAGATCACACCACGGCACTCCAGCCTGGGTGACAGAGTGAGACTCTGTCTCCAAAAAATATATAAACAGTCAGTCTGTGTGACAACTACAGGAAGATTAGCAAACAACTCACTGGTGTACTTCTTTTCCAAAATTTCATTAAGGGTTTTTCTATCTGGTAAACTTGGAAATGATTATAAATAACATGAAGACAACAAACTACCAATTCTAGAGGGAAATGACTTAATTTGAAACACACTCAGCAGAAAACCTAAACCCTGATAATTAACATGTATTTTCCACATGACAATACTGTAAGAAAAAAAACAACAACAAAAAACCCCACAAATAACTTCAGTCTTCTCTCAAAACAAAACAACTTCAACTATAAAAGGTACATTGAGATGTACATAAACTCTGTATCTGAGGAACAAGTATTTGGGCACTCTGCAAATATATACAGGCTACAATTTCAAACAGCAATAATTATATATTCCTAACATAAATATATGCTGTCAGGTGCCCATTATCTCATTTATTCTTCATAACAACCTGAAGGATTCAACACCTCATTTCTGCAACTGAAGAATTCAAGGCTCACAGTTTGTGCAGGTTGCTCAGTCTCATGGCTGGTAAGTGGAAGAAAAGTTCAAAATCGGGCCCTTCTGGCTTTTCACTCAGCCATAATGCCTGGTGGACATGAAAACAGGCCCATTGTGTAGACACTAATTCTGACCAAATTTTCTGAATCAAAAACAAACTATATGGAAACTGAACAACCTCCTCCTGAATGACTACTGGGTACATAACGAAATGAAGGCAGAAATAAAGATGTTTTTTGAAACCAATGAGAACAAAGACACAACATACCAGATTCTCTGGGACACATTCAAGGCAGTGTGTAGAGGGAAATTTATAGCACTAAATGCCCACAAGAGAAAGCAGGAAAGATCTAAAATCGACACCCTAACATCACAATTAAAAGAACTAGAGAAGCAAGAGCAAACACATTCAAAAGCTAGCAGAAAACAAGAAATAACTAAGATCAGAGCAGAACTGAAGGGGATAGAGACACAAAAAAACCCTTCAAAAAATTAATGAATCCAGGAGCTGGTTTTCTGAAAAGATCAACAAAATTGATAGACCACTAGCAAGACTAATAAAGAAGAAAAGAGAGAAGAATCAAATAGACACAATAAAAAATGATACAGGGGATTGTGATACAGGGGTGGTGATACCACCAATCCCACAGAAATACAAAGTACCATCAGAGAATACTATAAACACCTCTACGCAAATAAATTAGAAAATCTAGGAGAAATGGATAAATTCCTCGACACATACACCCTCCCAAGACTAAACCAGGAAGAAGTTGAATCTCTGAATAAACCAATAACAGGCTCTGAAATTGAGGCAATAATTAATAGCTTACCAACCAAAAAAAGTCCAGGACCAGATGGATTCACAGCCGAATTCTACCAGAGGTACAAGGAGGAGCTGGTACCATTCCTTCTGAAACTATTCCAATCAATAGAAAAAGAGGGAATCCTCCCTAACTCATTTTATGAGGCCAGCATCATCCTGATACCAAAGCCTGGCAGAGACAAAACAAAAAAGAGAATTTTAGACCAATATCCCTGATGAACATCGATGCAAAGATCCTCAATAAAATACTGGCAAACCGAATCCAGCAGCACATCAAAAAGCTTATCCACCATGATCAAGTGGGCTTCATCCCTGGGATGCAAGGCTGGTTCAACATACGCAAATCAATAAACGTAATCCAGCATACAAACAGAACCAACAACAAAAACCATATGATTATCTCAATAGATGCAGAAAAGGCCTTCGACAAAATTCAACAATGCTTCATGCTAAAACTCTCAATAAATTAGGTATTGATGGGACGTATGTCAAAATAATAAGAGCTATTTATGACAAACCCACAGCCAATATCATACTGAATGGGCAAAAACTGGAAGCATTGCCTTTGAAAACTGGCATAAGACAGGGATGCCCTCTCTCACCACTCCTATTCAACATAGTGTTGGAAGTTCTGGCCAGGGCAATTAGGCAGGAGAAGGAAATAAAGGGTATTCAATTAGGAAAAGAAGAAGTCAAACTGTCCCTGTTTGCAGATGACATGATTGTATATCTAGAAAACCCCATTGTCTCAGCCCAAAATCTCCTTAAGCTGATAGGCAACTTCAGCAAAGTCTCAGGATACAAAATCAACGTGCAAAAATCACAAGCATTCTTATAAACCAATAACAGACAAACAGAGAGCCAAATCATGAGTGAACTCCCATTCACAATTGCTTCAAAGAGAATAAAATACCTAGGAATCCAACTTACAAGGGACGTGAAGGACCTCTTCAAGGAGAACTACAAACCGCTGCTCAATGAAGTAAAAGAGGACACAAACAAATGGAAGAACATTCCATGCTCATGGGTAGGAAGAATCAGTATCGTGAAAATGGCCGTACTGCCCAAGGTAATTTATAGATTCAATGCCATCCCCATCAAGCTACCAATGACTTTCTTCACAGAATTCGAAAAAACTACTTTAAAGTTCATATGGAAGCAAAAAAGAGCCCACATTGCCAAGTCAATCCTAAGCCAAAAGAACAAAGCTGGAGGCATCACGCTACCTGACTTCAAACTGTACTACAAGGCTACAGTAACCAAAACAGCATGGTACTGGTACCAAAACAGAGATATAGACCAGAACAGAGCCCTCAGAAATAGTGCCGCATATCTACAACTATCTGATCTTTGACAAACCTGACAAAAACAAGAAATGGGGAAAGGATTCCCTATGTAATAAATGGTGCTGGGAAAACTGGCTAGCCATATGTAGAAAGCTGAAACTGGATCCCTTCCTTACACCTTATACAAAAATTAATTCAAGATGGATTAAAGACTTAAATGTTACACCTAAAAACCTAAAAACCCTAGAAGAAAACCTAGGTAATACCATTCAGGACATAGGCATGGGCAAGGACTTCATGTCTAAAACACCAAAAGCAATGGCCAAAATTGACAAATGGGATCTAATTAAACTAAAGAGCTTCTGCACAGCAAAAGAAACTACCATCAGAGTGAACAGGCAACCTACAGAATGAGAGAAAACTTTTGCAATCTACTCATCTGACAAAGGGCTAATATCCAGAATCTACAATGAACTCAAACAAATTTACAAGAAAAAAACAAACGACCCCATCAAAAAGTGGGCAAAGGATATGAACAGACACTTCTCAAAAGAAGACATTTATGCAGCCAAAAGACACATGAAAAAATGCTCATCATCACTGGCCATCAGAGAAATGCAAATCAAAACCACAATGAGATACCATCTCACACCAGTTAGAATGGCAATCATTAAAAAGTCAGGAAACAACAGGTACTGGAGAGAATGTGGAGAAATAGGAACACTTTTACACTGTTGGGGGGACTGTAAACTAGTTCAACCATTGTGGAAGTCAGTGTGGCGATTCCTCAAGGATCTAGAACTAGAAATACCATTTGACCCAGCCATCCCATTACTGGGTATATACCCAAAGGATTAGAGAACATGCTGCTATAAAGACACACGCAAACGTATGTTTATTGCGGCACTCTATTCATAATAGCAAAGACTTGGAACCAACCCAAATGTCCAACAATGACAGACTGAATTAAGAAAATGTGGCACATATACACCATGGAATACTATGCAGCCATAAAAAAGGATGTGTTCATGTCCTTTGTAGGGACATGGATGAAGCTGGAAATCATCATTCTCAGCAAACTATCGCCAAGGACAAAAAACCAAACACCACATGTTCTCACTCATAGGTGGGAATTGAACAATGAGAACACATGGACACAGGAAGGGGAACATCACACACCAGGGCCTGTTGTGGGGTTGAGGGAGGGGGGAGGGATAGCATTAAGAGATATACCTAACGTTAAATGATTAGTTAATAGATGCAGCACACCAACATGGCACATGTACACATATGTAACAAACCTGCATGTTGTGCACATGTACCCTAAAACTTAGAATAAAAAATAAATAAATAAATAAGAACACATGGTTTAACTAGAAATATATTTTCCAAACCTGTAAATGTATGTATTCAAAAGATACCTTTTAAAAATGGAATTTAATGACTCACAAAAAAGATAGAAGAAACTCTGATCCAATAATTGTACTGATAATTAAGAAAAATAAAGAATGCAGGTCTCAAGAGTTTAACTGCTCTCACGGTTATATCCAGGAGCATGCTGTCTCAAGGGAAGCCTCAGTTTCTCCACCTATATATAAGGGAGCATCTGTGAATGATAACCTTAATTAACAACACTAAATATATATTTAGATTGTACCATAGTAAGATAAAGTCAAGCCCGTGTTAGCTACCTGTACCTAAGAACCTCAATAAACTATTACATAAAGTTCTGAAGTAATCAAGAAGATTCAGATAGCAAACAGTGATTTTTGAACAAAACCAACAGTAGGGAAGCTTACTACCACTTCAAAGAACCAGTGAAAAGTTCTTTGTTTTTTTCTAAGTAAAATTACACAGATAACTGGTGCTACTCTTGTCTAGAAAGCCACAAAATAAACTGCAGCAAACCTCCACTGTAAATCTAACAAGGTTTCCCATTGTGAAACTTTACTGCATATCAAGAATTATCTAAAATGGCCTTGATCCCAATAATTGTACTCTTTACTGTTTCTCCTTGAATTTTATCCTAAAGCAATACAAAAGGGAAAAACTACACACACAAAAGTATTTATTAAGGCAGGGGAAAATGGAAGCAATTAATGAGTAACAGAAAAATAAAGTACATAATAAATTCATTTTCTCATTTTAATATTAGGGAGCATTCAAAAACAGCATGAAGATTGTTTATGTTATCTTAAAACATAAAACAAAATTATTACAACTAGATAAAACTAAGTTTTACAACTATATAAAAGTGTATGCATAAATACAAAAGTTAGAAAGGCATACAATTTACCCAAATGAGTTAAAAACCTATGTGCACACAAAAACTTGCATACAAGTGTTTATAGTAGCTTTATTCATAACTGCCAAAACTGGGAAGTAACCAAGATAGTCTTTAATAGGTCAATGAATAAACAAACTGTGGTACACATCCATACAACAGTGTACTATTCAGCAATAAAAAGAAATGAGCTATGAAGCCATGAAAAGCCATGGAGAACCTTAAGTGTATATTGCCAATGGAAAGAAATCAATCTGAAAAGATTACATATTATATGACTCCAATTATATGACATTTTGGAAAAGACAAAACTAAGGAGACAGTAAAAAGATCAGTGGTTGGCAGGGATTTAGGGATGAGTAGATGAAACACTGAGTATTTAGGGCAGTGAAACTATTCTGTGATAACTGTAATAGTGGATACCTTTCATACATGTGTCAAAACCCACAGAATGTACAACACACAGAGTGAACCCTAATGCAAAACTATGCAATTTAATTAAAAATGTATTAACATCAGTTCATAAACTGTAACAAATGTACCACACTAATGCAAGATGTTAGTAACGGGAAACTGGTGGTACCAAGCAGCGGGTAGATATATGGGAACTCTAGTTTTCACTCAATTTTTCTATAACATAAAAATGCTCAAAAAAAGTCTAAGCTTTTTTTTTTTTTAAATAAACTTGGTGTTTTTTGTTTTTGTTTTTGTTTTCAGACCAAGTCTCACTCTATCATGCAGGCTAGAGTGCAGCTGCACGATCTCGGCTCACTGCAACCTCTGCCCCGCGGGTTCCCGCGATTCTCCTGCCTCAGCCTCTCAAGTAGCTGGGATTACAAGCACACGCCAGCCACCACGCCCGGCTAATTTTTGTATTTTTAGTAAAGACAGGGTTTCACCATGTTGGCCAGGCTGGTCTCAAACTCCTGACCTCAGGTGATCTGCCCAGCTCGGCCTCCTAAAGGGCTGGGATTACAGGGATGAGCCACCGAACCCGGCCAAAAGGAATAAAATTTTGATATATGCTATAACATGTACGCTATGTGAAATAAACCAGACACAAAAAGACAAATGCTATATGATTCCATTTATATGATACTTAGAACAGGCAAACTGATAGCGTCAGAAAGTGTAATAGAACTTACCAGGAACTGGGAGAAGAGAACAATGAGGAGTTATTGTATAATGCGCATAGTTTCTGATTGGGATCATAAAGTAGTTCTGGAACTAGGTAGTGTGATGATTGTACAACATTGTGAATATACCTAATGCCACTGAACTGCACCCTTTAAAATGGTTAATATAGTAAATTTTATGTTACGTGTATTTTCCCACAATTTAAAAAAAGGAATCTGGCCCAGCACAGTGGCTCCCAGAACTTTGGGAGGCTGAAGCGGGAGAAAGTTCGAGACCAGCCTAGACAACATAATAAGATGCCGCCTCTACAAAACATCAGCCACGCAGTGTCACATGCCTGTAGTCCCAGCTACTTGGGAGAGTGAGGGAGGAGGATCGCTTGAGCCCAGGAGTTTGAGGCTTCAGTAAGCCATGATCGCATCACTGCACTCCAGCCTGGGCAACATTAAGACCCTGTCTCTAAACAAACAAATAAAATAAGGAATCTGAAATATTAAAATGTATGTTTTATTGTTAGCTTTGTCACAGTATAATGCCCTTCACATATATGCAGTATAAACAAGTTTTTAATAATAAACATAATTTTCTTGTTGTCACAACAGCCCAGAAACTTATAATCAACCTGCATTACATATAAGAGAGCTGATAACTTAAACTTTTACATAATCAGCCTACAGTTTCAACTTGCTTCTCTTCCAAACTTTTAACTAAGGAGAAATAACTTTTTAAAAAGTTATGATTTGCTCTCCCTTCCATTCTGTGCTTGCTTCTCTTAGTAGAGGTGCTAATGAGCCCAACTGATGCTAAAGATTTCATCTAAAAGCCAAGATAACAAAATGTTAGAGAACAATATAGAGAGCTGGTTTCTACTAAAGTAGAATTGATTGAACAAGTGTTGTTTGGTTTTTTTTGTTTTTTTTTTTTGAGACAGAGTCTTGCTCTGTCACCCAGGCTGGAGTGCAGTAGCACTATCTCGGCTCACTGCAAGCTCCGCCTCCTGGGTTCACACCATTCTCCTGCCTCAGCTTCCCGTGTAGCTGGGACTACAGGCGCCCGCCACCGCGCCCAGCTAATTTTTTGTATTTTTAGTAGAGACGAGGTTTCACCGTGTTAGTCAGGATGGTCTCGATCTCCTGACCTCATGATCCACTCGCCTTGGCCTCCCAAAGTGCTGAGATTACAGGTGTGAGCCACCGCGCCCGGCCTGAACAACTGTTTCAAATAACGTATCTCCTAAGATTCTGAGAACACTAAGAGAAAAAAACGCTTACCAATCACAACTTTTCCCCCTAAGTTTTTGTTTAAAAAAAAAAAAAAACTTTAATACCCCTAATAGTGATTATAATTATGTGAGGTCCTAAGGGGTATATCTAATTATCTCTTGAGATGCCTAAGAATTCCCCCAGCTAACCAAATTAGCTTGAAATGTAAATGAGAATCACATCTCATGTTCAGGAGTGACAACATAATGTAATATTGTTGTAATACAGTCACTTAAATGATATATTAACACTTTTCCCTCACCTTTTTTTGTTGTGTGTTCCCTTCCGGTATGCCTTCGTTCTTGGCTAAGGATCATGAAATAATTAAACAGTACCACTAAATAGGGTGCACTCTTATGCTGCAAGTTCATTCATTCATTAATTTGTTCAAGCAACAAAATTTACTATGTGCCAAGTTTTGTGCTTTTCCCTGCTTTCTTACGGCCCAGTATTACAAAATAAGAACTGATTACATAAATGACATTTCTCTAAGAAATAAACAAAAGAGATAGAAAGTAAAGCAAAATACAGGAGATTAAGAGAGGGCTTTTGGGGAATCAAAACTAGTTCATTAACTGATGCCAACTATTAGGGATAGGATAAGAAAATAATTAGAAGTTATCAAAAAAAAACACTCAAAAAAAAAAAAAAAAAAAAAAAACAACTGGCTGAGCTCATTGGCTCATGCCTGTAATCCCAACACTTTGGGAGGTCAATGCAGGAGAATCACTTGAGCCCAGAAGTTTGAGACCAGCCTGGGCAATAGAGTAAGACCCTGTTTCTAAAAATAAAAAATAAATTTAAAAAATTGTAATAAATATATTATTTTTTAAAAGCTTTATGATAATATAAGATATATCCCTTCCTATGGCTATCATTCCTTAAAGTCCCAATGAAGCAGAAGGCTCCCTAATATTTAATAATTTTTAAACTATATTCTTTAACAATAAAAAGTTATGACAAGTCAAGAAAGTCTAGAAATATTTCCTTTCTCCAAAAACTAAGTAACACAAAAAAATACACAAAAGCCAGTATTCCAATATTTATTACAATATAGTTCTAGGAATGGAGAAATTAACCTCAGTCCTGACAGCTTCCAGTATATTCCAGGAAGAATGGGGAAGACCAACAGTCTTGATGTGCAGTATCTTTACCTATGATGATGATCTACTGACAAAACATTCAAAGTTTACAAAGGGAGATTATGGGTAGAGGGGGAAAAAAGATTTAAAGCACACAGAACCAAAGTATTAACAATGAACTGTTCTGTTGTACTCGGACAAATGACTGTCTTGTTAAAAAAAAAAAAAAAAAAAAAAACAGTCCAGAACTAGGAAAAGTATTTGGAACTGGCTTTACTTTGTTCTAAGATTTTTTAACAGTAAAAGAGAGTCAAGATGGAAGATGGAAAGACCAGACTATCAATATCTGTAAATCAGAAGAGTTCATTTTTATTCTACTAACACAGAAAATTTTCACTGGCCAAAATTCTATGAATACTGTATTGTATCATGCAGAGCTTTCTTTTATTTATTTATTTATTTTTGTTTTTTTTAAGACGGAGTCTTGCCCTGTCGCCCAGCCTAGAGTGCAATGGCGCCATCTTGGCTCACTGTAACCTCCGCCTCCCAGGTTCAAGCAATTCTCCTGCTTCAGCCTCCGGAGTAGCTGGGATTACAGGCGCCCACCACCACGCCCGGCTAATTTTTTGTATCTTTAGTAGAGACGGGGTTTCACCATATTGGCCAGGCTGGTCTGGAACTCCTGACCTCAAGTGATCCACCCACCTCGGCCTCTCAAAGTGCTGGGATCACAGGCGTGAGCCACTGCGCCCAGCCGTGTTAACATTTTTTTTTAAAGCTCTGCATGAGGCCAGGTGTGGTGTTCATGCCTGTAATCCCAGCACTTTGAAAGGCTGAGGTGGGCGGATTTGAGGTCAGGAGTTCGAGACCAGCCTGATCAACATGGTGAAACCCCATCTCTACTAAAAATACAAAAATTAGCCGGGCGTGGTGGCAGGTGCCTGCAATCCCAGCTGCTTGGGAGGCTGAGGCAGGAGAATCACTTGAAACCGGGAGGCGGAAGTTGCAGTGAGCTGAGATCGCGCCACTGCACTCCAGCCTGGGGGACAAGAGCGAGACTTCATCTCAGAAAAAAAAAAAATCTAACACAAACAGAAAACAGCTGATAGGAAGGAACAAGTAACTAGAAAGTGTTCTGAGCCCATAAATAGATGTGGAAATCCTACACAAATTTGATCAATGCATTTTCAGCAAGTAGGGGAGCTCAGCTGTCCTTCAATATCTCTGGGTAGCTGGGAAGTGACAATGAGGAAAGAAAGAAAATACACATGAGTTTTCAATTCCTAAACCTCCTCAGTTACAAAGCCCCTCCCACCAGTATCCTTTTTTTTTTTTTTTAAACAGTGTTCCTGTGTGCACGGGCATCTGCAGCCAGGCCTGTAGGGGACCGCTCCCCGAAGATGTTGGGGGTCTTTCCAGGAAAGTGGTGAGTTCAGAAGTTGCCCTGGTGCATAGGAAGAGAATACCCCAAGGGGCTACTGAAAGGGCCTTGAGTAGGTAAGAATGAGACAGAAACATTCTGGGAGGGAGGGGCAGCAGACCAAGGGTTTCGATTCTTGGAATCCACTGAGGCTCAGGTACTGCTGCTCTGGGAGAGGCAGGGGCTGTGGGTGCCAGGGAGCACATGTGGCTTCAGATTCCTCTGGAGGGTGGGGATGAGGGCAGCCATGGAAGACTTCTGGAGAGACCAGAGAGGTCTTTAATTAATAAAGAATATTTAAATAATAATTATACATGCAATGAGTGAATGATTATACATGCAATGCTTATTGGAAAAAGATACTCAAACATACTATACACCCTACTACATTTCTCTTTAAAAAGTATGTTCTCACAAACTAATTTATGCTTAGGCACACAATGACTTATTTCAAAATTTTGCTAAGGCTGTCTTCCCCTTGACAATAATAAAGTCTATTCTACAGACAATCGAATAAAAAACTGTGAAAGAACAGAAATACAGTACACACTTGACCTACAAGCTCTAAGAGCAAAGACTCAGGAATCACTAATTCTGCCTAAAAGAAATGGTGAAGGTTTTACAGGAGTTAACATTTGAGCTGGACATTAACCAATGAGTTGGAGTTTGCCAACTAAAGAGAAGGTATTCTGTGCAAAGAAAGTAGAACATGCAGGACAAAGAGTGTCAGTTCTGTTCAGAAATTAGAGCATAAAGGATAGATTCAAGATATACTCAAGAGAAGCAATATTTGAATGACTGAATGAGGGTCAATGAAATATAGAAAGATGACGACTCAGGGTTTTTCCTTAGGCAGCTGGGTACATAGCAATGCTATTTGCCGAGATGAAAAGATCATAAAGAAGGGAAGCAAATTCAAAGCGGAACAATAATGAGTTTCTTTTTGGAAATGGAGTATGAAATGACAGAAATGTTCAGTTGGCACTAGGAAACACAAATTTAAACTCAGGAAACAGAATGAACTTGAAAATAGAACTATTACTAGCATAAAAAGTGACACTAGCATAGTTACTGGCACAACAGTGGATAAAATCCTTTAAAAAAAAAAGCTGTACAAAGGAGTGAGGACAAGCAAGGATCACTGTGAAGAATTCTGAAACACACAAAGTATTACATGATGAAATGAGGATTAGAACCCAGATCTCTTGACTCTCAAATACCGTCACACCAGGTTGCCTTCCTAATGGGAAATCTATGGAAAATTAAAAAATCCCAACTCAGCCAGGGGTGGTGGTTCACACCTGTAATCCCAGCACTTTGGGAGGCCAACACAGGCAGATAACCTGAGGGCAGGAGTTCGAGACTAGCCTGGCCAAGATGGTGAAACCCCGTCTCTACTAAAAATACAAAAATTAGCTGGCTGTGGTGGCATGCACCTGTAATCCCAGCTACTCAGGAGGGTGAGGCAGGAGAATCCCCTGAACCCAGGAAGCAGAGGTTGCAGTGAGCCAAGATGGTGCCATTGCACTCCAGCCTGGGTGACAAGAATGAAACTCCGTCTCAAGAAAAAAAAAATCCCAACTCTATTGCTTATACTTCACTTCCCTTCAGTTCATACCTCAAAAGGCAGTTATGTTGCTTAGAAGCACTAAGGTTGCTTAAGTGATACCTCAAAAGCAATTTTCTCTGCCTGAAGAAATTGTTAAACTTAATTGACACTTCTGGTCTAGAAATCTAACACTAATCCAGGAGAGATTTTTTTTAAAACCAACAGATTGTAGGTTCCATAAGGGCAAGCATTTATGTTTTGTTCACTGCTGAATCCCAAACTGCAACTGATACACAGTAGACATTCAATGAAGATTTCTTGAGTGAATGAATAAATTAATGAATAAACATCACATTCTCTAGGGGAAAAAAAAGAAATTAAAATCATTTCTACTGTATCTTCATAAATTGAACTTCTCACCAAGACAGATTAGTACAATGCATTAACGTAGGCTTTATTATTAATTTGTGTATTTGTATTATATGGAAAACAAATTTTTAGTAAAATATAATGTATTTTGTTCATTTTGTTTAGTTCATTGCTGGACTGCTGGTCTCTAGAACATTGCCTGGCAAAGATAAACATTTAATAAGTATTTTTAAATGATGTACTTAGTTTTATTACCCTACCATACTTGAAACTGCGACTTTATAGTTTCCTTTAGCAAAAGGTAAAACTGTAGTCAACATATAGACTATAAATAAATTTTTAAAGATCATTTACTGTAATGTAATAGCATCATTTTACATGTATACCAGTTTTTCAGGGAATTGATTTATAGTCCATTTGGTTTAAGTTTGGGACATTTGGCCAGGTGTGGTGGTTCACACCTGTAATCCCAGCACTTTGGGAGGCCAAGACGGGTGGATCACCTGGGGGCAGTAGTTCAAGACCAGCCTGGCCAACATATAGTGAAACCCCGTCTCTACTATACAAAAATTAACCAGGCATGGTGGCGCATGCCTATAATCCCAACTACTCGGGAGACTGAGGCAGGAGAATCACTTGAACCCAGGAGGCGGAGGCTGCAGTGAGCCAAGATCGCGCCATTGCACTCCAGCCTGGGTGACAAGAGTGAAACTGTCTCAAAAAAAAAAAAAAAGAAAGTTTGCGGTATTTGGATGTTTCTGATGTTGACTGATAAAATGTAGGCTTAAAAAATCTGTTTACAGTTTTATACTGCTGTATTGTGTATAGCCCCTCTTTCATAATGACACTTGGGACTGTGATGGTATAGAGTGACTCTTAATAGTCTGCTCCCAGGAATAATATATAATACCTAATAATACCTAACAGTTGTTCAGTCATTATCTGTTAAATGAATGAATGAATACTGAAAGGAGGCAGAAAAGGGAGTGAGTTAGTAAAAATTAGCCAGGAGTGGTGGCGTACACCTGTAGTCCCAGCTACTTGGGAGGCTGTGATGGGAGGATCACTTGAGTCCAGGAAGTCGAGGCTACAGTGAGCCGTGATCGTGCCACCGCATTCCAGCCTGGGCGACAGAGTGAGACCCTGTCACCAGAAAATCAAAACAAAACAAAAAAATTAGCCAGGCATGATGGCATAGTAAAATACACATAACATAAAATTTACCATCTAAATTATCTTTAAGTGCACAGTTAATGTTACTGAGTACATTTATATTGTTGTGTGACCCTTACAACCATCTAGCTCTAGAACTCTACAACTTGCAAAACTGAAACTATACCCGTTAAACAGTAACTCTCCATTCCCTCTTCTCCTCAACCCCTGGCAATTACCATTCTTTCTGTCTCTGTGATTTGTACTACTCTAAGTACCTCATTAAAGTGGAATCATACAGTATTTGTCTTTTTGTGACTGGTTTCACTGGCCAGTTTCACTTAGTGTATTGTTCTCAAGATTCATCCAGGTTGTAGCATGTCAGAATTTCTCTCCTTTGAAAGGTGAAATAAGATTCCACTTTGTGGCCGGGTGCGGTGGCTCACATCTGTAATCCCAGCACTTTGGGAGGCCAAGGCAGGTGGATCACGAGGTCAGGAGTTCAAGACCAGCCTGGCCAACACAGTGAAACCCCGTCTCTACTAAAAATACAAAAAATTAGCTGGGCGTCGTGGCGGGCACCTGTAATCCCAGCCACTAGGGAGGCTGAGGCAGGAGAATCGCTTGAACCCGGGAGGCAGAGGTTGCGGTGAGCCAAGATCACACCATTGCACTTCAGCCCGGGCAACAGTGCAAGACTCTGTCTCCCAAAAAAAAAAAAAGATTCCATTTTGTATGTATACCAGTAACATTTTGCTTATCTGTTCCTCCATTTGGGGACAGCTGGACTACTTCCAGCATTTGTCAATAATGCTGCTATGAGCATGGGTGTAGAAATACCCCTTCAAGACCCTGCTGCTTTCAGTTCTTTTGAGTATATACCCAGAAGTAGAATTGCTGGATCACAGGGTAATTCTATTTTTAATTCTTTGAGGACTCACGTTACTGTTTTCCACGGCTTTTGGAATGATATAGTTTGTAACCTTTCAGGATTGGCTTTTTTGCAGTTTTTTTAAAATTACTTCCACTTTTGTTGTTGTTGTTTTGTTTTGTTTTGTTTTGTTTTTGAGATGGAGTCTTGCTCTGTCACCCAGACTGGAATGCAGTGACACGATCTTGGCTCACTGCAACCTCCACCTCTCGCTTCAAGCAATTCTTCCGACAGTCTCCTGAGTAACTGGGAGTACAGGCACAGGCACCCACCACCACGCCTGGCTAATTTTTTTTTTTTTTTTTTTTTTTTCAGTAGAGACGGGGTTTCACTATGTTGGCCAGGCTCCAATTCCTGACCTCAGGTGATCCACCTGCCTCAGCATCCCAAAGTGCTGGGATTACAGGCATGAGCCACTGTGCCCAGCCCTTCCACATTTTTAGAAGGAATTATTTTTGGGAAGAGCTCCTTTGGGGAGGATTATGAGACCTCATGGAACATGCGAAGGAGACAAGATCATTAAACCAGGGTAAAAATGTTCAATTAAACATGATCCATGTTCGATTCATATGCCATAGATAGCTTTGACAGGTTCTATGTCTTTAACAATCTGCTTACATTCTCTGGGCTCTAATGAGATAGGCTATGATCCAAAATGAACTTCAAGGCCACTACCTACTATATCCTAAAAAGTCATGCACAAAGAAGACATAATGGGGCATTTTAAAGAAAGGAATTTCTATATTTGTGTAACAATTTAGAGCTTGCAAAGAATTTTCACATCTCTCATCTTGTAATCCTTCCAAAAACTCTAAGGTAGATTGGATTTGACCAAGATAATAAAAGTTTAAGGAGCATTTTGGTATAATGAAAAATACTCTGCATCTACAGTCAAAGTGAGTGAGTCCAAATACAGGTTCTACCTGGACTGTCACTTAACTTCCCTAAACTAAGGACTCTCATGTCACAGAAGGAAAAGTATCATCTACCTCAATATTTGTAGAGAGGACTGCGTAGGGTACATAAAATATCTTAAACTTTAGAATGCACTCAAATAATAACTGTATCCAGGCAAGTATAAAAGTAAGATTCGAATCTGGGCCTTACTTGTGGTCACAACCATTTTTCTGCTTCCCTTTTCACAGGAAAATTTCTTAGGAGTCTATTGTCACTGTCTCCATTCCCCAACTTCATATTCTCATTCCATCCTTTACCTGATACTTCTCTACAATCTAGTTTCCATTCCCACTAAGACCACACTTGTCAAGGTCACTTACCAAATCTAGCAGACATACATCAGTTACTCCTAAATATTTATCCCTGGCCCTAAACTCTCACTGAATTCCACAGTACTACTATTACCTACCACCAAGTATGAAATCTCTACATAGATGTCTAATTGGCACCTCAAACTTAACAAAACAGAACTCATGATTGTCCCACCAAACTTGCTCTCCCCTCCAGTCTTATCCATTTCAGTAAACTGCACCACCAATCTTCTAAGTGCTCAAGTCCTAGGATTTGCCTTGATCACATGCAGTCAGCAAGTCCTGTTGATTCAATCTTCAAAACACAGCCCAAATCAACCTATTTTTCTCCACTAATTTACTCTCTGGCCCAAGCCACCACCACCTCTCACCTATACTAATACAGCAGCCTCCAGAGGTCTCCTAAATTCCACCCTTGTTACCCTTATCCTCAGAATCCAGTCTTCACACGGCAGCGACAGTAATCTTTTTCAAAAGGCGTTCCCCCTGCTACAGCCCTCCACTGGCTTTCGTTTACACCTAGAAACTCCTTACTCTGGCTTACAAAGCCTTAAATGATTTAGACCCTGACTATCTCTGATCTCATTTTGCACCACTCTACCCCTTGCCCATTACATTCCAGCCACACTGACCTGTCTGCTCCTTAAATACTCCAAGAGCTCAAGGGGCTTTGTGTAACATGGTTCCCTATGGTAGAATGCTCATCCCTCTAATCTTTGCCATGGCTGACTCTTTTGTAGGAAGATCTCAAAGGTTACCTACTCAAAGGATCCTTCCCTGACAATGCAATGTAAAGCAACCCCTCAGTCTCTCCTTATTACATCACCTTTTAGTCTCTTTCATAGCACTTGTCTCTGATATTTTTGTTTACTACTGATCTTTTCCCACTAGACTGAAAGCTCCTGAGAGTAGAGACATTATCTGTCTTCTTTACTCTGTGAACCCTGAAAATTTGAGACAGGTCTCAGTTAATTTAGAAAGTTTATTTTGCAGGCTGGGCACAGTGGCTCACGCCTGTAATCCCAGCACTGTGGCAGGCCAAGGCAAGCGGATCAGTTGAGGTCAGGAATTCAAGACCAGCCTGGCCAACATGGTGAAACCCCATCTGTACTAAAAATACAAGAATTAGCCAGGTGTGGTGGCATGTGCCTGTAATCCCAGCTACTCAGGAGGCTGAGGGAAGAGAATCACTTGAACCCGGGAGGTGGAGGTTGCAGTGAGCCGAGATCGTGCCACTGCACTCCAGCCTGGATGACAGTGAGACTCCACCTCAAAAAAAAAAAAAAAAAAAAAAAAAAAAAAGTTTATTTTATTTTGCCTAGGTTGAGGACGCTCCCATGACACAGCCTCAGGAAGTCCTGACAACATGTGCTCAAGGTGGCCGGGGCAAAGTTTAGTTTTATACATTTCGGGGAGACTTGAGACACCGATCAATATATGTAAGAAGTACATTGGTTTGGTCTGGAAAGGCAGGACAACTTAAAGCAAAGGCAAGAAGACTCAAATCAGGGAGGGAGCTTCCAGGTTAAAGTTAGGTGAGAGACCAATGGCTGCATTTCTGATTAGCCTTTCCAAGGGAGGCAATCAGATATGTATCTATCTCAGTGAGCAGAGGGATGATTTTGAATAGAATGGAAGGCAGGTTAGCCCTAAGCAGTTCCCCACTTGACTTTTTCCTTTAGTTTAGGGATTGAGGGCCCCAAGATTTAATTTCCTTTCACAACTCCTATACAGCAGGGGTCCCCAACCCCTAGGCTACAAGCCAATTCCATAGCCTGTTAGGAACCTGGCCTCACAGCAGGAGGGGCTCAAAAGCTTCATCTGTGTTTACAGCTGCTCCCCACTGCTTGCATTACCACCTGAGCTCCGCCTCCTGTAAAATCAGCGGTGGCATTAGATTCTCATAGAAGCCTGAACCCTATTGTGATCTAGGTTGCACGCTCCTTATGAGAATCTAATGCCTGATGATCTGCCACTGTCTCCCATCACTCCCATATGGGACAGTCTAGCTGTGAAAGAACAAGCTCAGGGCTCCCACTGATTCCACATTATGGTGAGTTATATAATTATTTCATTATATATTACAATGTAGTAATAATAGAAATAAAGTGCACAATAAATGTAATGTGCTTGGATCATCCCAAAACCATCCCCTCCACCCCCTGCCCACCAGTCCATGGAAAAATTGTCTTCCATGAAACCAGTGGTATTCCCAGCACCTAAAATAGTGCCTGGCAAAAGTAAAGTGTATTCAGTAAATATCTGTCAAATAAGTCAACAGGAAACTACTATTCACACATCAAAAATAAGTCAGGGATAGAAATGTCTTTCCCTGACCTCCCCAGGCTTATGATACTAACTCCTTTATTCTTTTCATTTGTTTCTGATATAGCATATGTCACAACTTATTGCATTTATCTGTTTACATGCCTGTCTTCCCTTCTTGAACTATGAAACTTCTTAAGATGGGGAGGCCTTCTTTAGAATTCACTTTGTATCCACAACACCAAGCATGGTCTGGGATGAAAAGAGGACAGACACGGTGGCTCAAGCCTGTAATTCCAACACTTTGGGAGGCCGGGGCAGACAGATCACTTGAGGTCAGGAGGTCGAGACCAGCCTGGCCAACATGGTAAAACCCCATCTCTGCTAAAAAACTATAACAATTAGCTGGGCATGGTGGTACATACCTGTAATCCCAGCTACTCCACAGGCTGTCGCAGGAGAACTGCTTGAACCCAGGAGGCGGAGGTTGCAGTGAGCTGAGACTGCACCACTGCACTCCAGCCTGGGGACAGAGCAAGACTATCTCCAAAAAAAAAAAAAAGATGAAAACAAAAAAAAACTTCTGCTGAGTGAGGATGACAGGAGCAGCTAACATGCTCTGAGTGTTTACTACATGCAATAAAATATTTCCCAAGGATTATCTCTTTAATCCTTACAACAATCCTGGAAGATACATATGATTATTTTCCCCATTTGGCAGATGACAAAACAGCTAGAGCAGTTATAATTAACTTATCCATGTTCATATAGTTACTAAATGGCAGAGTCAGATTAAATTTATTCTGCCTGACACCTAAGTCAATGCTCTTATCCACAATGTCTGAATGAGCCATAAACTGTTCTCAAATAAATGCATGATAGCACTTAAATGCCAAAGCCAAGTATTTCAACACAGATAGGACATTATACTCTACAACAATGTTCCAAGATATTAAGAAACTGTCAAGAAATGGGGAAGAACATGGAGCCCTGCTACATTCCAGAAGCAATAAAAAGAATGATTACAATTGGAGTACTTTCTAAATACTCAGAACCTTTTTGAGTAGAAAAGTCTCAAAAAAAAAACTGAAAAAGCATAATTGGTAACATGGCAAAAGTTCCCAACATATGTTACTAATATGGCCCTTAAAAAAAGATATAGTTGGTAGCTGAGAAGGAGCAACACCTAGATTTTTAACAGGCATTCTCGAGCCCTGGTGTTAATAAAATCTTAACTGCCATAACACAAAGAATCATTTCGAATCAAACAGCAGTTTATTTCCTTAAAATTATTTTGAAAATGTAAAGGTAGGCAACATGTTGTATCACTACACTTCTTTTTTCCCCCAGCATTAAGTAGACCAACCTTTAAATAAAATCACAAGGAACCCGTCCTAGCTTATCACCCTACCCCACTAGCTGACTTTCCTAAGAAAATAGGAAAATCTCACCTTTATGTGAGGTAGAGTTGAGGGAAAAAGACAGTGAAAGCCTGCCACACTGCTGGTCTCTTATTGTACCCATGGAAAGATACCAATGAGAATCTTCCCAAAGTGATAAAAAGATGACATTTTAACTGCTAAGTTGCTATTTTAGCACTGTCTGCTAGATAGCAGTCGACTTTAGCCATTTCAGTAATGTTTGTCAAAATTCACAGAACCATACATCTAAAATGGGTGAATTTCACTGAGTGTAAACTATACCTCAACAAATTTGACTTTCTAAAAAGAGACAAAATACTATAAACATCACAAAAATTTTTTGAAGTCCTCAGTTAAAAAAAAAAATCTGAATTTGTTTTGTCACCTCACCAAAGAGTACAAAGTCAAGTTCTAAAGCTTTAAAAAACAAGGAGTTGAAAATAGATGCTGGACTTTCTCTGAGGTTTTTAAGTTTTAGGATCTCTGCTTCAAAAATATGATGATGACCATCCCAAGAAGTGTAACAGTCTTTCAAGAACTTGAAATATCTCGAATGCATTCAGATTAAAATAAGAGTCACTTTATACCATCACAGTCCAAGTATCATTATGAAAGAGAGGCTATACACAATACAGCAGCATAAAACTCGAAGGATAATTTTTTTAAGCCTACATTTTATCATTCAACATCAGAAACATCCAAATGCCCCAAACTTAAACCAAATGAGTTACAAATCTGAAAAGCAGGTATACATGTAAAATGATGCTATTACGGTAAATGAAGATTTTTAAAAATTTACTTATAATCTATATATTGACTATAGTTTCACCTTTTGCTAAAGGAAACTATAATATAAAGTCACAGTTTCAAGCATGGTAGGGTAATAAAATTAAGTACATCATTTAAAAAATACTTATTATATGTTTATTCTGTACCAGGAAAAGTTCTAGAGACCAGCAATCCAGCAATGAACTAAACAATGAACAAAATACATTATATTTTACTAAAAATTTGTTTTCCTTATAATACAAACACACAAATCTAATAATAAAGCCTACATAGTCAACTTGCTTAGTCCCTAGTGCTTTTCAGAAGCTGAATTTTTTTTTTTTCCTTAAGATGGAATTTCATTCTCATTGCCCAGGTTGGAGTACAATGGCACGATCTCAGCTCACCACAACCTCCGCCTCCCAGGTTCAAGCAATTCTCCTGCCTCAGCCTCCCAAGTAGCTGGGATTACAGGCATGTGCCACCACGCCTGGCTAATTTTGTATTTTTAGCAGAGACAGGGTTTCTCCATGTTCATCAGGCTGGTCTCGAACTCCCGACCTCAGGTGATCCACCTGCCTTGCCTCCCAAAGTGCTGGGATTACAGGTGTGAGCCTCCGTGCCCGGTGGCTCAGTGAAATTTTAACCAAACATAAACGTTATGTTCTAAGCAATATAACCTAAGCAGGGACAACCACTAAAGATGAGGGTATTACATTTTAAAGGATAAAAAGGCAATACTTCTCTTAATATGAGCAGCCTAGAAAATAAAGAAGTGACTCAGAAAATTTTAAAAGACTTTAAACAGTCTGAAAATTCCAAAGTGAAAAAACATCAAGAGAAAAGTGACTTTCTTTCCACTCAAATGCTTATCAACTTAGGAAGGAAAAACTTCCAAGTCTTACAACCATTCCTATCACAGTAGGCTAGGCAGATGATCAACAAGTTGACTCATCTCAACTTAACACTAATTTTATTTTTTACTTTCCAGTAGCAGAGCTCATGTTTGAGTGTTTATATCCAAAGTCAGAATATTATCACCTTAACTTCTATTGCCTGCTTATTAAGGTTTACTTAAGTTTTTCTTGCTGTATTTGGTCAGGGATCAATTAAAGCATTTTCTCCACATATTCTCTACTACAAAAAATATTCCAGCCATCTCCCATTTGGCAAAAAATCAAATAAGTTTTCCAGTAATGCTACCTAGTTGGATACAGTGTGTGGTAAAATCACACAAGCAAATGATTATAACATGAAAAGGGCTGGATGAAAAATTGCTAAGGTTTTAAAGAAAATTAACCTTTAGGAAATAAAGACTGAAAATAAATACTGAATAAATACCGAAAATGTAATTCAGGTGCAGTACTGTATTTGGCAAAACCAGATGCATCTTCTAGATGCATCACACATAAGTGCTGAAAGCGTGAAGTGTGAAGAAAAAAGTTTCAAAGCAGGAAATTTCCTAAACTTGAAATTTCATATGCTTTCTGCAATGCAGTTTTAATATAGTTGTAAATGCATTATTTTTTATTCACTAGCCTTTTAGTCAGGAATGTTAGGAATATCATATTACAAACAATCGAAGGTTAAATCCAAACATTATCATCTCTTACATAATGACTAACAGCAATACTACTACTAATCTCTCCTGTGCCAAACTGAAACAGTTTCAGTTTCTGGTCATATTAATAACTACAAACATTTTCAAAGGTTTGTCTTTATCACAAATCCAAAAGATGATATAAAAGGCAATAAACCATCTTCAATTTCATCCCATTTTTAATAGACAAATGCCTGTATGTATCATCAGAATTACACTGCTCTCAGAGACCACCACATTCAGCAATGCTAACTGCACATAGTAAAGTCGTCAAAACCAAAAGAACAATTTTCCTCATCTTTATGTGTGCGGAGTTGGTTCCTTCCAGTGGGTTCATGGACTCGCTGACTTCAAGAATGAAGCCGCAGAACTTCGTGGTGAGTGTTACAGCTCTTAAAGGTGGCACGGACCCAAAGAGTGAGCAGCAGCAAGATTTACTGTGAAGAGCGAAAGAACAAAGCTTCTACGGTGTGGAAGGAGACCCGACCAGGTTGCCGCTGCTGGCTGGGGTGGCCAGCTTTTATTCCCTTATTTGTCCCCCTCCATGTCCTGCTGATTGGTCCATTTTACAGGGCACTGATTGGTCCATTTTACAGGGTGCTGACTGGTCCATTTTACAAACCTCTAGCTAGCCACAGAGCACTGACTGGTGCATTTTTACAGAGCGCTGACTGGCGCATTTTACAATCCTCTTGTAAGATATCAAAGTTCTCCAAGTCCCCACCCAACCCAGAAGTCCAGCTGGCTTCACCTCTCAATCCCCCCTCTAAACAGGACACCCCAACTGCTGCTAGGAATTGGGCGATGCCCACTCTAGCTACTTCCTGCTGGATAGGGGTAAAGAAGGGGCCCTGCAGTGGTAGTGTCCTCCAGAGGGGAATTCTATAGGCCAGCCAAAGCGACAATGGTCCGGTTTTTAAAGCCACGATAACTCGGGGTTGAGAGGGTAGCGGGGAACAAACCAAAACCACAGGAGGTTTTTTCTTTCAGATGGGGAACACACAGGCATCAACAGGCTCACCCTTGAAATGCATCCTAAGCCACTGGGACCAATTTGACCTGCAAACCCTGAAAAAGAGGCGGCTCATTTTTTTCTGCACTATGGCCTGGCCCCAATATTCTCTCTCTGATGGTCAAAAATGGCCACCTGAGGGAAATATAAATTACAATACTATCCTGCAGCTTGACCTTTTCTGTAAGAGGGAAGACAAACGGAGTGAAATACCTTATGTCCAAGCTTTCTTTTCACTGAAGGATAATCCACAACTATGCAAAGCTTGCAATATTGGGGAGGAGGACCTCTCAGCTTACCCCCATATCCTAGCCTTCCTACAGCTCCCCTTCCTATTAATGATAAGCCTCCTCTAATCTCCACCACCCAGAAGGAAACAAGCAAAGAAATCTCCAAAGGACCACAAAAACTCCCAGGCTATCGGTTATGTCCCCTTCAAGCTGTAGGGGGAGGGGAATTTGGCCCAACCCAGGTACATGTCCCCTTCTCTCTCTCTCTGATTTAAAGCAGATGACAGTAGACCTGGGGAAGTTTTCAGATGATCCTGATAGGTATATAGATGTCCTATAGGGTCTAGGGCAAACCTTCAACCTCACTTGGAGAGATGTCATGCTATTGTTAGATCAAACCCTGGCCTTTAATGAAAAGAATGCAGCTTTAGTTGCAGCCCAAGAGTTTGGAGATACCTGGCATCTCAGTCACGTAAATGACAGAATGACAGTCGAAGAAAGGGACAAATTCCCTACTGGTCAGCAAGCCATTCTCAGTGTGGATCCCCACCGGGTCCTCGACTCAGATCATGGGGACTGGAGTCGTGAACATCTGTTAACCTGTGTCCTAGAAGGACTAAGCAGAATTAGGAAAAAGCCCATGAATTATTCAATGACATCCACCATAACTCAGGGAAAGGAAGAAAATCCTACCGCCTTCCTCGAGCGGCTACAGGAGGCCTTAAGAAAATATACTTCCCTGTTACCCGACTCACTCGAGGGTCAATTGATCCTAAAAGATAAGTTTATTACCCAGTCAGCTGCAGATATCAGGATAAAGCTCCAAAAGCTAGCCCTGGCCCCTGAACAAAATTTGGACGCATTATTAAACCTGGCAACCTCCGTGTTCTACAGTAGGGATCGAGAAGAACAGGCTGAAAAGGAAAAGTGAGATAAGAGAAAGGCTACAGCCTTAGTCATGGCCCTCAGACAAACAGACCTTGGTGGTTCAGAGAGGACAGAAAATGGAGCAGGCCAATCACCCGGTTAGGCTTGTTATCAATTTGGTTTGCAAGGACACTTTAAAAAAGATTGTCCAACGAGAAACAAGCTGCCCCCTCGCCCATGTCCACTATGCCAAGGCAATCACTGGAAGGTGCACTGCCCCAAAGGACAAAGGTTCTCTGGGCCAGAAGCCCCCAACCAGATGATCCAACAGGACTGAGGGTGCCCGGGGCAAGCGCCAGCTCATGTCATCACCCTCACTGAACCCCGGGTATGTTTAACCATTGAGGGCCAGGAAATTGACTTCCTCCTGGACACCGGTACAGCTTTATCAGTGTTAATCTCCTGTCCCAGACGGCTGTCCTCAAGGTCCGTTACCATCCGAGGCTCAGTGTTAATCTCCTGTCCCGGACAGCTGTCCTCAAGGTCCATTACCATCCGAGGAATCCTGGGACAGTCTGTAACCAGGTATTTCTCCCACCTTCTCAGTGGTAATTGGGAGACTTTGCTCTTTTCACATGCCTTTCTTGTTATGCCTGAAAGTCCCATACCCTTATTAGGGAGGAACATATTAGCCAAAGCTGGAGCTATTATCTACATGAATATGGGGAACAAGTTACCAATTTGTTGTCCCCTGCTTGAGGAGGGAATCAACCCTGAAGCCTGGGCATTGGAAGGACAATTCAGAAGGGCAAAATATGCCCACCCACTCCAAATAAGGCTAAAAGATCCCACCACTTTTTCTTATCAAAGGCAATATCCCTTAAGGCCTGAAGCTCATAAAGGATTACAGGATATTGTTAGACATTTAAAAGCTCAAGGCCTAGTAAGAAAATGCAGCAGTCCCTGCAACACCCCAATTCTAGGAGTACAAAAACCAGTCAGTGGAGACTAGTGCAAGATCTTAGACTCATCAATGAAGCAGTAATTCCTCTATATCCAGTTGTACCCAAGCCCTATACCCTGTTCTCTCAAATACCAAAGGAAGCAGAATCGTTCACAGTTCTGGACCTCAAGGATGCCTTCTTCTGTATTCCCCTGCACTCTGACTCCCAGTTTCTCTTTGCCTTTGAGGATCCTACAGATCACACGTCCCAACTTACGTGGACAGTCTTGCCCCAAAGGTTCAGGGATAGCCCTCACCTGTTTGGTCAGGCACTGGTCCAAGATCTAGGCCACTTCTCAAGTCCAGGCACTCTGGTCCTTCAGTTTGTGGATGATTTACTTTTGGCTGCCAGTTCGGAAGCCTCATGCCAGCAAGCTACTCGAGATCTCTTGAACTTTCTAGCTAATCAAGGGTACAAGGCATCTAAATCAAAGGCCCAGCTCTGCCTACAACAAGTCAAATATCTAGGCCTAATCTTAGCCAGAGGAACCAGGGCCCTCAGCAAGAAACGAATACAGCCTATACTGGCTTATCCTCGCCCTAAGACATTAAAACAGTTGCGGGGGTTCCTTGGAATCACCAGCTTTTGCCGACTACAGATCCCTGGATACAGCAAGATGGCCAGGCCACTCTATACTCTAATAAAGGAGACCCAGAGGGCAAATACTCATCTAGTAGAATGGGAACCAGAGGCAGAAACAGCCTTCAAATCCTTAAAGCAGGCCCTAGTACAAGCTCCAGCCTTAAGCCTTCCCACAAGACAAAACTTCTCTTTATACGTCAGAGAGAGAGCAGGAATAGCTCTTGAAGTCCTTACTCAGACTCACGGGACAACCCTACAACCAGTGGCAAAAGGCTAGCCTCACTGTTTACGTGTAGTTGCAGCAGTGGCCGTCTTATATCAGAGGCTATCAAAATAATACTAGGAAAGGATCTCACTGTCTGGACTACTCATGATGTAAATGGCACACTAGGTGCCAAAGGAAGTTTATGGCTATCAGACAACCGCCTGCTTGGATACCAGGTGCTACTCCTTGAGGGACCGATGCTTCAAATATGCATCTGTGCGGCTCTCAACCCTGCCACTTTTCTCCCAGAGGATGGGGAACCAATCGAGCATGACTGCCAACAAATTATAGTCCAGACTTATGCCACCCAAGAGGATCTCTTAGAAGTCCCCTTAGCTAATCCTGACCTTAACCTATACACTGATGGCAGTTCATCTGTGAAGAATGGGATACAAAGGGCAGGTTATGCCATAGTTAGTGATGTAACAGTACTTGAAAGTAAGCCTCCTCCCCCAGGGACCAGCGGCCAGATAGCAGAACTAGTGGCACTTACCCAAGCCTTAGAACTGGGAAAGGGAAAAAGAATAAATGTGTATAGATAACAAGTATGCTTATCTAATCCTTCGTGCCCATGATGCAATATGGAAAGAAAGGGAGTTCCTAACCTCTGGGTGAACCCCATTAAATACCATAAGGAAATCACGGAGTTATTGCACACAGTGCAAAAACCCAAGGAGGTGGCAGTCTTACACTGCTGAAAGGAGAGGGGAGAACAGCAGCATAAGCAGCTGGCAGAGGCAGGGAAAGACCAGCAGAGAGGAAAGAGAGAGAGAGGAAGAGACAGACAAAGAGGGAGTCAGAAAGAGAGAAACAGAGAGAGGAAGAGACAGAAAAGAAGTCAGAAAGAGAGAAAGAGAGAGAGAGAGAGAGAGAGAGAGAGGAAGAGACAAAGAGAGACACAGAGATAGAAGTAGTAAAGAAAAAACAGTGTACCCTATTCCTTTAAAAGCCAGGGTAAATTTCTGTCTACCCAGCCAAGGCATATTCTTCTTAAGTGGAACTTCAACCTGTATCTGCCTCCCCACCAACTGGACAGGCACCTACACCTTAGTCTTCCTAAGTCCCAACATTAACATTGCCCCAGGAAATCAGACTCTATCAGTGCCCCTTCAAAGCTCAAGTCCATCAGCACAGGGCCATACAACTAATACCCCTACTTATAGGGTTAGGAATGGCCACTGCTACAGGAATTGGAATAGCAGATTTATCTACTTCATTATCCTACTACCACACACTCTCAAAGGATTTCTCAGACAGCTTGCAAGAAATAACAAAATCTATCCTTCCTCTACAATCCCAGATAGACTCTTTGGCAGCAGTGACTCTCCAAAACCGCCAAGGCCTAGACTTCCTCACTGCTGAGAAAGGAGGACTATGCACCTTCTTAGGGGAAGAATGTTGCTTTTACACTAACCAGTGAGGGATAGTATGAGACGCCACCTGGCGTTTACAGGAAAAGGCTTCTGAAATCAGACAACGCCTTTCAAACTCTTATACCAACCTCTGGAGCTGGGCAACATGGCTTCTCCCCTTTCTAGGTCCCGTAACAGCCATCTTGCTATTACTCGCCTTCAGGCCCGTATTTTTAAACTCCTTGTCAAATTTGTTTCCTCCAGGATCGATGCCATCAAGCTATAGATGGTCTTACAAATGGAACCCCAAATGAGTTCAACTAACAACTTCTACCAAGGACCCCTGGACCGACCCACTGAACCTTTGGCTGACCTACAGAGTTCCCCTCATGGCTACAGGGTCAACCAACTTTTTGTTGGGACCCCGCAGCTGAATGGCTTTCCCCTCTTGTCAACCCTTGGCTCAGCCCAGAAGTACAGGCAAAGAGGAAGCTGGTTCCAGGCAAACCAACGCTCCCAACTCTGAAGAGTCGGGGGTTGTTAGAGAGCCCTTTCCCAGAAAGCCTAACACCCGTGTCTTTAGTCCGGTGGCCGCGCTAGTTGCTTTTAACTGGCCGACAGGTGCCCTGGTGTTTAGCCCCTGAATTGTAAGGAAAAATAGGACAGAATAGCAAGCAAAAGGGGTCCAATGGTCCCGTCTGGGTCACCAAGATGTGTCCAGAGTTGGTTCCTTCCAGTGGGCTCGTGGTCTCGCTAACTTCAAGAATGAAGCCGCAGACCTTCACGGTGAGTGTTACAGCTCTTAAAGGTGGCACGGACCCAAAGAGTGAGCAGCAGCAAGATTTATTGTGAAGAGCGAAAGAAAAAAGCTTCCACAGCATGGAAGGGGACCTGACTGGGTTGCAGCTGATGGCTGGGGTGCCCAGCTTTTATTCCCTTATTTATCCCCGCCCATATCCTGCTGATTGGTCCATTTTACAAAGCACTGATTGGTCCATTTTACAGTGTGCTGAGGGGTCCATTTTACAAACCTCTAGCTAGCCACAGAGCACTGACTGGTGCATTTTTACAGAGTGCTGATTGGCGCATTTTACAATCCTCTCATTTACACCATGTTTTAGAACCAACAACAGAAAACTGTGTGAGAACACAATCTTCTAGGCAGGATGAACAGAAATACTATCAAAGACACAGCTTAAAAGAGAGAAGAGAGTTGTACTGGGCCAACAAATCAGGTTTGGCTAGGAAATGGTAAATCATCTGACGGTATACACAAACAAAAATACTTAAGCCAGTAACAGACATTCTTGTAGGCCAAAATGTATTCAAATGAAAACAAGTTTCCTCTTTTTAATCATACTACTCAAGCACTTTCTACTTTAAAATATTATATTTAATATAAAATTGAATATTTTACCATCTAAAAATTTTCAACTCTGCTTTTCTATAGCTATATCCTCTCATCTGTTGAATGATCTCTACATGTCTCCACTTATATCCAATATCGTATATTTTACCATAAAATCCAAATGTACTTCTACGTTACAAATTCAGAGAAATTAAAATAAGCCACAGTCATACAAATTTAAAACCCATTCAAATTCAGAGATAATCTTTTTTCTTTTAGATGATTATTTTCTCCAGAAAGTTAGATGAGAACAAATTAAATTCCATCTGACTACTTATTAAGGAATTTCTACATGCTAGACAGACCACCAATCAATTGTAATCTACATACTAGCACCAAATTGGAAAAAATGAAACTTTAAAAAAATTCCCATGTAAGCACTTAAAATAATTAGGAATAAATCCAATAAAAGATGTCCAACACTTCCTACACTGAAAACTACAAAACACTGCTGAGAGAAACTAAAGAACCTTAAAAAATAATAAGATACACCATTTTCAAGGACCAGAAGACTCAATATTTTTTAAACGACAATTCTCTCCCTAATGATCTGTATATTTAATACAACACAAACTGAAATTCCAGCAGGCTTTTTGATAGAAACTGACACTATTAATACCAAAATTTATGGAAATGCAAAGAATCTAGAGTAACCAAAATTTACCATAAAGCTACAGTAATCAAGTGTAGTACTGGCATAAGTATAGATATGCAGGGCCAGGCACAGTGGCTCACACATGTAATCCAGCACTTTGGGAGGTATAGGCAGGTGGATCACCTGAAGTCAAGAGTTCGAGACCAGCCTGGCCAACATGGTGAAACCCCATCTCTACTAAAAATACAAAAATTAGCCGGGCGTGGTGGTGCACACCTGTAATCCCAGCTACTCGGGAGGCTGAGGCAGGAGAATCACTTGAACCTGGGAGGCGGATGTTGCAGTGACCCAAGACTGTGCCACTGCACTCCAGCCTGGATGACAGAACAAGACTCTGTCTCAAAAAAAAAAAAAAGTATAGGTATACAAATCAATGCAATAATAAAAAGACCCACTCATTTATGGACAACTGATTTTCAACAAAGGTCAAAGTAATTAAATGAGGAAAGGATAGTCTTTTTACCAAATGGTGCTTGAACAACTGGATATTCATATGGGAGAGGAGAACCTGAACTTTTACCTCACATCCTACACAAAAATTAACTTGAAATAGATCATAGGCTTAAATGTAATGTCTAAAACTGTAAGGCTTCCAAAATAAACACAGGTGAAAATCTTTACAACCTTGGTGTAGCTAAATACTTCTTAAGACACAAAAAGCACTAACCATAAGTAAAAAGTGATAAACTGGACTCAACAAAATTAAGAAACATCTGCTCTTCCAAAGACTGTTAAGAAAATGAAAGGCAAGCCACAGAACAAAAGAATACAGTCATCTCTCGGTATCCCTGGTGGACTGGTTTCAAGAACCCCTCTCTACCCTCCTAATCCACCCAAAACTGAACACCAAAATTCGAGGATGCTCAAGTCCCTTATTTAAAAAAAAAAAAAACCCATATTTGCATATGCACATCTTCCTTATACTTTAAATCAATCTCTAGATTATTTATAATACCTAATATGATTAAATGCTATATAAATAGCTGTTATACTGTATTTTTTATTTGTATTATTTTTTATTCGCATATTGTTATTTTTTTACCAAACATTTTCCATCTTAGATTCGTTAAATCTGTGGATGTGGAACCCTCAGACAAGGAGCGCTGACTGTATATTCAAAATTCACACAGCTGACAAAGTACTTGTATCCACAACATATAAAGAACTTGTAACTCAGTAATTTTTAAAAGCTTTTTTAAAAATGAATTAAGAATTAGACACCTCATCTAATAAAAGGATATACAAATGGCCAATGAACACATGAAGAAGTGTTCAACATCATTTGCTATCAGAAAAATGCAAATAAGGCAAGGCATGGTGGCTGACACCTATAATCCCAGCACTTTGGGAGACTGAGGCGGGAAGATCACTTGAGCCCCAGATTTAAAGACCAGCCTGGGCACACAGCAAGATCTCATCTCTACATAAAAATTTTTACAAAATAAAATTAGCTGGATGTAGTGGCATGCACCTGTAGTCCCAGCTACTTGGAAGGCTGGGGTGGAAAGATTCCTTGAGCCTGGGAAGTCAAGACTGCAGTGAGCCAGGATCACATCAACCTGGACAACAGACAAGACCCTGTCTCACAACAAAAAACAAAACTTTTAAAAAGAAAAATGTAAATAAAAACCACAATAAGATATCAATTCACACTAAAAAAAAAAAAGTTAAAATTAAAAACACAGCATATAATGTAAATGAGATTACAGGAAGATAAAATGGCACAATCAGTTTGAAAAACTGTTTAACTTATTAAGAAACTGCAAAATATACACCATATGACTCAGCTATTCTACTCCTATTTGCCCAAGAGAAATAAAAACTTAAGTCCACAAAAAGACTTGTACATCAATGTTCATTGCCACTTTAATCATAATAGCCAAAAACTGGAAACCCAAATATCAGGTGAATGAAGAAACAAATTGTGGTATAGCCATACCACAGTGAATACTACTCAGCAATAAAAGGCAACAAACTACTGGAACACAAAGCAACATGGAGGACTCTCAAAAACATGCGGAGTGAAAGCAGCCAGGCATTAAAGAATATGTACAGTATGATTCCATTTACACACACAAAGTTTTTTTCTTGAGACCGGGTCTCACACTGTCACTAAGCTGGACTGCAGTGGTGTGATCCTGGCCCACTGCAGCCTTGAACTCCTGGCTCAAGAGATCCTCCCACCTCAGCCTCTCAAAGTGATGGAAATATGGGCATGAGCCACCTTGCCCAGCCCACTTACATGAAATTCTAAGAGACAAAATGAATGTATGCAAATCAGTGGTTTCCTTGAACCAGAGGAGGGGAGGGGTGTGGTGCACTGACTGTGAGGGACACGAGGAAGGTTTTGGAGATAACAGAAATTCCATTACCTTGATTAGGGTGATGGTTATCTGGGTGGGTATGTACATTATCAAAAGTCATCTAACTGCACCCCTAAAATGAGTATATTTCATTGTTTAAATTATATTTCAATAAAGTTGATTTTAAATCCTAATAAAACAGTAAAGTTTATTTACATAAGCCTAGATTACACAAAATTTTGAGAAACTATTGAGTCACATTATTTGTATTTTAGCCAAGTAATAGTAGCCTCCTAAACAGTCTTCCTTCAATGAATACTCCCTAGTCTTTACTCCCTCAAAGTAAACACGGACTAATTCATAACAATTCTGGTTTCTCCAACCAAAAGCCCTTCTTGTGACCTACTTCAGAAGCATAATATTGCTTATTACCATAAAATTTTATTAATAGAAGTTACCATGTTACCATGTGCCAGATAAAGTGAGCTTTTATAAATATTCTCATTTAGCTTTAAAACTCTGCTGTTACATAGGTAACATTATCTCTACTTACCAATGAGAAGACTGAGGGTAAACTTTCTGGATAATCTCCCTAAGGTTACACAACGTACAAAACAGAGAAGCAACAAATGGCCTATTATACAACACTGCCTCCCACAAAAGTAAGTAGTTCCCTTCTTCCCACATCATGATGTTATCTCTCTGTAGGAGAAGGTGAATTGTTACTTTACTACTGAAGACAACTTTGAACAAGGCCCAGTAGTTGACCCTTCACCTATCATCTCCAACAATCCTTATGAAGTGGGGTCCCATTTTATAGATGAAGAAACTGAGGTTCACGGAGATCAAGCAATTCATCAAAACACAAACTTAAGTGGAAGACCCTGAATTCAAATCTTTATCTATCTGACTTCAAAGTCCATGCTTTTATCACCATCTTATAGGACTTCAATAAAGCCACAAACAATGCATTATAGCCACTGGTAGTGGTCAAAGCTACAAAAACAATGTCTTTAAAGGAGAAAAGTCTTTCTACAACTCTTTTACAGCCATATTACAACGGTTATCCTCATTTCCCAAGATCTATAATAATGACTATTGTTTTTGAAACAAAGATTAGTACCCAGAAGTGTTTTGGATTTGGAATTTTTTCAGATTCTGGAATATTTGTATATACATAATAAAATATCTTGGGGATATAACCCAAGTCTAAACACAAAATATATTTGTTTCATAGCCTGAAGGTAATTTTATACAATGTTTTGTAATTGTGTGCATGAAACAAAGTTCTGACTGCAACTTGTCACTGGAAGTCAGGTATGGAATTTTCCACTTGTGGCGTCGAATAGTTTCAGGTTTGGGAGCATTTTAGATTTCAGATTTTTGGATTAGAGATGCTCAATCTGTACATAAAAATGCTAATACAAGGAACAACAGTTCTAAATATTAAAGTCAGGGAAATCCTGAAAAATCTAGGATTATATATTTTGTGCCAAAATATATCAAATATGTAAAGACTTCCTTCCATAAATCATCTGTACTATAATACCACATAGCCCACTGTTTAAACTACTTCAAAAATAAAATCTGTTCAGATAAAACATGTGGCCTGTACAGTTAACCTTTCAGGCAAAATCAAAACCCTACTTTGAAGTGATAAAGCACCTTTCTCCCATTATTAAATAACAATCATTCGGGGCTCTATCTCATCTCACATATTACCCTCCAGAGCACAAGTCTGTTTTGTCTGTTTGTTTGTTTTGCTTTATAATGCTGCAAATGGAAAATTCAAGGAAGTGGTTAATTATCTTTCTCAATTTTACAAGTCTAAGAAATCTAAAAATAAACTTGTATCTACAATCTTTATCAATATTGCTCAATTCTACTAAATCATAAGGCCTTCTTCTGACCACCAGTATGAGAAAGAAAAGGAATAAAAAGAAAAAAGAAAAATTTAGAATATACATCTGAAGGCCTCAGCAGCAACACTTCTTAGACTAAAAGTGTAATAAAAACCCTCTTAAGAGGAAACAAAAATGGTCTTCATACTTAAACTAAGTGATTTACAGTGTTTTATATCAAACATCTTAGAAAGTTAAGACAACTGTATTGATACATGTACCCTAAAGTCAAAATTAAAAGTCTCAAACGTTAGTATATGTGATAATAGCTGGATGACCAAATACATTTAAGTATGCTCAAGTTTTAGAACAAGATATCAATCAATCAACCATGTGCTTCTCTAGTTTCCAAGGTCTGTAGCCAGCAATGCAAAAAACCAGCAATCTGTTTCCTCATTAATGTATATCCTCAAATTGTCTGCAATCCAATTTCTTTTTTAAGTGAAAGCAAGTTTATTAGAGAAGAAAGAAAGTGCAATCTAATTTCCATTTAAATAGTAAGAGAAATGACATGTGAGTGAGACCTACAAAATATACTCTGTATCTACTCTTCTAGGTTCTATTTCTGGATCAAGTCATCCACCAATCATATCACTCTGGTCACAGAGATCACAAACTTGAATATATGAAGCAGCCTGGTGAAGGACAAAAAGACTGCAATTGTGCTTAACAAGAAACCATGAGCTGCTTTTAAAAATTATTAACTCAAAAATTCAAAACACTCTGTTAACAGTAATATGGTTATTGGGTATACATATAATAAAATTAAATTTGATCCCTGCCTCACATCACACACCAAAAAAAAAAAAAAAAAAAAAATTCCAGGTAGAACCAAGACCCAAAAAAAAAAAAAAAAAAACTGGTGGGGGCATAGCGGTTCACATCTGTAATCCCAGCACTTTGGGAGGCTGAGGCAGGAGGATCAGTCAGGCCAGGAGTTTGAGACCAGCCTGGGCAACATAGTGAGATCCTGTCCTCACAAAACTAAATTAAATTAATCATGTGTGGTGGCACATGCCTCTAGTCTTAGCTACTACAGAGGCTGGGGTGGTGGGATTACTTGAGCCCTGTCGCAAACAAAAAAACAAACAAATCTATTCCATACTCCAAGGTTATTAAGATTCTCCCATTTATTTATTTATTTATTTATTTATTCGTGAGACAGAGTTTCACTCTGTCACCCAGACTGGAGTGCAGTGGCTCAATCACAGCTCACTGCAGCCTTGACCTCCCAGGTTCGAGCTATCCTCCCACCTCAGTCCCGGCACACACTACCACACTTGGCTAATTTTTTAAGTTTTTTGTAGAGACAGGTCTCACTCTGTTGCCCAGGTTGGTCTCGAACCCTTGGGCTCAAGCAAACTTCCTATCTCAGCTTCCCAAAGTACTGAGATTACAGCCATGAGCCACCACACCCAGCCAAATTTCTTTTAAATTGTTTTTTACTTCTGTTTAAATGTGTACTGAAAAAAATTAAAGCAACACAAACACACATACCACTCCAGTGGCAACTATTATATATTTTCAGACCCTTCTATATGCATATATAGATTGCATATATCATATACATATGTGCCTGCAAAAATTTTGCACTGTAAGATTATACTGTGCATATTTTCTCTGCAAAATACTTTTTAAAAAACTTAACTAGTATATAGTAGGCATTTTCATGTCACAACGTATAGCTCTAGCTTATTCTCTTAATGTCTACAAAAAAATTCTGAAGTCTGGATACATATAATATATTTTTAACATTTAGATTGTTTTAACTTTCTTCACTAGTCAAGCAATGTCAGAGAGCATCTTTGTACACAAATTTAAGACTTTATATGAGAGTTCCTAAGAGTTTTTAATAAACATTTTAAAGACAATTCACAAGAAGGCTTACTAACCCAGGAAGTTTTGAATAGCAGCGTGGGAGCCACGGGAAAACTTCTCCTTTGCTCTTTAATGATTCACTTAAAAACCACCTCACAAAAGGGAGATCAACTGAAGAAATGAAGTAACAAACTTGTTAATGTGCATGAGGAGAACCACAGAGTGATCACCCCAGGTTTCTTAAATAAAACACAAACAAGAAAATAGTGATATATTTTATAATAATCATTTCTATTTAACAAAACAAACCATATAAAGTTAAGAGATAAGCCACACAGACTGAGAAAAGACAGTTGCAATTCACTTAACAAACATAATCGAAGTATGTAATGAACTTAAAACTTTCTAAAATCAATTTAGAAAGACCACCCAAATGGCTGTGGAAGGAAAAGAACAGCCAATTCAAGAAACAAACACTTGAATAGTCATCTAACATTTGAAAACATACTCAACCCCATAATCAAAAATAAAAATTAAGACAATGTGGTAACATTTCACACTCATCTGATTTGTAAACATGTAAAAAATCTGACAATGCCATTAATCATAACAATCGGAAGATGGCAAATTCTCATACTCTAGTGCTAAAATATGCAAAGTGACAGCAAATTTGACAATATCCAATACAGCTAAAAAAATTCCCATAACCTCCAAAATCTTCAGCCCAATAATTGCACTTCTGGGTAATTCACCATAGAGGGCTTCATTTCAAACTTAATAACCACATACATACACACAGAAATAAAAATTTCACAAAACATTTTATCCTTATTGTTTGCAATACAACCTGATATTTTTCTAATTCCTGAATTGATTTCACAATCCATTAGGGAGTCGCGACATGTGGGGTTTTTTCTGTTTGTTCATTTGTTTTTTAAGATGGAGTTTCGCTCATCACCCAAGCTGGAGTGCAATGGCGTGATCTCGGCTCACTGAAACCTCTGCCTCCCAGGTTCAAGCGATTCTCCTGCCTCAGCCTCCTGAGTAGCTGGGATTACAGGCACGCGCCACCCCGCCCAGCTAATGTTTGTATTTTTAGGAGAGATGGAGTTTCACCATGTTGGTCAGGCTGGTCTCAAACTCCTGACCTCAGGTGATCCGCCCACCTCAGCCTCCCAAAGTGCTGATATTACAGGCTCAAGCCACAGTGCCCAGCCACAACATGCAGTTTTTAAAACTTGCCAAAAATCTTAAATGTAAGCACAATGATTCCTAATAAGGAATGTTCAATGTAACATTATTTTTAATACATGAAAACCTGGAAACAATCTAAATGCCTATCAACATGAGAATAAATAAATTTTATCTGGCTATATTCATATAATAGAAAATAATTTTACAGCAGATAAAAGTATGACTATTAGGGTGGGCCATATGAAACTGTCATTTTTGTAGGTCAAAATGGTAACGTATCAGCAGTTTCATATAAATCAAAAAAATTTTCATGAAAGACAAATTATAGAATAAGCAGAATATATCATTTACATCAAATCTGAAAATATGCAAAGCAATACTATGATTTGTGAATATATACCCATGTAGTAATTACATAAAAACATGCATTAAAAATGATCAGGCCAGGAGTGGTGGCTCACACCTGTAATCCCAGCACTTTTGGGAGGCCGAGGTGGATGGACTGCTTGAGCACAGGAGACCAGCCTGGGCAACAGGCGAAACCCAATCTCTACAAAATATACAAATATTAGCTGGGCACAGTGGTGTAAACCTGAGTTCCCAGCTACTTGGAAGGCTGAAGTGGGAGGACTGCTCAAGCAAAGGAGATGGGCTGCAGTGAGCCATGATCATACCCCTGTACTCTAGCCTGGGTGACAGAGTGAGACCCTGTTTCCAAAAAAAAAAAAAAAAAAAGATCAACACCATACTCAGAATAATAGTTAACTTCTGGGAAGAAAGTAAACTGTAATCCAAGAAGTTGCTTCAACTGTACATGATTTTTTTTCCTCAAAAAAATGAGAAATATGGGAACATGCTAAGATATGCTACAGCTGTATGGTTAATATATGAATGTTAATTATATTGGTCTCTGTAGTCTCATGTATGTTTGAAATATTTTAAGGAAAAAAAACATATATTGGCCAAATAAAACATACATCTGCAGCCTAAATTCAAATCAACCCCTAAAATGTATTTCATTGGCTTGAAATCTTAATGCTTAGCCCTCACCTTTTTTTTTTTTTTAAATCTAGGGCCACTAACAACAACAAAACAGCTTTTATATAATGTCCAGTTTAAATAGTTTCTTAGAAATCTGTGAAGAGAGGATTTCACCCCTGAAAAATTGGTCTTGTTCCTCCTTTTAGTTTAGTGCTATGTATTTTACCATACTTCCATTTTTACCCTCGCTGCCAAGCAAACTCAAACCCAATTTTTATTCTTAGTCATTGAATTATGCTGTCACTTGGGAAAAGAATATATGCTTTGTCCTTTCCCTGATTTCTTCTTTTTACACATATTTTATTACACTTCCAGATCTTTTATTTTAAGTTACCAGATATCCTTTCTGGAAGAAATAGGATAAAATAAATTTCAAGAAAATAAAGTCAATCTTCTGTGCCATTCTGCTGAAGTTTTCATAATGTAACCCCTACCACAAAGACATCCTCCTTAACCAAAGGAATGGATACATGGATACAACTAGGCATACATGTTCACTAAACTTAATTTCAAAACATACAAGATTAAAGTGAATATGCTGTCAATGAAAAATAATCAGCTGATATACTAACAACAAACATACAAAAGAAAGGCCTAAATGGCCAAAGTGTAATAAGCTAACTAATTTTGCCCCTTTTAAGACCATATGCTTTGTGTTTTGTTCTCTAGTACACAGACATTGTGGAAATAAGAATATTCTTATATTCAATAAATCCAGTAAGAATGTGTAATATGATCAGTTATAAAGAAAATATCATTTTGTTGTAGTCTTCCATTAAAAAACTTAAGTGTCCTTTTCCAGTTATTTTTCCCATGCCTGAAGATAATCTGGCAATTCTCAGAATTTAGCTTCCCTTTTCCTTCTGTCTGGACACTTGTCTAATTAAGCCAATCTATAATATCATTGGCCAACATATATCCCCTTCTAACACATGGTATACTCCAATCCAGAAAACTCAAAACCATAAGTAATGTTAAACAAATCCCCTTTTTAATAAATTCCTCAACTTCCAATTTCTAAATACCAAATGTACTTATAAAATAGGCTAATTATTTCCTAACAGGTCCTAAGATATCAGTTCGTCCTATTTAACTTATCTTAGAGTTGAAAGATGAGAGACAACATATGCCAAAGTGACAATTTTATAATGAAGTTTTTCTTTTCTTTTTAAGACGGAGTTTCGCTCTTGTTGCCCAGGCTGGAGTGCAATGGTGCTATCTCGGCTCACCGCAACCTCTGCCTCCCGGGTTCAAGTGATTATCCTGCCTCGGTCTCCCAAGTAGCAGGGATTACAGGCAGTGGCCATGATGCCTGGCTAATTTTTGTTTTTGGTTTTTTTTGTTTTGTTTTGTTTTAGTATTTTCAGTAGAGACGGGGGTTTCGCCATGTTGGCCAGGCTGGTCTCAAACTCCCAACCTCAGGTGATCCGCCCACCTTGGCGTCCCAAAGTGCTGGGATTACAGGCCTGAGCGACCGCACCCAGCATGCACTGCAGTTTTTCAAGTTTGTATTTCACAATTTGAAAATATTATTTTTAACAAAATTAAAGCACTTCACTCAGCAGTAACCCCAACAGTTACTGGTTCATGAACCAATTTAGATTTTTAAAAGACCATTTACTTACCACCTGCTATATACCGGAACTGCCAGTAGATTATCAAGAAAGTTACACGTTCCTTACCCTCAAGAAATATATAGTCTATTAGGCAGGCACCCAGATTCTTTTTGATCAGTGATAACAAAACCATATGCTTTCAAGAGCCAAGCAGAGAATGTAAATAGGTGAAGCAGCTCCACCTAAGGGAGGCCCGGGAACAGAATGCATGCTCCACCTGAAGTAATCGTAAATCAACTTTAAAAGAATGCTATTGAAACAAAGCATATCTCCCAGTTAGATAGAATATACTGCAAATGCTTAACCTCCTATCAGATAAACAAAGATTTTTTTTTTTAATTTGTAATGACACAGAGAAGCTAGACTCCACCCACATTTCTGGTGAGAGTTTACATTGCTGTGACCTTTCTGGGTGGCAATGTGATAACACACATCAAAATGAAAAATGTGTTTTCTTCAACTATTACAAAATTACTAAAGGGGAATTAGCTTGCAATAAATATACATAAAATGTATGGGCAATTTACAATCCATTTATATAATCTAAATATCCATCAGTAAGAGCAGTATTAAGTTATAGCATATCCATTTAATAATACTACACTAGAGAACTACTAAAAAGAAGAGAGTAGATGCAGATGTAAAGTAAGCCACAAATATTAATTTTAAAAACACACACACAGGGCCTGTCATGGTGGCTCAAGCCTATAATCCCAGCACTTTGAGAAGCTAAGGCAAAGAGGATCACTTGAGTCCAGGAGTTCAAGGCCGGCCTGGGCAACATGGCAAAACCTCGTCTCCATTAAAAATGCAAAAATTAGCCTGGCGTGCATCTATAGTCCCAGCTACGTGGGAGTCTCAGTTGGGAGGACTGTTTGAGTTCGAGAGGGCAGTGAGCCGTGATTGTGCCATGGCACTCCAGCCTGGGTGACAGAGCAAGACCCTGTCTCAGAAATTAAATAAAATACACACACACACACACACACACACACACACACAATCAGCCAAGACAGCACCACCTGCTGAGCTCCCAAACACTGTTTCTGGTCACATCCAGAAGTACAACGCCACAGCTCCACACCACAGCTGAAATGGGTTTGCAAATGTCAGCAGTACGGGTTCTCTGAGAACTACTCACTGTGGATCCAGTCTACAGCCAACATGTCCTGCAGAAACTAGCTGCCCAGTAACAAGCAGCAGTTATAGAATCTAATAAAGTGGAGCCACTGGCTGACATTAAAGGGTTACTACAGCAGTACTATATACACTACAAATCCAATATGGAGATTCTCAAATTAAAACCAATAAACCTGGCAAAGAATTGACAGAGCTGGTGATATTTATGGCACAGATTGGTCACTGTTACCCAGAACATCTAAGTAACTTTCCTCAAGAGCTAAAAGATCTACTTTCCTACAATTATACTGTACTGTCTTGAATCAAAATCATCTAATAACATTTTACAAAGCTTTGATCTTGCTGAGAAGTATCATATCCATCCATCAAGTTTGCTAGAGCTCTTTTTTGAACTTCCAAGTTGCCATAATAAGCTTTTGAGACTTTACATACTCATGTTGTGACTGATAGCAAGAATATAACTGTAAAACACAAGAATAAAGTGGATATAGTACTGCAGAATTTCATATACATCGTGTTAAGAGACAGCAATGTAACTGCAGCCAAGATATCTTTGGATGTGATGACTGAACTCTACAAGAAACATCCGGACTGATGCCAAAACTGTCAATGTCATCACAACTGCATGTTTTGAGATATTGGTTGCCACCTTGACATTCTTCCTAGGATAAGATGAAGAAGAGAAACAAATAGGACAGACTCAGAATCTGAGGATAAAGTGACAAGAGACCTACAAGTGCAGTATGTCACTGGGAAGAGTGGCTCCAAACACAAAACACTGAAAAGGTTATGAAAAGTGCCCAGGAAACAAAAGAAGAAAAAACTCACAGTGTTTAACTTTTAAGCTATTAGCTTTATTCATGATCCTCAAAGTTTTACCAAAACACTCCTGAAGCACACAGCTAGAAATCTCTAAGCAGAGGTTTGAGTTAACATGATGCTCATAAATCTTATCTCCAGATTGGCAGAAATTCATAAGCCCTCTAACTTCTATGCCTTTGGGCAAAAGTTTCTGCTGCTGCACCACAGAGAAGTAACAGAAATCACTGTTTGCTAAACATGCATTTCATCACCTGTTAGTCCCAGAGATCACTCAGTTATTGCTCATGACTGTGACCATCCATTATGTTATGGACAAGAACTTTAGGGAAGACATGACAGTCCAAATCAGTGCTATAAGAGGTAATAGCTCAATGTCCCCTAGCCATGACAGAAGAACTTCCTCAAGACCTGTCCCAGTATAAAACACACAAGGATAAGAATATGATGCTGTCTACTATAACTGTGATTCAGTTCTTCCAAATCCTCAGATGATGCAGAATTCCAGGGTAAGCTGACAGAGGCCCCAGTAAAATCAACAGTGCAAGAATATGGCCAGGGACAATGGCTCCTGCCTGTTAAATCCAGCTATTCAAGAGGCTGAGGGAGGAGGATCGCTCGAGGCCAGGAGTTCAAGACCAGCCTGGACAACATGGCAAAACCCTGTTTCTACAAAAAATACAAACATTAGCCAGGCATGGTGGTGCATGCCTGTAATCCCGGCTACTTGGGAAGCTGAAGTGGGAGGATCACTTGAGCCCATGAAGCGGAGGTTGCAGTAAGCTACGATTGCACCACTGCACTCCAGTCTGGGCAACAGAGTAAGACGCTGTAACCAAAAAAAAAAAAAAGAAGGAAAAAAGAAAAGAGAAAGAAAAAGAGAAGGCTGAAAATGATAAAGATGGGTGGGGAAGCACCAGTCTCAGTGAGGAGGAGGGTGCTGCTGGTGAATCTGTTGACAAGTAGAAACTGCAAGAAATCTCCTAGAAGCTGAACAGCACCCATGGAGGAGTGAAAAGCCAAACTAAACGATGACTTCTAGAAAATCTGCATGGCTCAACTAAGGAAAAAATTCAGTGCTGCCCCCAGGGAAAGCCCAAGAGGAAATGTATTGAAATAGTGATAAGGAGCAAGTAATTTTTTCTAACATTGATGACAGTCATAAAAAGCCAAAGTCTGACAAGGAGACATGACTAGCAACTGCAATGGCTGGACAGACCAAAAAGAATTTATGAGGAAGAAAACCAAAATGAATCATTTTCCAAATCCAGAGATAAAGAGAAAAAAGAAGAACTTTGATGATTAGGTATAGCCAGAATGTCCCGTCAAAAAAAATAAGCATTCCTTTGGGGAAAAGCTGCTGCCACTATGAGATACACTTAAAAAAAAAAATAGAAAAATAAAAAGAGAGAAAAAGTAACATCCAAGCCAGCCTTCCATTCCCAAAATAAATTGTCATTAATCTGAAAATTAGTAAATCAAGAATGTTTACATTAGAAAGTCCAAAAGCACTATATCCTGAAAACCACCAAAAAAGGTGAATGACTGCTGAATGACGGGTTTCGTCATTTTTTTTTTTTTTTTTTGAGATGGAGTTTTGCTCCTGTTGCCCAGGCTAGAGCGCAGTGGTGCAATCTCGGTTCACTGCAACCTCCACCTCCCAGTTTCAAGCGATTCTCCTGCCTCAGCCTCCTGAGTAGTTGGGATTACAGGCGCGCGCCACCATACCCAGATAATTTTTTTTTTAATATATTTTTGGTAGAGAGGGGGTTTCATTCATGTTGGCCAGGCTGGTCCCGAACTCCTGACCTCAGGTGATCCACCTGCCTTGGCCTCCCAAAGTGCAAGGATTACCGACGTTAGCCACCACCCTCAGCCCACTTTTTTTTTTTTTTAAGAGACAGAGTCATGCTGTGTTGCCCAGACTGGTCAGAGTCATGCTGTGTTGCCCAGACTGGTCTCAAACTCCTAGCCTCAAGCAATCCTCCCACCTCAACCTCCCAAGTAGCTGGAACTACAGGCGCAAGCCACCACTGGGCTTGATCCCATTTTTGTAAAAAATAACTCTCGGCCAAGTGCAGTGGCTCATGTCTGTAACCCTAACACTTTGGGAGGCTAAGGTGGGAGGATCGCTTGAGCCCGGGAGGTCGAGGCTGCAGAGCCATGACGGCACCAGTGCACTCCAGCCTGAGATACAGAGTGAGATCTTAAAAAAACAAAACAAAAAAAAAAAAAAAACTGCAACACAAAGAATAAGCCCTATGTAAACTATAGACCAATAAATAACAACATATTGATATGGGCTCATCAAATGCAATAAATGTGCCAAATTAATGCAAGATGTTTGCAATAGGAGAAACGAGGGAAGGGAAGGGAATATGGGAACTTTCTGTGCTATCGGCTCAAATTTCTGTACATCTAAAGCTGCTAAAAAAAAGTGTAATTTTTAAATTCTGAATATGCAGACAAATCTGCAAATAATTACTTGTATATGCACACAAAGAGAGGTGAAAAGACCTATATCAAACTGTTGCCCCTGGTTATCTACAAAGGATGAAAACTGGAAACTAGCGCATGAGAAGGAATTTTTTTACATTATACAGTTGGCCCTCCATATCCATGGGCTCTTATGTCTGTGGATTCAACCAAGCTTGGATCCAAAAAGTTTAATATAGCATCTGTATTTGAAACATGCAGACTTTTTTTTCTTGTCTTTATTCCCCAAACAATACAGTATAACAACTATTTACATAGCATTTATATTCTATTAGGTATTATAAGTAATCTAGAAATGATATAAAGTATTTGGGAGGATATGCACAGGTTATATGCAAATACTATGCCATTTATATCAGAGATTTGAGCATCTGTGCATCTTGATATTCACCAAAGGTCCTAGAAGCAGTCCCTACAGACACCAAGGGATGACAGTATATCTCTGGACTGTCTAAACTTTCTACACTGAGCAATAATGTAAGTAGAGGCTCTGTAGCATATTGTTAAGAATTTGGGTTTCTCAAATCAGACTGCATGAAATCAAATCCTAGCTCCACCATTTGCTAGCTGATAAACTTCCAACAGTTACTTAATTTTTCTCCTTGCCTTAGTTTCCTCACCTGTAAAACAGAAATCATAGTATACACTCACAGAGCTGCCACAGCAATTAAATAATTTCATACACGTAAAGTAGTGGAAATTGTCTAGTACATAGTAAGTGCTCAATAAATGTTAACCAGCATCTTCATTACCAAGCATTTATTATTCCTGGATTTTCTTTTTAAATCTTGACTGGTAAGACTAATCATGAAAACCCGGTTCATAAGCCCCTTTCTAGAAAGACCTCCAATGCAGAAAATACAAAAGCAATCAAAATCCAAATACAAATAATGAAATACTTCTTAAAAAAGCAGATTACAGGGCTGGGCACGGTTGCTCACACCTGTAATCCCAGCACTTTGAGGGGTGAGGCAGGTGGATCACATGAGGAGTTCGAGACCAGCCTGGCCAACATGGTGAAACCCCGTCTCTACTAAAAATACAAAAAAAAAATTGGCCGGGCTTGGTGGCGCACACCTGTAATCCCAGCTACTAGGGAGGCTGAGGCAGGAGAATTGCTTGAACCCAGGAGGCAGAGGTTGCAGTGAGCCAAGATCGTGCCATTGCACTCCAGCCTGGGCAACAAGAACGAAACTCCGTCTCAAAAAACAAAATGAACAAAAAAAAAAAAAAGCAGATTACAAACCAACATTTATCAATTTGAGTTCATTTATATAAAAAATAATCACCAACAAATTCTATAATCACAGAAAAAAAGCCCCAAGTGGTGTACTTGTAAATAACTTTTACTTTCTCCTTTACAATTTTCTGACTCATTTAAATTTTCAACATTGACTATGTATCATTTTTAATGGAGCTCGGCAAACTTTTTATATTAAGGTCCACATAGTAAATAAATATAAGGTGTTACAGGCCACATGGCTCTCTGGCACAACTACTCAACTCTGCTGCTGTACCCCAAAAGAAACTACAGACAATACCTAAACGACTGCATATGGCTATGTTCTAATAAAAACTTTTTTCTTCCTCTTTTTTTTAAGACGGAGTTTCGCTCTTGTTGTCCAGACTGGAGTGCAATGGTGCAATCTTGGCTCACTGCAACCTCTACCTCCCGGGTTTAAACGATTCTCCTGCCTCAGCCTCCCGGGCAGCTGGGATAACAAGAGTGCGCCACCACACCCGGCTAATTTTTGTAGTTTTAATAGGGACGGGGTTTCACCATGTTGGCCAAGCTGGTCTCAAACTCCTGATCTCAGGTTATCTGCCCGCCTCGACCTCCCAAAGTGCTGGGATTACCAGCGTGAGCGATCGCACCAGGCCTAATCAAATCTTTATTTACAAAAAGAGGCAACTGGCAGGACTGGGCCTGCAGGCTTTAAAATCTGTCAATCCCTGAAATAAAGAATAAAACAAAATTATTTTCATTTTAGGAAACAAAATGTGATTTATACTAAAAAAAAAAAGTGCACCAGCTAAATTGATACTATTGATAGAAAAAACCATTTATTTATAAATTCATACAAGGAGCCTAGGGATAGAAAAAAAAAACAAACTCTCTTTTAGGCTCTGGAAATCCTACTCCCATTCCTAGTGTCAAGTGAAAAGAGGAAATCTGCTAAGCAGACCAAAGTCTAGATAGGAACGTATACTGGAGGACAGACAGTTACAATCAGAAGTTAAAAGAAATATGCCTTTCACATTTAATTTGCAATTTTTTCAAATTTCATAATTCACCAACAAGCAGCTGCCACATGTGTGGAAATCTTTACTGATGAAATAATTTTAGTTGCAGATCATCACAATCAACACTCTGACAACAAATTTATCAGAACGGATGAAAACATCTAGGAATTACCTAAGAGTCGTTTAAGGAGACATAAGGGTGGCCTTTGATAAGAGGTCACTTCAAACTTTCAGAACTGACAAGACGTATAGCCTCCCCCCAAAAAATAATGCTATGGGTAGATGGATGCTTTTTTCTGAAGGAATTTTTAGCATTTCATTTGGAAAAGTTCTGTGATCAAATAATGCTAAATGTTATGACAGCTTTCTTGGCGTTTAAAGGGATTCTCTGGGTGAGGGGAAGGGGTGATAAAAAAAAAAAAAGTCTGCTTTTGGAACAGAAATGGGGGACAATAACCAAGGCTCAGAAACCCAGAGTCAAAAAATTAAAAGAACATCTTATTTTAAAAAAAAAGTCAACAACCTGCAATGAAGTCACCGTACCCCCATAAAATCCCAACTGTGCATTTAAATCTTTCTACCAAAATTCACTTTTGGACCATCTTATGAAGTTGTCAAAATTTCAGAGGCAAACGCTTAAATCAAGATCAAAAGCCAGGAGGAAAAAAGAGCTAACAGTTTCCAACCCAAACTCTCTCCGAGCCCCCTAAAAACTGATTTATAACCCTGTCATCGGTAATTTTAGAAGAAGCGAACACTGACGGACGGGGGCTTGGGAAAACAGGACTCCAGGTACCAAGCAGGCTGCCTGACGCGCCACCTGAAAAAGGTGAGGGAACTCTTCCCCACCCCAGTCACTGTGAAAGTAGCGCTGAGAGAGCCCATCCCAAGCCTCCACCAAACAAATTCCTAGAAGTGATAAAAACAGACAAGAGACGAAGAGGGGCGGGCAGATCCTCTCCGCGGGCAGGGAGCTGGAGCAACTGCACCCGAAGGTGAGCAGAGGGCAGCAGGCTCCGACCCTCCGCCGCGAAAGGCGAGGCGAGGGGAACAGCGGGCGCCGGACTCCTCCGACAGCGGTCGCAAGGAGGGCGGCTCCAGGTCCCCACACGGCCGACCCTCAGGCCAAGGCGCGCCGGGCGGCAGGTCAGAGTTAGGAATCAAGTTGCGGGCCGGGCCGAGAGCGCGCTCTCCCGCCCGCGCCAGGGACATTCGCCCCTCAGCTCTCACCTCCCCCCGACCCCAAGCTCTCCCTCTGCGCCCAGGAAACGGCGCCCACACTCCAGAGACCCTCACCCGGAGCCCGTCGCCGCCTCACCGCGTGTCTCGGACTTCTTGGGAGCCACCGCTGAGGGGAGGGGGGAGGAGGGGGGAACGGAGGAGGGAGGGGGCCAAGCCCGGTGTAGCCGCCGCCGCTGCCGCCGCCGCGATGCCGCTTCTGGAATCGCGCTCTCGCCGCCGCGACAGCGACCGCCGCCGCCGCGTCTCCCCGCCCCCACGACCGCACGTCGCCGTGACGCGCATCGCACGAGGCGGTTCGAGCCAATAAGACCACACGCCGTGCGCAGCCGCGCTGTCCTAAACCGGAAGCCGCCCCTCTGACCGCTCTAAAACCTGGGTGCATCGTGGGAGCTGTGGTTCGGCCAGGAACTTAGCGAAAACTATACTGGGTGTTGAGGGCCGGAGGAGCGTGCGCTCCTTAGGCGCTCACACAACTCCTCGGAGTTTTTTCTCCCACCGAAAAAGGAAGCAATTTGGAGCTGAGGAGGAGGGGGCCGCCCCGGCTCGCGGATGCTTTTCGCAGTCTCTATGGATACTGGCTACACACTTTGGGCAAGAGCCAGAATTTGAGGATTTAGGCTGGATCGTGTGTCTCTGCCAAGGGCTGATAGGATGCTGAGCGTCGTCTGTGAAGACTGCGGAAAGAAATCCAAAAGCATTAGCCCAGTTTTGCCCAGAGCAATAGTGTTTGCCTTTTATTACCTTATTAAAGATTATGATTTATGCTCTACCACTTCTATTTTTTTTAAAACCCAGTCACTCTTAAAATACATATAATTCAGAGCGATTTTTAAAATGATGTTAATGTAATGGTATATCAGAACCTACTTAAGCACTAAATACCTGCGTCCATTTACCCAGAATGAGTAAGTAATTTTCCACAAGTCATCTTTACGTTGAGTTCTAACTTCTTAGAAGCCAAGAACAGATTTGGTTACGTACTTATTCTATAAGAAAAGTGAATATAAGAGTTAGTCTGCGTAGAAAAATAGTTCTTTACATTCAGTAGGAGGGGGAATTTATCACATTCTTAAGGCGTAAATGCCTTAACTATCAAAATTCTTGTTATTGACTAAAGGAAATCCATACGATTTAGGGAAAGTCTGTGCCCACGGCTTACTGTCCTTACCTTTGGACCACAGCAAGAGATAACAAAGGGTGCAGGGAAAAGCTGACAGGTCTTGAGGGAGCTGGAGTCGGATATATGACGAAAAAAACAAAAATACAGAAGTCTTCATTATGGAAATGTAAGTTTTAAAAAGTAAAGCTACTAAAATCACAAAGAACATGATTAAGATGGCAATAATACAGAACTAAGGCCCACTCATTTAAGCTTGAAAGAGATAAAACTAGTAGAAATTAAAATTAGGAAATAAATGTTAAAGGAACTAATTTCCTCCAAGGAGTGGTTTACATTGAAAATATAATTTTTTTAAGTTTACATAATTTGTGAAAGACATAATAATAATGACTTCTATGTTCCCAGGTAAAGATGTAAAGCTTTTGAGGTTGAAATCAAGGAAGACAATTGTACACCTCCTCAGCACATCAGAAACAATACAGGCATTTCTGGATTGTGAATTTGACCCGTTATACCAACTCACATAGAACAGAGATAAGAAGTATAAGATTCTTAGGCTTAATAAAGAGTCTACTAAAGGTGACAGAACTAGAGCGAAAAAGATAATTTTCTTAAAAAGAGATTCTTCAAAGATCTCCAATCTTTCCTGCATCCCTTTCTCTTAAAGACTGGTTTCCAGGCCAAGCGTGGTGGCTCACACCTGTAATCCTAGCACTTTGGGAGGCCGAGATGGGCAGATCACTTGAGGTCAGGAGTTCAAAACCAGCCTGGCCAACATGGCGAAACCCCGTCTCTACAAAAATACAAAAAATTAGCCAAGCATGGTCGCGCGTGCCTGTAATCCCAGGTACTCTGGAGGCTGAGGCAGGAGAATCACTTGAACCTGAGAGGCAGAGGTTGCAGTGAGCTGAGACCGTGCCACTGCACTCCAGCCTGTGTGACAGAGCAAGACTCTGTCTCAAAAAAAAAAAAAAAAAAGATTCTGGTTTGACAAAACGAAGGGCTTTAAGAAGCTACCTCTGGAACAGTTCACCGTGTGCTGAACCAGATGAAAGACAGACTTACCATTTCCCTAAAGTTTCACATCTTGTTCTCGGTTACCTTGATCCCATTCACATATCACTACTGCCAGTTCCTGATGCTTATATAGTGATGAAACAAACCACATCATTTCCTCAAAATACCCACACCTCCTTAACTATTGAGGATGTTGCCACTGTCCCTGACCTGAGCACCTGAGGAACATTCCCCTGATCCCCACATCCATAAGGCTGGCTTCACCCTTAACCCTTATCTAAATGTCACCATTAAATATTCCAAAGCAGAATTTTCAGGCCCTCTCCCTGACCATACTTCAGTTACTAAACTTTATATATTGTCTTCTGATTAGCTGTCCAAAAAACAAGAAAAACTCAGTAAAATTCTCTAACCTCCAGCATCAGCTGCGTATCTTAGAATTTCTGTTCTCTCCATTCTTGGGGTATCACACTACTCCACAGGAGGGTAGAGCCCTTTATCTTCTGCAGCACCAAAAAAAGATTCCCTTCCACCCCTATCCCACATGCCAGTCACCAGTGACCCAACAGTACCCTGTGGCTCAACTAGTCTGATGTAGTCATCTCTGCAATTATCAGATGTTATTGAAAAGGATGGCGCATCACTAGGTGAGTCACATCCATAATCCAGTTGTGGCTCCAGTGACACTATAGTATATTGCTGACATGATGGACAGAGTTAAACTCCATTGTGATATCCAAGGCAATAGCCAATGAGATTCGCATATGTATCTAAGGCATGGTAGTGCGCACCTGTAGTCCCAGCTACTCCAGAGGCCAAGGCTGGAGGATCACTGGGCTCAGGAGTTCCAGGCTGCAGTGAGCTATGATGGCACCACTGCACTCCAGCCTGGGCAACAGAGTGAGACCCCATCTCTAAAAAAAAAAAAAAAAAGAAGAAGAAGAATATGTATCTAAAGCTAAAAGCAAATGAACGTTCAGCTTTAAATTTTTTTTTTTTTTCATAAAAAGAGAGTCTCACTATGTTGCCCAGGCTGGTCTCAAACTCCTGGGCTCAAGCAATCCTCCTACCTCCCAAAGTGCTGGGATTATAGGTGTGAGCCATTGTACCGAGCCAACTTTCAAATTCTGAAAGAAAAAATACCCTAGATCCCAGTGCAAATTTAAACTTGAGTTTGAAACTGGTTTATATTGCTTCTCTTATAGAGAAAAGACAAGCTATCATTTTTCTTATCAGAATCGTATCTATTTTTAAGAAGGAAAAAAGACAAATTACTTCGCCAGTGAAAACCAGAATTAGAGTGTTCTTTCAGAGACCTGTGTCTGTGAGTTTAAAAAAAAAAAATTACAAAGGGAAATTAACAGCTTCGTTATTACAAAATACTTAATTCTAGCCTAAACTCTTCTTTTCAGCTCCAATATTTATCAGCTTTCAAAATATAAACATTAGAACTGAGGGGGAAATCTGGACAACATAGAAGATACACCATAAAAAAGATAAATCAAAAGAAAGGGCAAGGAATGTCGTCACATCAGTCCCTCTGGTTGTCTCATATAGTGTCCATAGAACAGTGAAATCCAGCCAGCTATTTAGGATTCAGTGGTGTTAGATGCTTTGCAAATAGTCTAGTAATCTACTTGAGAAAATTAGAGGGAAATACATAAATATCTGTATTCCATCTTAATTGCAATTAAACGAATCACTGATATCAAATTGTTATGTTGTTTAAAACTACATTAATCAGGGCCGGGCGCCATGGCTCACACCTGTAATCCCAGCACTTTGGGAGGCCGAGGCGGGCGGATCATGAGGTCAGGAGATCGAGACCATCCTGGCTAACACAGTGAAACCCCATCTCTACTAAAAATACAAAAAAATTAGCCAGGCGTGGTGGCAGGCGCCTGTAGTCCCAGCTACTTGGGAGGCTGAGGCAGGAGAATGGTGTGAACCCGGGAGGCGGAGCTTGCAGTGAGCAGAGATGGCGCCACTGCACTCCAGCCTGGGCGACAGAGTGAGACTCCGTCTCCAAAAAAAAAAAAAAAAAACAAAACAAAACAAAAAAAAAAACTGAAGAGAAAGACCAGTATAAACACTCCAATAATTACATAAATTACATTCGCAGCTCCTCAAACGCAGATTAGATAACATAGTCCTGCAGATTGAACTTAAGATAGAACATCATTACTGGCTGTGCTGCTGACAAAGGCATTGTTTATCTATGGCTTATGCATTAGCTCTTGTTAAGCTTTGATACCTTCATCAATAAAATGAAGATGTCGGTGAATACATGTTTTAGATGGACAGAAAGGATAAATACAACTTTAGGAATGTACTTGCCGGTGGGAAGGGGTGAAGAATAAGCCTGGGAGCTATGGAGAGATCATCTTTATCTGTAATATTTCATTTCTTCTATATGAAAAAGATGAAGCAAGTAACAAAACATTTAACATTTATGAATCCTAGGTGGTATGTACATGGACATATATTAGAGGCTTCTCTGAACTTTTTTAGTAGTTGAGAAAAACAACTTTATTGAAGTATATTTTATATAAAATGCACCCTCTTTTTAAGTGTACAGTTCAAATGAGGTTTGAAAAATGTATACTCCCGTGGAAGCATAACCTCAGTCAAAATATACAACATCTCCAACACCCCCCGCAATCCCCCTGTGCCTATTTGGAGTCAGTATTTCCTCTCCCAAGCCTGGCTCCAAGCAACCACTGATATTCTTTCTGCCACTATAGAATGCTTTTGCCTCTTCTAGAATTTCCCATTAATGGAATCGTGCGATATGTACTCTTTTGCTCTGTCGACTTTCTCTCAGCATGGGGTTTTTGAGTTTCATTCATGCTATTGCATTCATCATAGTTCGTCACTTTCCGTTGCTAGGTAGTATTCCATTTGTTTATCCATTCACCTATTGATGAATGATTGGGTAATTTCTTGTTTTTGTTGTTGTTGTTTTGTGAGACAGGGTCTCACTCTGTCACCCAGGATGGAGCGCAGTGATGCAGTCGTACCTCACTGCAGCCTTGATCTCCTGAGCACAAACAATCCTCCTATATCAGCCTCCCAAGTAGCAGGGACTACAGGCATGTGCCACCATGCCTCGCTAATTTTATTATTTTTTGTAAAGACAGGGTCTTGCTAAATTGCCCAGGCTGTCCTCAAACTCTTGGCCTCAAGCGATCCTCCCATGTTGGCCTCCGAAAGTGCTGGGATTACAAATGTGAGCCACTGTGCCCAACGTCTAGTCCCTGATTGTTATAAATAAAGGTATTGTGAACATTTATGTACAAATCTTTAGAGGACATGTGTTTTCATTTACTTTTGATAAGGGGGTGAATTAGCAAAATCATATAAATTTATGTTTAACTTTATGAGAAACTGCCAAATTGTTTCCCCATTTTACACCCTCACCAGCAATATATGAGATTTCCAGTTGTTCCACATCCTTGCTAACCCTTAGTATTGTCAAATTTTTTATTTTAGCTATTCTAGTGGGTATGTCAGTGTTATCTCATTGTGGTTTTAATTTGCCTTTTTCTGATTGTTAATGATGTTGAGACTTTTCATGTGTTTATTGGCCTTTCTTATATTTTCTTTTGTGATGTGTCTGTTCAAACTTTTTACCTATTTTTTAAAATGGGCTGTTTTCCCTCTTATTATTGAGCCATAAGTGTTCTTTTTTTTTTTTTTTTTTTTGAGACAGAGTCTCACTTTTTCACCCAAGCTGGAGTGCAGTGGTGCAATCTCTCCTCACCGCAACCTCCGCTTCCTGGGTTCAAGCAATTCTTATACCTCAGCCTCCCAAATAGCTGGAATCGCAGGTGTGTGCCACCACACCAGGCTAATTTTTGTATTTTTAGTAGAGACAGGGTTTCACCATGTTGACCATGCTGGTCTCGAACTTCTGACCTCAAGCGATCTGCCTGCCTCGGCCTCCCAAAGTGCTTGGATTACAGACGTGAGTCACCATGCCTGGCCATCAGTGTTCTTTATATATCTTTAGATACAAGTATTTTGCCAAAGTAAAAGGCAAGCAAAAAATTCTTTTAAGAATGCCAGGATTACATAATATTTCAAAGTTATAAAGGGTTGTTTCCATTTAATCTCTCCTTTGCTGTGAGAATGAAAATAGAAACACAAAGTTTTCATTACCTTAAAAATAGAGAGTAATAAAGATGCGTATTAGAAGCTACAACTACGGAACAACAGGAAATACAGGTGAAAACAATAAAGAAAAATGTCATTTCTTAAGTAATTTAGAAGCACCCAGTAATTAAAAATCTGTCATCTTTTTATTAAGAAAAAATTCAAGACAGCATCTGTTCTACTCAGTGACTGCTTATGCGCTCACCCACACACACAGAACTGTAAGCCAAAAAAAGAGCATTTTATTTGTTGTGCTAAAATTTTAAATCCATAATCTAAAGAGGTTTATTAACCTTGCAATATCTCAATGATGTATAGCTAAACTCAGAACTCAGGACCAGGTTTAGTCAGGATAGTTTGATATAAATACTTTCATCAAGTTATACAGGATGAATCCCTGAGCCCTTGAGGTCACAATCTGGTGAAGTGACAATTTGCAGAAATAAGTTGCAAGGACTGGCAGGCATTTACGGTGGAGGAAGAAGAACTGATCTGGAATTGAATTCCAATGATTGTGACTAAATAATCACTGAGGTAGGGGTTGAGATTGTTCTCATAACTTTGTTTCTCAAAATTTTTTTTTCCTTTTCTTTTGGTTTAGATTAGAAGCAAAAGCAAAACTGGGTAGGAAAAGCAGGCTATAGCAAAAATAAAATTCTTAATGAAAAATCCAGACTATCAAAAGTCTTACTCCTTCCCCTCAAACTTTCTCTAATAATCTCATATGCCTTGGATGTCGTCAGCCAAGTCTAGCCACACCTGAGGTATTGCGGGCAGGCCCAAGACAAGCGTAAAACAAAAGAGGATAGGGGAGAAAGAGGAAAACAGAAAAAGAGTAAAAGAGCTCAAAGAAATGCTGCTAGAGATGCAACATAAGTGCTGTCAGTTGCCCATCTAGGAAAGCAAGCCGAACACTTTTAAAAGAGAATTGGGGCCAGGCACAGTGGCTCACTTTGAGAGGCAGAGGCGGGCGGATCACTTAAGGTCAGGAGTTTGAGACCAGCCTGGCCAACATGTCGAAACCCTGTCTCTAATAAAAATACAAAAATTAGCCAAGCATGGTGGCACACACCTATAATCCCAGCTACTCCGTGGCTGAGGCACAAGAATTGCTTGAAACCAGGAGGCTAAGGCTGCAGTGAGTTGAGTTCCCACCACTGTACTCCAGCCTGGGCAACAGAACCAGACTCTGTCTCAGAAAAAAGAAAAGAAAAGAAAAGATAATTGGCCAGGCATGGTGGCTCACACCTGTCATTCCAGCACTTTGGAAGGCCAAGGCAGGAGGATCACTTGAGCCCAGGAGTTCAAGACCAGCCTGGGCAGCATAGTGAGACTCCATCTCTACAGAAATTAAAATAAAAAGCCAGGCATGGTGGCTGGCACACACCTGTAGTCCCAGCTACTCAGGAGGCTGAGGTGGGAGGATCACTTGAGCCCAGAAGATCGATACTACATTGAGCTATGATCATGCCACTGCACTCCAGCCTGGGTGACAGAGGGTGACTCTGTCTCTTAAAAAAAAAAATGAGCCAGGCGCAGTGGCTCATGCATGTAATCCCAGCACTTTGGGAGGCCAAGGTGGACAGATCACAAGATCAGGAGATGAAGACCATCCTGGCCAACATGGTGAAACCTTGTCTCTACTAAACAATACAAAAAATTAGCCAGGCATGGTGGTGCACCTGTAGTCCCAGCTACTCCGGAGGCTGAGGCAGGGGAATTGCTTGAACCTGGGAGGCAGAAGTTGCAGTCAGCCGAGATTGCGCCATTGCTCTCTAGCCTGGGCAACAGAGCGAGACTCCATCTCAAAAACAAACAAACAACAAACAAACAAAAACCCAACATTGCTCTTCCTTCTTCCCAAGCAAATGAAGAAAATAGGTGTGAGATTCTCAAAAGTCAACATCTAGAGAGCTTATTAAGAATGTTAATTCCAGCTGGGCACGGTGGCTCACACCTGTAATCCCAGCACTTTGGGAGGCTGAGGCAGGAGGATCACTTGAGTCCAGGAGTTCGAGACCAGCCTGAGCAACATAGTGAGACCCTTTTAAAAATAACCAGTGTGAGCACACCTGTAGTCCCAGCTACTTGGAAGGCTGAGGTTGGAGGTTTGCTTGAGCCCAGGAGATTGAGGCTGCAGTGAGCCATGATCAAGCCACTGCACTCCAGCCTGAGCAACAGAGCAAGATCCTGTATTTAAAAAAAAAAAAAAAAAAAAAAAAAAGGCAATTCCCAGATATTATCCCAGAGATTCTGGTAGGCCCCAAAAGTCAGATTTTTTTTTTCCAGTCAGATTCCAAAGATTCTGATTCGTGGGCTCCATGCAGGCCTGGCTTCCTAGGTGGATGACCTATGCAGTTAGTTGCTCGGGGCCCTGTACTCGAAAGTGCCCTATGCTTGGGTTTTGTTTTTTGTGTTTTTTTTTTGAGACCACATTTCGCTCTTCTTGCCCAGGCTGTCATGCAATGGTGCGATCTCACCTCACTGCAACCTCTGCCTCTGAGGTTCAAGCGATTCTCCTGCCTCAGCCTCCCAAGTAGCTGGTATTACAAGTATGCACCACCACACCCAGCTAATTTTTTGTATTCTTAGTAGAGATGGGGTTTCACCATGTTGGCCAGGCTGGTCTTGAACTCCTGACCTCAGGTGATCTGCCCACCTCGGCCTCCCAAAGTGCTGGGATTACAGGCATGAGCCACCGCGCCTGGCCCCTATTCTTGGTTTGATGCTCTGTTGTTACTGTCTTGAAATTTTTAATAACTTTTGAATAAGAGACCCTTCATTTTCCCTTTGCACTGGGCACTGCAATTTATGTACTGCAATGGGAGTTAGACCTTAGACTTCAGTCTTTTACTGCGGAAAATATTCAGACAATTACCTACATATCTATTGGATTTTAAGCCTGATACACAGCATCTGAATTAATTCAATTTATACAATTTCTACTTGGCACTTTGGAATCAGGGGATCCTTGAATGAGCTTTTTCCAGAGGGAGAGCCCAGACAGAGAAGTACCTGTTGTTACAGGAAGCAAATTCCTGGGGGCAGTGGCTTCAGGAACTGGCAGTTATTTGTGCAAGGAAGGGATAAAGAAAAAAAGTAGAGACCCCAAAAATAATACATGAAAAAAACATCATTCTCAGGCATTTGAGGAGAGGCAAAATTGACCCAACAAAGGTGATCAGATAGCCCTGAAACTCAATTATCTGAAAACTTTGGTCATTAAAAGCTAGAAAAAGTCAAAGACCTTTGGAATAAATTCTAAGCTGATTTACTTTGCCTAACCCTTTCAGCTGGGGAGGTCAGTAGGTGGAGATGGAGATACAGGACATGTCTCTTAAGACTGCCAGAGTGTTTTGTGGCAGAACTAGGAGAGACGAGCTTTAGGTCAGCTAATAAAAGTTCCCATTTCCCCACTTGCTGTCTATCATGGTAGAGCATCAACAACACACATTCCATGGGGAAAAAACAAACCGTGGCAAACAGCCAGTTCCATCCAAGGCTAAAAAATAGAATCAGAATATATTTCAGCTAAATCTAAAAAACAAATTGCTCTTGCCACTGTGCTTCAACTGGAATATATTCCTCTCAGTGGTTGAGTCAGACTGTCGAACCTTCAGAGCCTGGCTGGCCATAAACTAGAACAGGAAGGGAAGGGCGGTATCAGCTTTTCCTAGAATGACCAGCTGGGTAACATTTATTGTGGCCGTCCATTGTCATGCTCCTTTTTTTTTTTTTAATCTTTTATTCCTAAGTAACTTTGGCTGTTGTTACTCACTCTTAAGTGGCTTCAGGAAGGCAGAAGTCATCATGGTTTTCACCATCATTACCATCAATGCCATACCCATGTAATTATTATAATAACAATAGCTGATATATGTATAGAATATTTACTATGTGCTGAGCATTTTTTGAGTAATTTATATACGTTAACTCATGTAATCCTCACCACAACGCCATGACATAAATACTATTGTTATCGCCATTTTACAGATGAGGAAACTGAGGCACAGGGGGTTAAATGACTTGTTTAAGGTCACACAGCTATTACATAGCAGAGCCAGGATTCAAATACAGGGAGTGTGACTGTAATGCCCAAGCACATAGTCACTAGTCTACGTAACAAAGGCCACTATTCTGGAAGCTGAATGAAGCAAGGCAAACAGTTGCTCTGAACCTTTTTTGGGTTATAGGCTCCTTTGAGCATCTATACCCTCAGAAAAATAACTATATACACCAAATATTTACAGATTCACAGAGGACTGCCCCTGCTCCTCCGAGACCATACATTTACATTTATGACTTTATTCCTGGTTAAGAATGCCTACTACAGCCACTAGTTGTTTAAAATTGTAAAACAACTACCAAAGACAAAAAGATCTTTAAGTCTAATGATGAGGCCGGGCAAGGTGGCTCATGCCTGTAATCCCAACACTTTGGGAAGACGAGGTGGGAAGATTGCCTGAACCTAGGAGTTCAGTACCAGCCTGGGCAAATGGTAAGGCCCTTGTCTCTACAAAAAAAAATTTTTTTTAACTAGCCAGGTGTAGTGGTGCATACCTGTAGTCCGACCTACTCAGGAGGCTGAAGTGGGAGCATTGCTTGAGCCCAGGAGTTCCAGGCTTCAGTCAGCTATGATTGCACCACTGCACTCCAGTCTGGCCAACAGAAAAAGACCCTGTCTCTAAAATAAAATTTGAAAATTTAAATCTAATAACTCTGTGAAGTGTGGACTCAGGGCACTAATAACCCTGTAAGCCCTACATAGTACCATGTCATCAAAATCCAAGAACTGACTTTTTTTGAGACGGAGTCTTACTCTGTCGCCCAGGCTAGAGTGCAGTGGCACAATTCCAGCTCACTGCAACCTCCGCCTCCCCCGTTCAAGCAATTCTCCTGCCTCAGCCTCCCGAGTAGCTGGGATTACAGGCGTGCACCACCATGCCCAGCTAATTTTGCATTTTTAGTAGAGACAGGGTTTCACCATGTTAGCCAGGCTAATCTCGAACTCTCGACCTCAGGTGATCCACCCACCTTGGCCTCCCAAAGTGCTGGGATTACAGGAGTGAGTCACCGCGCCCGGCCAGAACTGACTATTTTAAAAAAAACAAACTTTAAAGATTTTTATCAACTGCCAAATTATTTCAAAATTGAAGAATAAACCACTATAACTTCCAGCATATAACACAGTGCCTGGCCCACACTGAGTGCTCAATAATTGTTAATAGAAGGAAGGAAAGGGGAAAAAGGGAGCCAAGTGTATCTGAATGCTTTTTATTAGTACGCTCAATGTAATTTCAATATATCATTCAAGTTTTAAATATATATGTAATAAATTATATATAACATATATAATAAATTATATATAACATATACAATAACTCCATTTCTTCACAATCACATTTTGATTACCCATCCTCAGAATCAAGCAATTCAAGTTCTTCTCCAAATAACTTCTTGGCTTCATAGTGCTATTGCTTTCCATTCAGCAATTAAACGCTAAAAAAAAATTAAATCTCTAGAAAGCTGATGCTCATTTACATTTAGCTAATTGACAAGTTATGATACAATCCACAACAATTTGGGAAAGGGGAATTCACATACAGGATATATATGAAAACGACCTTGGAACATACTAGAGCAATGGGAAAACAAATGCAAACCAAGTTATCTGGGTTGTCACCATGCTAACTAGATATAAAACCCAGGCTGGGTGCGGTGGCTCATGCCTATAATCCCAGCACTTTGGGAGGCCAAGGCAGGCAGATCACAAGGTAAGGAGTTTGAGACCAGCCTGACCACCATGGTGAAACCCGGTCTCTACTAAAAATACAAAAAGTAGCTGGGCGAGGTGGTGCATGCCTGTAATCCCAGTTACTCAGGAGGCTGAGGCAGGAGAATTGTTTCAACCCGGGAGGCGGAGGTTGCGGTGAGCCGAGATGGCGCCACTGCACTCCAGCCTGGGCAACAGACCAAGACTCTGTCTCAAAAAAAAAAAAAAAAAAAAAAAGATATATAACCCAATAGAAATAGGTGATGATTAAATTGTCCTGCTAAGAAATTTGAAGATTGAAAGTCCAGAGCAATGATTTTAGAAGATCTTATTAAGGGTAGAAGCAAATAACGGGAGACCACTTAAAACTCTTTGAGCTGATGCTAAAAACGGTTGTTTATACTCTGTAGAGCTACAGATCTATCTGTTTTACTCTACTTTCTCTATTTTAATACTGTTTTTCAAATTGCACTGACGCATGCTTTTTCAAGTCTGGGTTCAGATCAAAGGAGGGCTCTGGATGGCTCCATAGGCCAATTAGCCGACATTTTATAAACAGCATGTGACTTCATTAGAAGACACCAGCAAGTCTCTAAGAGTTCATAATGCTATTCCGCTGGGAAGTGACTTACTCTAGAGAATGCTGTCATATGTCTGTATTGGCATCTCCTCTTGTCCCCAATTTGGTTAATAACTACAATTATGCTTTGGTCATTTCAACAGCTCTGAGCCTTTGTCAGACCTTATCCCTATTCTGTGCCTTCATGCCTCCCTGGACTACTCCAATATGTTCCTAATTGGTCTCCCTGTCGTCAATCTCAACATCCTCCAATCCACTCCATCTACTGCTGCCAAGACCCACTTTCAAAATGAGTTAAGTTCAAAAACTTTCAAAAGCTCTCAAAGTCCGAATTCCTTTAAGCTGAAATCCAAGGCTCTCCACAATCTGGCCCTAACTTAATATTTCAGAAATTCACTCACATTATTATTACATGTACCACGTACCAAGCTCCTGCCAAACCAACTATTTACCATTCCCAAAATATATTCTTCACTTTCTGCCTCTCTCTCCTTCCTTGGAAATCCTTTGCTTCCTACTAGCCTATTACGAAGTCCTTCCTCACACAGCAACTAAAATGGGCTCTTTTTTTTTTTTGAGAGAGAGTCTCGCTCTGTTGCCCATGCTGGAGTGCAGTGGCACGACTGAAATGGGCTCTCTGTCTGCAATTTTACTCATCCTATTAAATGTTAATTAATAATTTTTATGGTATGTGTATTTTACCATAATAAAAAATGGCTTAATGAAAACATAGAGTTAATTAATAGATCTCAAGTTTAACAAATGGGCAGACCAGATAATCTGAAAATTATCCTGCTACAAACACCTACAACTGCTGAGTAAACTCAATAAGGCTTCTTTTAAATACAAAGCCAGGGCCGGGCGGGGTGGTGCACACCTGTAATCCCAGCACTTTGGGAGGCCAAGGCGGGCAGATCACGAGGTCAGGAGTTTAAGACTAGCCTGGCCAACATGGTGAAACCCCATCTCTACTAAAAATACAAAAATTAGCCAGGTGTGGTGGTGGGCACCTGTAATCCCAGCTACTTGGGAGGCTGAGGCAAGAGAAACGCTTGAACCCGGGAGCGGGGGGTTGCAGTGAGCCGAGATCGCACCACTGCACTCCAGCCTGGGCGACAGAGTGAGACTCCATCTCAGGGGGAAAAAAAAGCCAGGTTGGGTGCAGTAGCTCCTGCCTGTAATCCCAGCACACTTTGGGAGCCCAAGGCAGGAGGATCACTTGAAGCCAGGAGTTCGAGACCAACCTAGACAACATAGCAAGACCCCCATCTCTACAAAACAAGCATGGTGGCATGTACCCGTAGGCCTAGCTCCTTGGGAGACTTAGGTGGGAGGATCTCTTGAACCCAGTAGCTTGAGGTTGCAGTGAGCTATGGATATGCCACTACACTCCAGCCTGGGTGACAGAATGAGATTCTGTCTCCAAAAACTAAAATAAATACAAAGCTGAACACTCAAGAAAGAAAGTTAAATAACTAGGTGCCTGAAACACAAAGGGAACCAAGACCACTACAGTACCTGTGAATTCAAGCTTCATTTGCTCTAGAAGGTAGGGGACAAGGGGAAAAAAAAAAACCTTCCCTGAGGAATTAATAACCATGAGCCTGTGCCTTATGTGAGCTTAAGGTTTACTTTTAGAACAATATGATAGAGGATATACGATAAAGTTAGTATTTTTAATGTGTATGTGTATTTTTACACATTTAAAATGTGTAAAAGAAGAAATGCAAGAATAAACAAGAGTGAATGAAATAAGAACAGGTAGAAATGCAAAACAATCAAACTTCCAGAAATTATAAATAAAACTTAGTGAATAAGTTAAACGGCAGATTCGACACAGCCAAATCAGCTGGTTGAATTTACCCAGAAGACAGCATAAAATGAGAAACAGAAAATAGAGATTTGGCGGCCGGGTGCCGTGGCTCACGCCTGTAATCCCAGCACTTTGGGAGGCCGAGCCGGGTGGATATTTTAGGTCAGGAGTTTGAGACCAGCCTGGCCAATATGGTGAAACCCCATCTCTACTAAAAATACAAAAATCAGCCAGGCGTGGTGGTACACACCTGTAGTCCCAGCTACTCGGGAGGCTGAGGCAGAAGAATTGCTTGAACCTGGGAGGCAGAGGTTGCAGTGAGCCAAGATCACGCCACTGCACTCCAGCCTGGGTGACAGAGCAAGACTCTGTCTAGGGAAAAAAAAAAGAGAGAGAGATTTGGAAGCAAGGAGGATAATATGTCTACTGTAACACTCATAGGTAATCCAGAAGGAGAAAAGGGAGAGAACGGAGGATCATAAATATTCAAGAGATCATCACTGATAATTTCCCAGAATTAAAAAAAAATTCCGAGAATTGATGAAAGATATGAATCCTCAGACTCAGAAATCATGACAAGTGCCAAACCAATAAACAAGAAGAAATTTACACCTAGACGTATCATGGTGAAATTGCAGGCACCACAGACAAAAATCTTAGAAGCTACCAGAGACAGAAGACAAAAGAACTACAATTAAATCCAACAATAAAGGCCCAAAGATAATGGAATAGTATTTTCAAAGTATTGAGAAAAAAACAAAAACATTATCAATCTAGAATTCTATATTCATAGAAGTTCTCACTCAAGAGTGCAAACAAAATAAAGATGTTTTCAATAAAATAAAGACATTTTCAATAAAACAAAGACCAGGAGAGTTTAACATTCGGTTCCTCTCTGAAAAAAAAAAAACAAAAAAAACAGCTAAAGTGTATACTTGCAGAAGAAGAAAACTGAACCCAGAAGGAAAGAACAATGGTAATAATTCTCACCTACTTTGGGTGGAAATGTAAATTTGTATACCCACTTTGGAGCAAGGTTTGGATTACCAGGTATAGTTGAATACGTGCATATCCTAAGACCCCAGAATTCCACTGCTAGGCATAGAACCTCCTGTATGAGGGACATAAGGAAATATGTAACAACATCATGATTTATTATAGCAAAAGCCTGGAAATAACCCAAATAAATAAATAAGGTGCTATTGATTTATTTATTTTATTTTATTTTTATTTTTATTTTTTGAGACAGAGTCTTGCTGTGTCGCCCAGGCTGGTGGAGTGTGGTGGTGTGATGTCGGCTCACTGCAACCTCCACCTTCTGGGTTCACGCTATTCTCCTGCCTCAGCCTCCCAAGTAGCTGGGACTACAGGTGCCCACCACCATGCCCAGCTAATTTTTTGTATTTTTAGTAGAGACAGGGTTTCACATGTTAGCCAGGATGGTCTCAATCTCCTGACGTCATGATCCGTCCGCCTCGGCCTCCTAAAGTGCTGGGATTACAGGCCTGAGCCACCATGCCGGCCTATTTATTTATTTTTTGACACGGAGTCTTGCTTTGTCACTCAGGCTGGAGTGTGGTGATGTGATCTTGGCTCACTGCAGCCTCCGCCCCCGCCCCGGGTTCAAACAATTCTCCTGCCTCAGCCTCCCGAGTAGCTGGGATTACAGGCATGTGCCACCACGCCTGGCTAATTTTGTATTTTTAGTATAGGCGGGGTTTTAGCATGTTGGTCAGGTTGGTGGCGAACTCCTGACCTCAGGTGATCCACCTGCCTCTGCTTGGCCACAGTTTGTTATTTTTTTAAAAGCAAAGAAATGATGGAGGGATCCAGGCGCGGTGGCTCACGCCTGTAATCCCAGCACTTTGGGAGACCGAGGCAGGTGGATCACCTGAGATAAGGAGTTCAAGACCAGCCTGGCCAAATGGCGAAACCCCGATTCTACTAAAAATACAAAAATTAGCCGGGTGTGCTGGTGTGAGCCTGTAGTCCCAGCTACTCAGGAGGCTGAGGTGGGAGAATTGCTTGAACCTGGGAAGCAGAGGTTGCAGTGAGCCGAGATCACGCCCCTGCACTCCAGCCTGGGTGACAGAGTGAGACTCTGTCTCAAAAAAACAGAAATGATGGAGAAGTTCATCATGGAGTGGCATGCAGGTGGCTTCTGAGGTATGGTAATGTTCCTTTGGGTACATTTTATTGCTATTCTCTAAACTGTGCTTTTTTTTCTTGCCATTCATTCATTAAATATTAAGAGCTTACTCTAGGTCAGGCCTGTGCTAGGTGTTGGAGATACAACAATGACCAAGTTAGACAACGTGCTAGTTCTCATAGAGGACATTGTAGTGAGGAGTTTGGTGTGAATTAAAGATTCATGAATTCCAACTACTTTTTTTTTTTGCAGAAATAGACAAAGTGATCCTGAAACTCACATGGAAAAGCAAGGACCCAGAATAACCAAAACAATCTTGAAAAAGAAGATAAAAGTTAGAGGGCTCACACTTCCCAATTTCAAAACTTACTTTAAAGCTACACTAATGAAGACAGTGTGGTAGTGACATAAAAATAAACATGTATATTTCAATGCAACAGAATGGAGAGTCCAGATGTAAGCTGATACATCCATGGTCAATCTCTGACAAGAGTGGCAAGACCGTTCAGTGGGGAAAGGTCAGTCTTTTCAACAAATGGTGCTTGGACAACAGATATACATATGCAAAATAGTGAATTTAGACCCCCTAAATTCACACCTTCACACTATATACAAAAATAAACTCAAATGATCAAAGACCTAAATGTAAGAGCAAAAACTATAAAAATTCTTAGAAGAAAATATAGGGGTAAATATTTGTGATATTGGAATAGGCAATCATTTCTTAGGTATAATATCTAAAATGCAAGCAACCAAGGATAATTAGATAAATTAGGTTTCACCAAAAGTAAAGGCTGTTATGTATCAAGAAAGCGAAAAAACAACCCAAAATGGGAGAAAATATTTACAAATCATGTATTTAATAAGGGTTTTATATCTAGAATATATAAAGAGCTCCTATACCTCAACAATAAAAAGATAAATAACTCGGCTGGGTGTGGTGGCTCACACCTGTAATCCCATTACTTTGGGAGGCTGAGGAGGGCGGGTCACAGGTCAGGAGTTCAAGACCAGCCTGGCCAACATGGTGAAACCCCATCTCTACAAAAATATAAAAATTAGCCAGGCATACTGGCAGGCACCTGCAGTCTCAGCTACTTGGGAGGCTGAGGCAGGAGAATCACTTGAACCTGGGAGGCAGAGGTTGCAGTGAGCTGAGATTGTACCACTGCACTCCAGCCTGGAAGACAGACTGAGACTCTGTCTCAAAATAAATAAATAAATAAATAAATAACTCAATCTAAAAATGGGCAAAAGATTTGAATAGACTTTTCTTCAAAGAAGATCTATAAGAGGGCATGAAAAATGTCCAATATCATTAGTCATTAGGGAAATGAAAGTCAAAATCACAACAAGATACCACTTCACAGCTGGGCACAGTGGCTCACGCCTGTAATCCTAGCACTTTGGGAGGCCGAGGCAGGCAAATCACTTGAGGTCAGGAGTTCAAGACCAGCTTGGCCAACATGGTGAAACCCCGTCTCTACTAAAAATACAAAAATTAGCCAGGCGTTGGGGCAGGCGCCTGTAATCCCAGCTACTCAGGAGGCTGAGGCAGGAGAATCGCTTGAACCTGGGAGGTAGAGGTTGCTGTGAGCTGAGACTGTGCCACTGCACTCCAGCCTGGGCGACAGAGTGAGACCCCATCTCAAAAAAAAAAAGAAAAAAAAAAGGCAAATTATATGGGATGTAAATTTTATCTTAGTAAAAAACAAAATAACAGAAACAACACAAAAGATTAATGATATCTCACCCTGTCAAAGCAGGAAGGGATCTTAAATGATTGTCTAGTCAAACTGCATTATTTTAGAGAGAAAGAAACCAAGGTGCAGAGGAAGGAAGTGACTTATAAAAAGTGACACAGCTCGGGCCTGGCGCGGTGGCTCACACCTGTAATCCCAGCACTTTGGGAGGCCAAGGCGGGCAGATCAGTTGAGGTCAAGAGATGGAGACTATCCTGGACAACATGGTGAAACCCTTTCTCTACTAAAAATACAAAAATCAGCTGGGCGTGGTGGTGCACACCTGTAATCCCAGCTACTCCGGAGGCTGAGGCAGGAGAATCACTTGAACCCGGGAGGCGGAGGTTGCAGTGAGCTGAGATCACGCCATTACACTCCAGCCTGGGTGACAGAGCAAGACTCCATCTCAAAAAAAAAAAAAAAAGTGACACAACTCGTCAGCTGCAGGGTGAACATTGAGCCCCAGGACCTTTTACTTTTTTCTATATCCTTTAACATGTAAAATTTCAAACACATACAAAATTTCAAACACAAACACATACAAAAATGTCAAACACATACAAAAATAGAGCTAGCTCCCTGTATCTATACTCCAGCTTTAATAGTTATTAGTACACAGCTTTTTTTTGTTTTTTTTTTTTGAGACGGAGTCTCGCTGTGTCCCCCAGGTTGGAGTGCAGTGGCGCGATCTCAGCTCACTGCAAGCTCCACCTTCCAGGTTCACGCCATTCTCCTGCCTCAGCCTCCCGAGTAGCTGGGACTACAGGCGCCCGCCAACACGCCCGGCTAATTTTTTGTATTTTTAGTAGAAACGGCGTTTCACCGTGTTAGCCAAGATGGTCTCGATCTCCTGACCTCGTGATACGTCCGTCTCGGCCTCCCAAAGTGCTAGGATTACAGGCGTGAACCACCGCACCCGGCCCACAGCTTTAATAATTATTAAATAAGTATCAGTACACAAATTCAATTTTTCTTTTTTTTTCTTTTTAGACTGGGTCTTGCTCTGTCGCCCAGGCTGGAGTGCAGTGCACAGACTTGGCCCACTGCAACCTCCGCCCCCAGGGCTGAAGCAATCCTCCCACCTCAGCCTCCCAAGTAGCTGGGATTACAGGCCCACACCACCACGTTCAGCTAATTTTTGTAGTTTTAGTAGAGACAGGGTTTTGCCATGTTGCCCAGGCTGGTCTCCAGCTCCTGGGCTCAAACAGTCCACCTGCCTCAGCCTCCCAGAGTACTGGGATTACAGGTGTGAACCACTGCACCCAGCCACAACTTTAATAATTATTAAATAATTATTAGTACACAACCAATTTTATTTTATCTCCACCGTCACTCACTTTCTCCCCTCCCAGATTATTCTGAGATGTATCTCAGACATCATAGTATTCATCCACCAATACTGCGATATGTGCATAGTTTTTCATTTATTTTTCATGTATGATCTGTTTCTCATACACATACACATGCACACAAAAGAAAAAAAAAAGAGTGATCCCTCCAAAAAATGGAAAGCAATGGTGAGCAAAGAAACTAATAAAGCTTTAAATAAATCTAAACATGCATTCGCTGTATAACTGTATGTTACATTGATGATGGATATGTAAAGATATGAAGTATCACTGCAAAATAGCATGTTAGATAGGGTGGTGGTGTATGAAGTACTAAGTTCCTTGAGCAAGACTCCATCTCAAAAAAAAAAAAAAGTCAGGGTGTGGCAACAGTGTAATTGCTGGTGGCCTGACCATTTATGGCAGGATCTCAGCAGGTATGCAGAGCTACTATTCCGTGGGGAGGGAGTTGATGACAGCTAGTCAAGGTATGACAACTACATTCTAGAAGCTTAGAAAAGTTCCTGCTTTGGTAAGACTTGTTGATGGCACCTGAGCCACAGCAGTGGGGCTTAGGCTGAAGTTTCTGATCCCTGTTGTGGACCTGGGCAAGGGCCTGGTGGTGATGGGGAGCTTGCTTGGTATATGTCCAGCCTTAAAAGCTAGAAAAAGCAACGGCGGGAGCAGTGATGTCTGTGAAGCTGTATTGATAAAGTTGTTTTTTTTTAAAGGTGTAAAAGTAAACACATCTGAATCTCAGGGAAAAGCTACGCTACTTCAACTTCAGGATTCAGTCATTCCTGCTTGTTCAGAACCACAGGGTAAAATGAGCACTGCACTTACAAAGGGCTAATCACAAGCGAGGGCACTGTGGCGACCTTTCACCAGGTGTCAAGGTGTGGCGGCCTCTGTAGACCCATGACTCAGAACACCAGGCCAGGCACCATCTGGGAACACATCTGCGACTTCATATGAAAAAAAGGTGTAATTTAGTTGAAGCAATTAACTTAAAGTTGGTGAGTAAAGCCTTTTCGAATGAGCTGTGAGTGAGTGAGGGGGAGAGGATGCCCGAGGGGCAGTGTGGGGTTGCCTGCAGTGGAAGCGAGGCTGGCACTCTGCTACTGAGTGCCCAGGGAGAAGGAGGGGAGGACGCAGGCCAAGAACCTTTGGCCCCCAAGCAAGGCCTCCAAGGAAAACCAAAGGGCCGAGCTCGAGCTCCCCTTTCCTCCTGGTTTATTCTCTTTCCCTCAGGAGCCTGCCGGACTCCACCCTCAAATTCTCAGCCTGAGAAAGTAATATGATATTGGCACTCACCTCTCCAAATTCTTCCAGAAAGAGAGTCAGATTAGAGTGTGACAGGAGCACAGTACGCTTCTGGTCTGAGCTTTTGGAGGCCATATGACTCTAGAATGAGCCCGCCTGGTTTTTGTGAATGAGTCTAACTAAAATGAGTCCTCTTATTTTTTCACCAGAAAAAAACAAGATGTGTCAAGGGGCTCTTTGGGCTGTGAAAGGGCTGTATCCCAGCAACAGCTCATGATGTTTCTGACAACTTATTAGCATCTATTTGAGGGTGATTAAAAACATAATGTGGGGCCGATTGCGGTGGCTCACGCCTGTAATCCCAGCACTTTGGGAGGCCGACACGGGTGGATCATGAGGTCAGGAGTTTGAGACCAGCCTGGCCAATATAGTGAAACCCTGTCTCTACTAAAAATACAAAAAAAATAGCCTGGCATGGTGGCAGGTGCCTGTAGTCCCAGCTGATCAGGAGGCTGAGGCAGGAGAATCGCTTGAGCCCAGGAGGTGGAGGTTGCAGTGAGCCAAGATCACACCATTACACTCCTGCCTGGGTGACAGAGCGAGACTATCTCAAAAACAAAAAAAAACGAAAAAGCCATAATGTGTAAAGGATTCAAATTGTACTCAATTATTATAATAGCCTACTTCTCCCCATTCCCATTCCTCCTCCCTAAACCAGAGCTCCTGTTTGCCAGGCAAATAAGCTACAACTAAAATAAAAGGTCTTTTTAGACAAGGATCAAGCCAGATTAGGAATATTATAACTAGGCTTTCCAATCAATATCAGGACTTTCCATTTCTCTATCTGAGTCTGAAACTAATTACACTTCCAGGTCGTGGGGCCCCAGGTGCTGCTCTCGTGGCACCACTCGTGGGGCTCTAGGTCCAGAGGACAGTCTCTGCTGGCTGAGGCTGGAGGGACCATCTCATTGGTAGAAGTGGCATAGCATGACTTGGCCACTGGACATCTTGGCTGTCACCCAGACTTATTTCAAAGGCGAGACTAAAATAAAGAGGGCTGATCAGAGTGGGGGCAATCAGAGATTGGGCCATCGCTAGAGTTACAAAAGCAGCGCTGGCTACTGTAGGGCAGCAGCGTCATCTCCTCGAGATAGGACTCCCTCTGCCCCAGTTCTGTTCACCGTCCAAAGACCAGGGCCCTCCCTGAAGCCCAGCACTTGAGAAATGCTCGCTCTCACGTATTATGACTCTGGCTTTGGAAAGAAATTCAGCAAGGGTACTGGTTGAAAGGTCAAAAAGTGGTGAAATGCCATCTGCCCAAACGGAAGCAAGGGGTCGCTTGGATTGGGTAAAGGTTTCTTTTGTGGTTTTAAGCCGTTGGGTTGTTTTTCGTTTGTTTTTGTTTTGTTAGAAAGCACTGTGTCTGTCTGGAGGTCGAAGGGTCGGGTGGGTGTCTGCAGTGCGGCTTTTCTCCCTTGGCCAGTGGGGAAACAAAGTGGGTTTACTGGCCATTTCCGCTTTGTGTGAAGGAAACCTGAGATTCACTGCCTCCAGCACATGGGAGTTGTCTGTTATTTTTAGTTTAGTTCTGTTGTTGTTATTAGGTGTTTTTAAAACATATGTAAGTGTGTATCAAAGTTGTATTTCACAGTGTTGGCAGAAAATTTACAGGAAAAAGACAGAGGAGGGTTTAGTTGAAGATCAGGAGGAGGTAGTAAGACTGGTTAAATGTCTAGTGAAAGGTTTTAGGCATACCAGGATTGTCAGTCAACTGGGAGGGTAACTCTTTTATTTTTAAAATTGTGGTAAAATATGTATAAAATAACATATACTATTTTAACGATTTTTAAGTAGGCCTGGGCACAGTGGCTGACACCTGTAATCCCAAGCTTTGGGAGGCTGAGATGGGAGGATCATTGGAGGCCAGGAGTTTGAAACCAGCTTGGCCAACATAGCAACTTCATCTCTAAAAAAATAAAAATAAAAATAAAAGGTTTTTTTTTTTTTAATTATCTGGGCATCGTGGCACACTGGGCAAGTAGTTCCAGCTCCTTGGGAGGCCGAGGCAGGAAGATCACTTGAGCCTAGGAGTTCAATGCTATAGTGAGCTCTGATCACACCGCTGCCCTCCAGCCTGTGTGACAGAGCAAGAACCTGTCTCTAAAAAAATAACAATTTTAAAATGCTCAAGTGAACAGTTCTGTGCCATTAAGTGCACTCACATTTTTGTGCCACCATCACCACCATTCATCTACAGAAACTTTCTTTCTTTCCCAACTGAAACTCTGTCCCCATTGAACACTAACGCCCCATCCTGCCCTGCCAGCCACTGGTGGCCACCGTTCTGCTGTCTCTGAATTTGACTATTCGTAGTACCTCATATGAGTGGAATCGTAGAGAGAGTAGTCGTCCTTTGTGACTAGCTCATTTCCCTTAGCGCAACGCCTTCAAAGTTTATTCACGTGGGTAATTCGTTCTTTACGGTTTGTTTTTCATCGTTTGGACCCTCAGTTTTTGTTTCTTGTTGAGGATTTGGTAGTCTCAGATACTGAGGATAGGATTGCAGGCTGAAAGTCTGGCCAGGAGGCTTCCTGATCCTTCTCCTCACCCTAAAATATCTTGGCCACACTGGATATATATTTTTTTCTTTTTGAGATGGAACCTCCCTCTGTTGCCCAGGCTGGAGTGCACTGGCGCAATCATGGCTCACTGCGGCCTCAACCTCCCAGGCTCAAGTGATCTTCCTGCCTCACCCTCCCAAGTATCTGGGACTACAGGCATGCACCACCATATCTGGCTAATTTTTTTTTTACTTCTTGGGAGAGATGGGGGTCTCACTTTGTTGCCCAGCCTGGTCGTGAGCTCCTGGCCTCAAGCGATGCTCCCTCCTCAACCTCCCAAAGTGCTGGGAGTACAGGCATGAGCCACCACGCCTGGCCCACACTGGACATTTCTTAGTGTTTTTTCCTGCCTGGGTCACTACCTACTTGGTGTGTTAATAGCTCTCAAGGCTCTTAGCTTGGCCCACATTGCTTGCTCCTCTGGGCAAACCATGAATATTTCCAAAGCAGACCAGCCTCTCAGGGGACTCTCTGTCTCTGTCTGTCTCTCTCTGCCTCTGTCTCTGTCCGTCTCTGTCTCTCTCTCTCCCTGTTTCCATCTCTGTGTGTCTCTGTCTCTCTGTGTGTGTGTGTCTCCATCTCTGTCTCTGTCTCTCTCTGCCTTTCTCTCCTCCCTCCTCTCAGCATCAGTATTTACCCACTGGCCTCAGGCAAAGGCTTCAGAGAAGGGAAAGCAGCCTTTTCTTTCCCCTTCCCGTCCTCTCAGGCACAGGAGGCATGCCTTCTGTTTGCTTGTTTTTATAATCATTCTTTGTAAGCAGAACATTCAAATGGCAAAATATATAAGCAGTAAGAACGTGCAATGAAAAACCAGTCTCCCCACCCACTTCCTTGTTGCCTTTTGCCACACCAGCCACTGTGACCTTGACTGTCTTTCTAGGGACATTTACACATAAACAAGCTCAGGGGGCCTCTTTTTACACAAAAGATATCATCTTATACCCACCCCCCTGTATCATGCTTTTTGGAAAAAATACATAAAAATAAGAGTGTAATAAATGAAGTCTCCACCAACCAGAATTGATAAAAAACATTTAGTATAGCTGTTTTTTTTCTTTTTTTACATAAAAATAAGTAAAATGCTACAGATGAAGTCTGAAATATTCTGTGGCCTTTGTGGTCAGTCCTGCATCCTTCCTCCCATCCTTAGAGGGGAGCGCTACTGGAAATTATTTACACCCTTTCTGTAATTTTTTATATGTCATATACATACATATATACATCTGTGAACAATATATAGCATCATTTTGCACAATAATCATTTTTAATATCCCTTCCCCCTACTGGCAGGCATTCAGGTTCTTTTAGACTTTGCTCCTCAAATAATGCCGCAGGAAATTTCTTGTGCCGATATCTTTGTGCACATGCGTGAGTGTATCTGTAGGATAATTTTGTAGAGGCGGGCTTACTGGATCAAAAGATATGTGCATTTGATAGTTTCAAAGAAAGGGCACCAATTTTTACTTCCACCAATAATGCATGGAACACCTATTTCTTCACATCTTCTTTCACATACAAATTTATCAAAATTTTTAATTTTTATTCATCTAATACATAAAAAATACCTCTTATACTTTGAATTTATGTATTGGAAACCATGTATTGGTAATGTATTAGAAATATAATAGAATTATTTCTTTTATTATAAGTGAGGGTAAGCACCTTCTCATGTGTTTGAAAGCCAGGCAGGCCGGGGGTGGTGGCTCATGCCTGTAATCCCAGCACTTTGGGAGGCCGAGGTGGGTGGATCATCTGAGGTCGGGAGTTCGAGACCAGCCTGACCAACATGGAGAAACCCCGTCTCTACTAAAAATACAAGATTAGCCAGGCGTCGTGGCACATGTCTGTAATCCCAGCTACTTGGGAGGCTGAGGCAGGAGAATCACTTGAACCTGGGAGGCGGAGGTTGCAGTGAGCTGAGATCATGCCATTGCACTCCAGCCTGGGCAACAAGAGCAAAAACTCTGTCTCGAAAAAAAAAAAAGAAAGCCAGATATATTTCTTCTTCTGCGGTTTTTTAAGGTCTTTTGCCCATTTTTCTTTGGGGCTGATTATCTTATTCACTCTTAAGTGTACTTTGCATGTGAAGAAAATTAACTGTCATATGTGTTGCAAATATTTTCCCAGTTAATTACTTATGACTCAGCTATTTTTGCCACATGGAAATTTTTAATTTTTATGAAGTCAATTTTATCAATACTAATGTTTTTAAGTGGTGATACATTTACTGTTTTCTTCTAATTTTCTTCATTTCTCCCCTACTTCCCATTTCTAACTCAAATCATACCTCAGATTCCTGGGTCTAGGGTGAGATCAACAGCTGGAAGCCACCACAGAGTTAATCCAGGTGAACCCTGGAGGTTCAACATAACCCCGAAGGCTCCAGGGGCCCTTGACTTAACTTTGCCCTACTGTATATTTATAGGGTATCCTAAATCTGCCCTAACCACTGACACTTCCTGGAGTTCTTTCAGTCTGAAGAAACTTCTGGTTCCAATTTGGTCTCCTTAAAGACCTCTGCCCCAGGCAGGTCTGCATCCTTGGAGGCACCATGGCAGGGCTGGCACAGGGAAGCTGGGACCTTAGTGACCTACTGCTGCTTTTTCATTCTTTTCACTCCCTGTGGAGCCGGGTTTCTTACTGGCAGAGAAGGGAAAGGGAGAAAACAAGAATGCACTCATGCTGTCGGCCTGGACTTGGAGATTATCAGTGTGGACTCATGCATTCCAATACACAAAGATGGAGAGAGAGGTACAGGTGTAAAAGTGTGTGTAATATTTTGAATCTACTTTTGTGTGTTCTTAATTTTTATTATTTCATTCATTTATTTTTGAAACAGGGTCTTGCTCCGTTACCCAGACTGGAGTACGGTGGTGAGATCATAGCTCACTGCAGCCTCGACCTCCCGGGCTCAAGTGATCCTCCCACCTCAGCCTCCTGAGTAGCTGAGACCACAGGTGCGCACCACCACGCCCAGCTAATTTTTCTATGTTTTTTAGAGACACGTTTACACCATGTTGCCCAGGCTGGTCTCAAATTCCTGGGCTCAAGCGATCCTCCTGCCTCAGCCTCCCAAAGTGCTAGGATTACAGGCAAGAGCCACTGCGCCCGGCCTTGTGTGTCTTTAAATGTTTTTTGTTGTTGCTGTTTGTTTGTTTTTTGAGACAGAGTCTCCCACTGTCACCCAGGCTGGAGTGCAATGGCATGGTCTCGACTCACTGCAAACTCCGCCTCCCGGGTCAAGAGATTCTCCTGCCTCAGCCTCCCAAGTAGCTGGGATTACAGGTGCCCACCACCACGCCTGGATAATTTTTGTATTTTTAGTAGAGATGGGGTTTCACCATGTTGACCAGCCTGGTCTCGAACTGCTGACCTCGTGACCCACCTGCCTTGGCCTCCGGAAGTGCTGGGATTACAGGCGTGAGCCACTGTGCCCAGCCTTTAAATGTTTTACATGTACATCCTTGTCATCGTTTTCATTTAATTACTCTCCTCTAGTTTGTAAGGGCAGGGCCATAGTGGGCCAGTCCCAAGGCCATGGTGGGCCAGTCCCAGCCATTCTTTCCCCTTCTCTCTACCCGAACACAAATGTCTGCACAGAACACCATCATTCAGCCATTGGGGATTAAAAATTAAGATCGAGGAAAAAGCAAAAGAAAACAAGATCATTATTTGTCATTGAGGACTGGGTGGGCATTCCCTCATTCTTCTTGCCTTCCATGGTCCATCTCAGCAGCTTGACATTCTGCACCTTCTATTAGCTCGTGGCCCGGCTGCATCCTCCCTACAGACGTTTTACCCCTAAGCAGCCTCCTTCCTTCCTTCCTCCCTTCCTTTCCCCCTTCCTTCCCTCCTGTTTTCCTCCTTCCTTCCTTCCCTCCTTCCCTCCTGTTTTCCTCCTTCCCTCCTTTCCCTCCTTCCCTCCTGTTTTCCTCCTTCCTTCCTTCCCTCCTTCCCTCCATCCTTCCTTTCTTCCTTCCTTCCCTTCCTCCTTTCTTCCTTTTTTATCTTTCTCCTTTCCTTTCTTCCTCCTTTAATTCCCTCCTTCCTTCCTTCATCAAATGTTTGCTGCACTGCTAACAGAGTCCATGCTGTGCTTGGTGCGGACAATTCTGTAGCGAACAGTGCGACAGATAACTGGTGCTGCCTTCAGCAAGCCTACAATCTAGCAGGCAGCCTGCAGTGAATCGGCCACTACATAACTCAGCACCCTCTTCCAGAGGCCATCTCTCTCTCCAGTGGCCCCAACTGTAGCCGCTCTCGAGCCTCCGCCATCAAACTGTGTCCTTAAGAAAATCATTGTTTTCTCCCCACCAGAGGAGAGAGCCGCTAAGTGCTCTGACCCCCTTGCTTCCAGCACGTTCATACGAATTGGGATTTGGTGGCCTCACACGCATAGGCTCACGATCCTCACAGGGGACAGGGAAGACGCCACGATCTGCATTTTACCGACAGGAGGCGCAGGAACTTGCCGGAGATCGCAGAGCAGGTTCGTGCCCAGGTGGTGGGAAGCGACTCTCAGGCTGGGAGAGACACTGAAGGCCGCCCCGTCCAGCCAGTTGTTTTCCCCGGGGCTCCTGCTTCTGGACGGCCTTCCCAGACAGGAGGGCAGGCTGGGGCGGCCCTGCCTCCCAAGGGCCGCGCTGAGTGCCCAGTGCACCCCTTCACTCCGCACTCTGCCCCAGCGGACCCCCGGCTGCCTCATGTTCGCGGGCAGGTGCGCTGCGGGGCGGGGCACGGAAGAGCGGGCAGCCCCTCCCGGTTAGAGGCCCTCCTCCCGGCCAGGGCCTGGGCGATGCGCGATAAGAAAGGCAGGGTCCCCGTCCTTGCAGCTGGTGGGTGAGGGGCTAACCGAGCTTCAGGAAGCGCTGCTTGTGCCCTGAGGGAATCTCGCGGAGGGCGAGCGGAGCACACACCGAGTCCTCTCTCCCGACAGCGGACCTCTCAGGAGGGAGGCGGGAAGTGAGGAGGGGGAGGCGGGAAGTGAGGAGGGGGAGGCGGGAAGTGGGGAGGGGGAGGCGGGAAGTGAGGAGGGGGAGGCGGGAAGTGAGGAGGGGGAGGCGGGAAGTGAGGAGGGGGAGGCGGGAAGTGGGGAGGAGGAGGCGGGAAGTGAGGGGGAGGCGGGAAGTGGGGAGGGGGAGGCGGGAAGTGAGGGGGGAGGCGGGAAGTGGGGAGGGGGAGGCGGGAAGTGGGGAGGGGGAGGCGGGAAGTGGGGAGGGGGAGGCGGGAAGTGAGGAGGGGGAGGCGGGAAGTGAGGAGGGGGAGGCGGGAAGTGGGGAGGGGGAGGCGGGAAGTGGGGAGGGGGAGGCGGGAAGTGAGGGGGGAGGCGGGAAGTGGGGAGGGGGAGGCGGGAAGTGAGGGGGGAGGCGGGAAGTGGGGAGGGGGAGGCGAAGGGGCGGCGGAACCTCCGGAGGCGCAGCTCAGGCAGAGCAGGCCGCGGCCACAGAGGGCTGGGGCTGGGGGCGACAGGAAGTCCGGGAGGGGAGAGGAAGACAGCGGTGGGGCCGCGAGGCCGGGAATCAGGAATCTGGGCAGGGGCAAATTGGCCCAAGTCTGCAGTGTTCTTTAGCCAGCTCTGCAGTGGGAGAAAACAGGAGAGGGCTGGACAGCGGGCGGTGCAGCGGGGGAAGGGCGAGAGGATGCACGTGTGACTCGCTCTGCGCCCGCGGAGGTGCCCGTCCGCTGGCATGGCCCGCGGGGTGGGGAGTCGCTGCATACGGCCCCTGAAGGCAGCTCCCGGCGAGGGAGGCGGAGCCATTTCCCGAGGGCGGAGCTGCGGCCCCGCCCCCCGCCTCCCGCCGCCTCCCGCCTCCCCCCGCCCCCCGCCCCCCGCCGCCTCCCGCCTCCTCCCTGCCCCGCTCCGAGTCCGCCGCGAGGCCTTCGAGGGGAGAGGGAACTCGAGGCTGCTGCTGGGGCGGGGTTGGGGTGACTGGCAGTGGGAGAGCCAGGCAGGGGAGGGGCGAAGAGGAAGTCAGGGAGGGCACATAGCTCCGGGAGGGCCGTGCTGAGGCGGAGGGCGCAGCAAGGGTGGGGGTCGCAGTGGGCTGCAGGGGGATCGCTGAGCACGGAGGCTTCAGGTCCCGAAGGAGCGGTGGCGCGGTGACAGGGGCCCGGGCGCGGCTCAGCTCGCTGGCGGATGAGGGGCTGGGAGGAAGACGTCCATGCGCCCCGAACCTCAGTGCTTTGCAGAAGGGCCCCAGGGTGGGCGGAGGACAGGGACCAAAATGCAGAGAGGATGGTCCGGCTGGAGAGACGGGTGGGCGGAGGACAGGGACCAAAATGCAGAGAGGATGGTCCGGCTGGAGAGACGGGTGGGCGGAGGACAGGGACCAAAATGCAGAGAGGATGGTCCGGCTGGAGAGACGGGTGGGCGGAGGACAGGGACCAAAATGCAGAGAGGATGGTCCGGCTGGAGAGACGGGTGGGCGGAGGACAGGGACCAAAATGCAGAGAGGATGGTCCGGCTGGAGAGACGGGTGGGCGGAGGACAGGGACCAAAATGCAGAGAGGATGGTCCGGCTGGAGAGACGGGTGGGCGGAGGACAGGGACCAAAATGCAGAGAGGATGGTCCGGCTGGAGAGACGGGTGGGCGGAGGACAGGGACCAAAATGCAGAGAGGATGGTCCGGCTGGAGAGACGGGTGGGCGGAGGGCTGCAACAGTGGGGTGTGAAGACCCTGAGAGCAGCACCTCCCGCCCGCATGGGGCTGCCAGGAGGCGAAGAGCCTTTACCCAGAGGGTTTTCAACTGAATGACACTGTCAAAGAAAAGCCAGGATCCACTAAGGCAAGAAGTATTAAAAGTATTTTAGGGAAAGTCATTTAAAGCTCTATAACATTGTATTTTCATGGAATCTTCTAGATTCTTCCCCTAGAATCAGAGTTAGATTTTCCATTAAGTGAATGAAGCTCAAGTTTCAGGGCCTCTCCCTCGCCTTCTAAGGCCCTGTTCATAATTCCGTATTTGTAATTATTTAAACTGCCCCACCCTGATTATATAACTTTTAGGTCCCACAAAAGCTTAGCCAGTCTCTGCCTTAGAACTCCACGAGTTGGGAGGATGAACGAACTTCCACGTTTTGATTTCCAAACAATTTCCCTACCCTTGCATTGTTAAAAGATAAACAGGAATAAGTGTTCTGGCTGTGAGTGAATTTTTTTTCTTAACATGTTTTGGCCTGGATACTATCTGAAGGTGTTACCCAAGCAGTGGGGTGACTTTGCTGACGACACAGTTACTCAATACTCCCCAGCTCAGGGTGAAGGTTAGGTGGCACGTTGGCGGGACATGTGACTCACATGCGCAGGTGTGTTCCTTGGGAGGAAGGCTTGGAACAGGCACCTGTGTGTGCCCAAGTGTTTCTAGCAAACACAGGGACCTGAGTGTCTAAGCACAGGCCCACTTTACAGGGGTCTCCTGAGAACTCCTCCCCCTCCTGAGAACTGTGCCTTCCCAGCCAGAAGTCACTCATACAGAATGTTCCCAACTTATGAATGGGCATTGTTCTCAGAAAGAGAATTTGTAAGTCAGTTGTTTAGAACGGGAAGGCATCTCCCCAGATAAACAAGTGTATGTGTGATCTTTGTTATTCAGGAAAGCCTAAAAGAACATCTTGTGTCCCAGAAATCAAGGACTGTACAATGGGAACAGAAAACTCCAGCTGGTGGAATCATGTGGCCCTCAGAAAATGCCTTCCAACTTCTAGCCTGAGATCCTGGGAATCTTCTCCACTGTCACAGACCTTCTGTGAGAAGGGGGGACGCTTCCCAGCTCCACGTCCCTGATGTGGCTGCCATGTCCTGGGGCAGAGGCCAGTGAGGAGAAGCAGCTGGGTGTAGGCGGCCAGGCCCTGGGGGCTAGAGGGGGCAGAGTCCATTCCCAGAGCTCCTTTCAGAGTCCGCTCCCTGTCCATGTCCTCTGAGGGCCCAGGGGTGGGCCTCCTTGCCTTTGCCTTCTTGAAGTTTCCTTGGCCGGGAGCAGTGGCTCACGCCTGTAATCCCAGCACTTTGGGAGGCCGAGGCTGGTGGATCACTTGAGGTCAGGAGATAAGGACCAGCCTGGCCAGCATGGTGAAACCTCGTCTCTACTAAAAAAAAATACAAAAATTAGCCGGGTGTGGTGGCGCGTGCCTGTAATTCCAGCTACTCAGGAAGCTGAGGCAGGAAAATCGCTTGAGCCTGGGAGGCAGAGGTTGCCGTGAGCTGAGATCACGCCACTGCACTCCAGCCTGGGTGACAGAGTGAGACCCTGTCTCAAAAAAAAAAAAAAAAAAAAGTTTCCTAAGTCTTTGATTCTTAGGACAAAGTGGTAAACAGACTGGGGATTTAAAAAAAAAAAAAAAAGACTCCCATGTGATGGCGGGGTGGAAGGTGGAATGCTCACTTTTCAGGTACTGGCCTTCTCAGGAAAGACCAAGACCAACATAGAGAAGGATGGTGGATTTCTGGGTATACAAAAGACCAAACAAATCCAGATCATCAAGGTTAGACCCCTTGCATTTGTGGTTGGCTTCAGTTGAGATGATTCCCAAGAGCTTACATAATAAACTTTACTTTTTTAAAAAGCATATTTTCATTGATCTTGCCATGATATAAGCAAGCTATATCTTATACACTTATCTATATCTATGTAAGATATACCATTACCCTTTTCTTTTTTAATACAGGGTCTTGCTCTGTCACCCAGTCTGGAGTACAGTGGCTCGATCCTAGCTCACTGCAACCTCAAACTTCTGGGCCCAAGTAATCCTGCTACCTCAGCCTCCCAAAGTGCTGGGATTACAGGCATGAGCCACCATGCCCAGCCTCAATATTTTAAAAGTTTATATTTTACAAAAGGCTTTCACATCCATATGATTTAATTTGAGGTAGAGAGAGTATTATTTCTGTTTTATTGCTGAGGAAACTGCCTGAATCACTTAACTAGTTGGTTGGGAAGCCAGGTCCTCTGTACTGAATCTTGTGCCCTTGCTGTTTTTAGAGGCTGATTAATCCCTGAAAGGGAGATGGGACACACAGAACCCTCTAGCTGAAATGAATCTCCAGAGAATGTCTGGTTTTCTCCCTGGCTCTAGACTCTACTAAATTCTAAAAACATCTAAATGCTCTTCTTTTCTTAAACTTCTCTGGGGAATGAAATCTATCCTCTCAGTTACCTGTCCCAGCAACAAATAGCCACTCTGTTTAGAAATCCATGCTGTAAGGCTGGGCGCGGTGGCTCATGCCTATAGTCCCAACAATTTGGGAGGCCAAGGCGGGCGGATCACCTAAGGTCAGGAGTTTGAGACCAGCCTGGCCAACGTGGCAAAACCCCATCTCTACTAAAAATACAAAAATTAGCCAGGCGTGGTGGCATGCGCCTGTAGTCCCAGCTACTAGGGAGGCCGAGGCAGGAGAATCGCTTGAGCCCAGGAGGTGGAGGTTGCAGTGAGCCGAGATCTCACAACTGCACTCCAGCCTGGGCAACGAGCAAGACTGTATCTCAAAAAAAAAAGAAAAAAAAAAAGGAAAAAAGAAAGCCATGCTGTATTTCTATCTTTGGTCTTTTTTGTTACAAAAAAGAAAAAAAGTTTGTTTAGCAGAGAAAGTGTTTTTGACTACTTTGTTGGAAACAAGCAATAAGGGGCTTGGAAGACAAAGAACTAGCCTGTGGTTACTGGGTCAGTTCACAACAGTCCACAGCAGAACTGAAATAATAACAAAGGCAAAAATGGGAACATATACATTTTCCAGAGCAATTTCTCACTTCCTATGGCAGCTAAACTTTGCAAAAACCCTGAGCTGGCACCGGGAACTGAGGAGCAAATAAAGCCTGGAAGCCTGATCCTTCTTCCTCAGAGGCTTTTGAACAA